>NC_000007.14:154639998-154953063 GCF_000001405.40 Homo sapiens
CCCAACACTCCGGGAGGCCAAGGTGGGCAGATCACTTGAGGTCAGGAGTTTGAGACCAGCCTAGCCAACATGGTGAAACCCCATCTCTACTAAAAATACAAAAATTAGCCAGGCATGGTGGTGCACACCTCTAGTCCCAGCTACTCAGGAGGCTGAGGCAGGAGAATCGCTTGAACCTGGGAGGCTAGAGGTTGCAGTGAGCTGAGATTGCACCACTGCACTCCAGCCTAGGTGACAGAGTGAGACTCTGTCAAACAAAAACAAAAACAACAATTGGGATTAATTCAAAGGTCACAATGCAGAGAACAAACGTGATAGCTATAAAGATGAGATTTTTTAGTGACATACTACTTTCTCTTCCTAGGGTTCTTATAGGATTGAAAGATGTAGCAAGTACATTTATTGGAAAACAACCTCTGGGGGTGCCAAAGTCAGTGTCCCACCCTGTCACCATGTCACTGAACACAGCGCCCCTGAAGCGGCGTTGCTCAACCTGCTCAATTCTTCCTCTTTGTCATAAGGCCATTGATGAGAAATTAGCCAATTAATTCATTGCAAATATTGTCAGAGTCTTATTTGTCTTAATGAGACAGTGGATCTCTGAGCGGTATCTCCGTAGGCCTGGAGCTTCGTGACCCCTTGGTCATCACTGTCACCGGTGTGCGTGCTCCACCAGGTGGCAGAAAAAGAACACAGCCCGGAGCTCTAAGTCTGAGGATCTAGGTGGGTTTTGGATAGGGAGGAAAGCACAATTGTCTTTTAAAAATAAAAATGTCCCTACTAAAATATTTGAATATACATTATTCATGTAGAAGAAAACTAAGAGATTTTCTTAATTTAGAAAACACATATCTGTACCTTTTTCACTAATTCTCATCTTTCCTTTCCTCGCTCCTCCCTCTAAATTAAAGCCAGAGGCCGTGCAATCTTCAGGATGGTTTTGTCATTTATAGCTTGATTTTTTTTTCTTAGCTTCAGTCTTTGCAACCAGCCAGAGAAAATGGTCTAATTAATGTTCTCATGCCCTCTGATTTCTGTTGTCCTTCCTTTTGGCAAATGGCAAAAGAGTTTCAGGACGGACTACCCCTTTCCCATCCCCCTCTCACTCCCCAGTCCCCGCTGTTAGCTTCCTTCCTCCGATGGCTGTGACCTCTATAGCTGGGGCCAGGTAGAGTTCTTTCTGTGTGGAAGGTGGGAGTTGCAATGAGACTCCCAAGACAGCTGAATTTTGATATAATCAAAAATCTATTACCTAAGGGTAGGTTTGTTTGACTTTGACATACCAAGCTTCCAAAAATTGTATTCTTAAATTGTATCCTAAAAGGACATATGCCTTTTACAACAAATCTATATTTTAGCGGAACTAAAGCTAGTTATTTTTAACATAAAGCATTTCACTAGAAGTTTTTATATCAGAATTTTAATAAAATAAGGAATCTTCCATGGTGGAGTCAAGGATCTGTTAGGTGTTTCCATATAAGTATTTTTGTAGACTTGGCTACTGCATGACATTTTCCTGGCATGACTTCTTTTTCTAGAATTAGTTTTGTCTTTATATTTTTTAGGGTCTAAAGCCAAAGGCAAAATTATCTATATTTATGTCTATTATCTATCTACCTAGCTTTCTATCTATCTATACACACACATATACATAATACACACTTTTAATAATAGTAATAATATATTTCTAAAATGTAGTCTCATATCCAATAGGATTGTTCTGAAAGACATATGGACTTTTTTCTATAACCGAAATCAATTTGAAGAAAAATTGGTCCTATCACTTTATTATGTAATGTTGGCAATTAGGGGTCTGGCAAACTCAGAACTGTAATAGAATAGAAACTGCTGGGTGTTCAAAGGCATTTTTTTACGTGACTGGCCATGTTCTGTGGATATTGTTGCTCTAACTTTGCTTACCTACTCGTAATTTTCAGGCACCAAACAAAACTGTGAAAAAATTGTGTTCCTTTAGAATTGTAGTTGACTTTTTAAAGCCATATTCTGTATCTGTGGAAATAGGAAACTGAGACATCACTTCCTTCTACCTGGAACTGCTCTCTAAGTTTATAGACTGAGATCCAGAGGAGCATTCTGTTTATTTGGGAAGTAGATATCTAGGTCGAGAATGTACAGTGCCCAGTGCCAGCCTAATAGCATCATGCCAGGCAGTGACTTAGACCCTGCAGCCACATAGACCTGAACTTGAACCCATCGTGCTGCTGACTTCTGGTTGTGTGACCTTGAGAGTTGTTCTACTTCCATAGGTCTTAGGATCCATATAAGAAGATCATAATAATAGTGCCCACTTTGGCCTGGCATGGTGGCTCATGCCTGTAATCCCAGCACTTTGGGAGGCCGAAGCAGGTGGATCACCTGAGGTCAGGAGTTTGAGACCAGCCTGGCCTGTTGCAAAACCCCATCTCTACTAAAAATACAAAATTAGCTGGGCATGGTGGCGGGTACCTGTAATCCCAGCTACTCAGGAGGCTGAGGCAGGAGAATCGTTTGAACCCAAGAGGCGGAGGTTGCAGTGAGCTGAGATTGTACCATTGCACTCCAGCCTGGGAGACAAAGCAAGACTCCATCTCAAAAAACAAAACAAAACAAAAAAATTAGTGCCCACCTCATAGGCTTGTTAGAAGAATTAAATGGAATGGCTGGGTGTGGTGGCTCACGCCTGTAATCCCAGCACTGTGGGAGGCTGATGTGGGTGGATCACTTGAGTTCGAGACCAGCCTGGCCAACATGGTGAAACCCCATGTCTACTAAAAATACAAAACTTGGCCGGGCTTAGTGAGGCTGAGGCACAAGAATCACTTAAACCTGGGAGTCGGAGGTTGCAGTGAGCTGAGATTGTGCCACTGCACTCCAGCCTGGGTGGGAGAGCGAGACTCCATCTCAAAAAAAGAATTAAGTGGAATGATATATGCAAAACACCCAGCAAAGAATTTTGCATCTAGTGAGTGATTAGTTAATATTGTAGTATGTACCCAATATATATTTGTAGTCTTATAATTAAATATTATCAGACTTTAGTTTCTAGCCATCTTGAAAATCTTTTCTGTTACAAATGAAGGAATAATATAATCCTAAAATCATACAATTCTCTTTAATAATTTTTCTAAGCTGAGGCTTGTTTCATGACACTCAGGTAATTATAATGTCTTTGTAATTTTAATTTCCCTCTTAAAAGAAGTATCTATGGCCTCAACTGTCTACAATTCTCAATACTCAATAATTTTTTTTATATCATCTCATTCTGACCTTCTGCAATTAACTTTCCAGCATTCTTGTTTTGCCTCCAATGGAAGCAGAAAAGATACTGTGTCAGCAAATACTTATTGAAATACTGTCTGGAGCAATGAAAGCATGGTTGCTATCCTTAAGAAATTAAAAATCTTGTTGCAAAGGAAAGATACAGACTTATATAATAAAATGTTATAAAGTCTGTTAAGTGAGTAATTTCTTTTTTTTTTTTTTTTTTTGAGACAGAGTCTCACTCTGTTGCCCAGGCTGAAGTGCAGTGATACGATCTCAGCTCACTGCAACCTCCGCCCCCCAGGTTCAAGCAATTCTCCTGCCTCAGCCTCCTGAGTAGCTGGGACTACAGGCACCCACCACCACTCCTGGCTAATTTTTTGTATTTTTAGTAGAGACGGGGTTTCACCGTGTTAGCTAGGATGGTCTCGATCTCCTGACCTCGTGATCTGCCCACCTCGGCCTCCCGAAGTGCTGGGATTACAGGCGTGAAGTGAGGATTTTTAACACTACCCACCAAAGAAGGAGGGGAGGGTTGAAGGTGTCACCATCATAAACAGTCTCAAGAAGGAAGTTTGACTTGAAGTGAGCCTGATAGCTGAGTTTTTGTTTGTTTGTTTCTTTACTTTTTAATAGATGACAGGAGGGAGATACTCCAGGCAGGGTAAAACATGAAATGAACTTGACCTTTGCATGAGCCAACACTTCCTAGAATTAATGAGGTGCCCTGCCAGGCTGCTGCTGGAGTGTTCACGTGGGACTCAGCATGGGTAGGCATAGGGTTAGGTAGGCTTTAGGAGGTACCTAGAGTGCAGACAACTGAAATACTCAGTGTTTAAAACCCAGTAGTATTGGTCTTTACAATAAGAACATAGCAACCTTTTGGAGCAGAAGAGGAATGTGATGAAAACAGTAGGCGCAGATTAGTTTTGTGCTTATGTATAGCATACACTGAAGAAAAAGGAAGATCAAAATTCTGGATTCAATTAGCAGCCAGGTTGGAATGGTGGGTCGGGAGCTCAGCCAATGTAGAAACCACACTAATTGTGATTATGAGTAGCTGGTGTTCTCTTGGAAAATGAAGACAGATTTCAAGTGTTTATATTCCATGTCCCTCTAATTAAATCTGTGGCAGCCTGGGCTCCTTGTGAGTTGAGCCTGGTGCCATCCTGAGAGGTCTCTCTACCATGAGTGGTCTGTAGGTAGTGAGTTCAGGAGGGCAGCGATGAGAATTCTCAGCACCCATGTTGGTTAGTGCATTCCTTTCCAGCCCTTTCTTCCTGTGTGTGAGTCTCCAGGGCCTGGCTGCTGCACACACGGAGATAGGCTTTGGCTGTGCAGAGCAAGCTACCTTCACAGCTGCCGGAAGTTACAGAACTAGGATTGTGTGTGTAAACTGGGGAAGCACCAGTGTGAAGCAAAAATGCAGAAGAAATCTTAAAATGGCTTTTTTTTTTTTTTTTTTTAAGATACAGAGTCTGGCTCTGTCACCAGGTTGAAGTGCAGTGGCGCGATCTCGGCTCACTTCACCCTCCACCTCCCAGGTTCAAGCAATTCTTCTACCGCAGCCTCCTGAGTAGGTGTGACTGCAGGTGCACACCGCCATGCCTGGCTAATTTCTTTTGCATTTTAGTAGATACGACGTTTCACTGTCTTGCTCAGGGTAGTCTCGAACTCCTGAGCTCAGGCAATCCACCCGCCTTGGCCTCCCAATAAAATGGCATTTTATGTGTCTGTACCATGGCATTGAAGAGGGGAGAATTCCACTGTTACTTGCTTTTTTTGTTTTGTTTATTTGTTGGTTTTTTTTTTTTTTTTTTTGAGAGGAAGTATTGCTCTGTCGCCCAGGCTGGAGTGCAGTGGTGTGATCTCTGCTCACTGCAAGCTCCGCCTCCCAGGTTCACACCATTCTTCTGCCTCAGCCTCCGGAGTAGTAGCTGGGACTACAGGCGCCCACCACCACGCCCGGCTAATTTTTTGTATTTTTAGTAGAGACGGGGTTTCACCGTGTTAGCCAGGATGGTCTCGATCTCCTGACCTCGTGACCCGCCCGCCTCGGCCTCCCAAAGTGCTGGGATTACAGGCGTGAGCCACTGCGCCCGGCCTGTTACTTGGTTTTATGGATTTTCAGAACTGTGAACAACTCATACATCTGCCTGTAAGACTTGGTCTCAGCCATTTCTCCCTCCCCTTCTCCCTTCCCCTCCTGTCCTCCTTCTATCCCTCCCTCCTGCTGAAATCCAGACTTCTAGTAACCATCACCAAAAAATGTGGACTTTAGAGTCAAGGAGATCTGGGCGTAAATCCCCAGTCTTCGTTTCTACTTGTGTAGTCATGAAACAGTTCCTTTGCTCCTCTGGGCACACTTACTCCATCCATATATTAGTTGCCTAATGCATGGGGTTTATGGTGAAGTTTCTGTGAAACACTGTATGATGAGGTGATGTCTTTAAGGGCCTGCTTTGGTTCATAGAAAATACTGAGGGTTGCCAGGCGCGGTGGTTCACGCCTGTAATCCCAGCACTTTGGGATGCCAAGGCGGGTGGATCACAAAGTCAGGAGATCAAGACCAGCCTGGCTAACACGGTGAAACCCTGTCTCTACTAAAAATACAAAAAATTAGCCAGGCATGGTGGTGGGCACCTGTAGTCCCAGCTACTTGGGAGGCTGAGGCAGGAGAATGGCGTGAACCCGGGAGGTGGAGCTTGCAGTGAGCCGAGACTGTGCCACTGCACTCCAGCTCGGGCGGCAGAGTGAGACTCCGTCTCAAAAAAAAAAAAAAAAAAGAAAATACTGAGGGCTCTATTCATGGTGGACACCAAGACCTTCCATAATATGGCCAAATCTAATTAGCCACCCTTCATCAAATTTCCCTAAATTTGGGACAGAAAATAAATCTCATACTCACTGTTAACTCTGACCAATTGACAATGACTTCCTGGAGCTCTACATTTAAAAATAGACTAAAACCATGCCCAGGCTCTTTAGGAAAGAATGCCACAATCAGTGAGTTTTGCCTCTGAGGTTTCTATTCTCCCATCCGGCTGTGTAAGAATGAATCACATCACGCAATGTGTCCAGTCATTGCTCCCAAACCCGGAATGTGTTTCTGGTTATCCACACCTCTATTGACTTCATTCTCCTCCCCACCACACGAGCCCCCTCCCACACATGCGCACTACAGAAATGTCCTGGTCATTGTGCCTCTCATACTCAAATCCTTCTGACCCTTCAAGCCACAGCGTCAAAACCTCCTTCTCTAAAAAAAACCTGAATGCTGAGAGTCAATACTGCTTCTTATTTCACGCTAGAATTTATCGTTTTGTTAGATGGCTACTTCCATTGTTGTAGATAGAATTTTTCTAAAGGGGATATTTAGGAATGCTTTCCATATCCATGTATTGCTTGACTTCTTTCTCTCCGTCATTCTAAGTTGTCAGAGAGAGGGGTTGGGTGGGAAGGGTGTGGACTCTGCCTGTAATACCAGTAGCTGTTGCACAGGGTGACACTGTGACTTTGAATTGCAAAAGTGGCGAAAGAGGCTGCACCAACAGGTCTTATGCTCTTTCCAGGTGCAGGTCTCAGATAACAAGCTGAAGGTAGTCAGTGACTGGAATGTCATCGGCCACCTGCAAAGGGAGTCATTGCAGCTACTCTTTTCAGTGGAATCATTTAGTTCCCTCAGGGACTTTCTTAGAAAGTCTAAAAGATTTTCAAACAAACAAGTCTCTTTGAAAATGAGGTGAAAATGCCCAGGAGTCCTCATTTGGTCAGGCTCCTTGTTCATCTTAAACTCTACACCCATGTCCCTGGTTCCTGATACTGGGGGACCCCATAAATGTTGGTTAATCACTGGAGGAAATGAATTAAGGAACTAAGCCATGCTGAGGAGCAAGAATGTGTGTGCTGGGGCCCCACCACAAATGGGTTAAATAAGAGCCTCTGAAGAGGGAACCTCAGGATGGCTTTGAAGGCTACCTGGGTGATTTTGGTGTCCAGCTGGGGTCATCTGGCCTGCTCGCCCCTTTACTTGCTGCCCTTGACAAGTGACACCCAGGATTGCCGTGGAAGCTGAGAAATAACACTTCTGTCTGAATATGCCAGTAAAGTTTCCTCTCAGGCATTAATTTCCTTGTCCACTCAAGAAACTTGGAGAAATAAGGGTAGATCTCAGATTAACCATGTTCTTGGGGATTTACTTAATGATATTCAGTAAAGGGGTTATAGTATCAAAGTCTGCAGCATGGAGATGAAGCAGAGCCGGCTCTTCCGGGGTCTGTCCACATCAAGGGGCACCAGACGTTGGTTGTGATTGTTCCTGAGCCTGGCCAACCTCACATGTGCCCTGGGCTCCCTCTGGTGAGCTCCGGTCTTCACCTTAACCGCGCATGTTTGCATTGCGGGGAATCTGTGCTTCAGACAGACACGCCAGATGTTACAGGTCACTGCATCTAAGATGGAAGGTGTTCTGTTTATTTATTTATGTTTTAATTTTGGCTGTTGATCACTTTCTTGTGCTGGTGAATCAGCACGCGTGTTGAACCAGCCATTAATCTCCTGGGAGAGAGCTGTTGACATCCTGGAGGGTGGCACTCTTCCTGTTTACAGATGTTAAAGAGAAAGGCCCATGGGTGTCTCCCTGGGTGGCCAAGCCTGGTTCATGTGTGTGCTGTGCTGTGTGTTCCTTCTTCCACACAATCACTGAGCCTGGCCGGGCACAGTGGCTCACGCGTGTAATCCCAGCACTTTGGGGGACCGAGGCGGGCAGATCACCTGAGGTCAGGAGTTCGAGACCAGCCTGACCAACATGGTGAAACCCCGTCTCTATTAAAATTAAAAAAAAAAAAAAAATTAGCCGGGCATGGTGGTGGGTGCCTGTAATCCCAGCTACCTGGGAGGCAGAGACAGGAGAATCGTTTGAACCCTTGAACCTGCGAGGCAGAGGTTACAGTGAGCCGAGATTGTGCCATTGCACTCTAGCCTGGGCAACAAGAGCAAAACTCTGTCTAAAAAAAAAAAAAAATCACTGAGCCCCTCGCAAGTGCCAGGCCTGATGCGAAGCACTGGGGATGGATAGGGAAAGGCCCCACCTGTCCCTTGCTGTCTAGTTTATTTTGTTTTGTTTCTACGTCACCTCCTCTCTCCCCTGTGCTCCTGCAGAGGGTTGGACACAAATACCCCACTGTGTCTGCGCTGGGGACATTGGCCTAAATCAAACATCTAGGGCAGCCTCAGCCAGGAAAGGGCATCACTCAAGGAGAGGGAGCAGGTCAGTCTGTCTGGATAGTGGTGGGAAGAGCATACACCAACACCAACTGTACGTATGTGATTTCAAGTTTATTGTGGTACAATTTACTTCTAATAAAAATCACGCTTTCGGCCGGGCGTGGTGGCTCACATCTGTAATCCCAGCACTTTCGGAGGCCAAGGTGGGTGGATCACAAGGTCAAGAGATCAAGACCATCCTGGCCAACATGGTGAAACCCCATCTCTACTAAAAATACAAAAATTAGCTGGGTGTGGTTTGGGTGCACCTATAGTCCCGGCCACTAGGGAGGCTGAGGCAGGAGAATCATTTGAACCCAGGAGGCAGAGGTTGCAGTGAGCCAAGATCATGCCACTGCACTCCAGCCTGGCAACAGAGCGAGACTCCATCTTAAAAAAAAAAAAAAAAATACACTTTTTAAAGGCATCGTTTAGTAAGGTTTGACAAATAGGTGCAATGAATGACATAAGCTCCCCACAAGCAAGACTCAGGGCAGTCCCACCTGCCCAGAGCATCCTCCATACCCCTCCACCCAGGCGAGCGCTGCCATGCCATCTATCCCACACTTTTGCCTTTTGCCTTTTCTGGAATGTCATGTTGAGGGGGTTGTACAGTGTGTTACCTTCTGCAGCTGGCTTCCTTAGCATAATTGCTTTTGAGATTCACCCGTGTTGTGACAGGTGTCTGCATTCATTTGTTTTTCACTGCTGAGGAGTGGTCTGTTGCATGGATATCATAATTTGTTTCTTCATTCAACATTTCATTGATATTTGAGTGTTTCTAATTCGGGGCTAGTATGAATAAAAGTGCTGTGCACATTTGCACACAGATTTTCATCCAACGTGTTTTCCTTTCTCTTGGGTGAATACCTAGATGTAGAATTCCCAGATCATAAGTAAATGCACCTTTAACTAGATTCTAAAGTGCCCAACTGTCTTCCAAAGTGGCTGCACCATTAAGAACTCTGCCTTTTTCTTAACTCACTACCCCAGGACTGACTTTTTTGACCCCCTGCCCTCCGCCCGGTCACTGTGTATGGCAGGTGGAATCCACCATGCCCTGGGGGTGGTTCCACCTGCAGCTGTGGGGAGAAGCATCTGTGCTCACTGCACATAGATCTGTGCCCTCAATGCCAGCCTGCACCTGCCTTTCTCTACCTGGCACCTGGGGCCTCATGGGGGATGGTGTCCGGCCTGCAGGAGCAGCAGCCTGACTGTGCCATCTCTCATCTCTCCAAATGATCTCTCTGTGGAACTTTCTAAATGACATATCAGCCGCGAAGACAAATAGGAAATAAGAGGCAGGAGGCAAGACAGACACTCCCCATGGAGCGGATTCCACGTGGCCCTGGGCACTCACCTCAGGAGTGGTTGAGAAAGCCTGGTTCCTGCTTGCTCCATGAAGTCCTCACTCCTTGACCAGATTTTGGAGAGAGGAAGGTTTTTCAATAACTGCCCCTCTTGGTAGTCCTCCTAAGGAAGAGCAAAAGAAATAAAACAGATTCAAAACTGTGGGCCTGCGCAGTGATTCATGCCTATAATCCCAGCATTTGGGGAGGTCAACGTGGGAGGATCTCTTGAGCCCAGGAGTTTGAGACCAGCCTGGGCAACATAGCAAGACACCCATCTCTACAAAAATACAATTAAAAAATTAGTCGGATATGGTGGCACGTGCCTGTGATCCCAGAAACTTGGGATGCTGAAGTGGGAGAATCGCATGAGCCCAGGAGGTCAAAGTTGCAGTGAGCTCTGATTGCACCATTGCACTCCAGCCTGGACAACAAAGCAAGCAAGAAGAGAGGAGAGGAGAGGAAAGGAGTGGAGAGGAGGGCAGAGGAGGGGAGGGGAGGGGACTATGCATATCCCAGTAGCCTGGCTCTGGGCTGGGTCTGTCTGTTGCTTAAAGGCTTAAAAAAAGAGCACAGAGCCATCTGCACTTGGACATCCTGGTGACGTGGCCTAACTTCCGACATTGGGGTCCTGTAAAAGAAGATAAGCCATGGTGTTTCCTTAATGAGAAGGCCTTAATTCCAAAGTGAGGGCTGGCAAACCCAACAGCACAGCACTCAGAGGAGAAGACACAGTTGTTGATTGAGTCGAGCTGTCTGGCTTCCCAGGACCCTCAGCTCAGTCACAGCACAGCGTTACCAGGATGTCAGACACCCAAGGGCAGTGCTGACATGCAGCCTGCCACTGTGGCCACAGCACTCGGGTTAAAAAGAAACCAGATAAAATTCGTGTTTCTGCTTGTCCAGACTAGAAATTAATTCAAACCTGGCCTGTAGCAGCTGTCTTCTCTACATCCAACTGGATGGATGAAGGCCGTCCTACCTAGTAGAGGGAGGTTGGAAGGATGAGAACTGTCTACAATTAACCTTTTCATTAGCACAGAAAATTTAGACAACCAAGGTCCCAATTTCTAATGTAAAGGTCAATTTCTTACATCTCTGTGTACATCCTAACTGATTCACCACACCATTGCCCGAAGGTACATTTCTATTGGTTTTTTGAAATGCTAAGAGGAGCTCTCAGGCAGTGTTAATGTATGCACTCACGACTTCATAGGTACCAGTACTGCACTAGCTTCCAGTATAGCACTAGGTACTAGTACTGCACTAGATACTAGCACTGCACTAGGTACTAGCACTGCACTAGGTAATAGCACTGCACTAGGTACTGTGGATTTGAGGGGTCAGAGGGGAAGGAAACCATTCTGATTGTCAAGGAATTTCCTATATAGTTACAGAAACCACATTCATTAGAGAATGAGTAAATTACCTTTGTGCTCCTATTAGACTACATAAGAATTGTACAATGTGATGTCCTGGGGTTACATAAGTATAGTTTTAAATCAACTATATCTGCAGCCTGTGAAAAACCTATTCCCCTTTTTTCCTAGTTGCAGTTCACTCCCCAGTTCGTCTGCACCCTACCTCGATGAGATCTCCCCTTCCGTGGGCTAAACAAAACCCCAAGCAGTTAGCTGTTAATGATACGAGCACCATGCCGGAGCTAGGGCCAAATGAGTCAGAAGAATCCTTTGCAGTGCCGCGGGGCCCTAATTGTGTCAGGTATTTTGCCCAAATTAGCATGGCTGAGGATCGGCTGCTGGTTCTAAAATAGTCTCGAAGGACTGTCTCCAAATTGCTTCGGCAACATTACTCATTCTCAGCACGACTCTGGTTTCCGCCGTCCCAATTTACAGATGGGCAGCCGAAAGGGAAAGGATGAGATGGCTAAACTGAAAGTCACAAAGGAAATCCTGGGCCAACATCACCCCTTGGGGCTTCCTCCAGCTGCGGTCTGTGCCCCCACAGCCCCAGGATGCTGGGCGGTTTTCTCCAAGAATTGGAAACCTTTTCCCAGGGCATCCTCACACAAAGCCCCACTCTGAATAACACGATGATTTCAGGCCTTTTTCTAATCATAAGCCCCCAAATTAGATAAGATCAACATGAAAGGTCTCAGGTATCCCTTAAGAATTTAAAGGAAGGACAGAAAAGGTTGAGCTCTGTAGTGCGTGGAAGAGGAGATGGCATGATCAGGATACTGTCCTGAGAATTAGCAGTAGGATCTTACAGTGAAATAGGGGGCTCCTCCGCAGGCTCCCAACACATCAGCTGGTAATTATGCCCGGCACCAGGATACTGGGGCAAGGCAGAGCCACTGGAACACATCCTCGCCTGCACCCTGCTCTGCTCATTAGCCATAGCATCAAAATCACTTTTGCTCCAAAGGCGTTTTTTTTTTCCTATACTGTACATTCTTTTGTGCTTTCTAATTTATTACTTTTTTTCCCCTACCTGAGCTGTTGGAGATTTAGTGTTGAATGGCTTCTCTGTATTTTTCTTTAGTCTAATTCATTATCACTAAGTCTGTGGTTTTTTTTTTTTTTTGTGATCAATATACACACTTAGATTGGTTTAAAATAATCCCATGGAGAGCCTCATTAGTGTCCTTGGATAATAGATGCAGCTCTCTGGGAGAAGGGAGCGTTTATCAGGGACCACAGTGACAGAGCCCACAAGCACACCTCCCTGTGTGTGTGTTGAACATGCTAGAACATGCACATGTATGTTGTCAGGTCCTCAGGCTGCATGAAGCTGCTACATGTGCACCATGTCCCTGCTGCGTCCCTGCTGTTCGTTCTGAGCACTGTGAGAGCCTGAGGCGTCAGAGTGCAGCTCATTGAGACCCAGACGCCACTAGATTCTCAGTCTTCTGCATGTTTTTCACACCTCTTATGTTTACTGAAACTACATCTTGAGCTGAGTGTTTGAGCAATTTGTTCTCAAGGCCAATATGGGCAAACTCCCTGAGTCGGAGCTGATACCAGCGAACGGCTTCAGAAAGTAAAAAACATGGGAAAGAGGCTGAGAGGAAAGAACGCTCTGAGTGGGAAGAGAGGAGGGAGCACCTGTCTGAACTGGCTCCGTTCACGTCCATTCATTCTTTAAGGAACTTCTCTTTGTCCTTCATAAACTACAGTGTTCCCCTGTCTCCCAGGCTGGGGTCTCATGGCTCTTGCCACAGGCCAAAAAGAAATAAGATTTCCTCTTGGCAACATTTTTTGTTCTGTAATGGGATTTTACTGAAAGGCAGGAGGAAAAAGCCCTTGAGGTGACCAAAAACTTGTTTTTAACACATATGATGTAAGGTAAAAGCTTTAAGAAGGTAAACAGAGCTGGGCATGGTGGCACATGCCTAACGCCCCAACAGCTCGGGAGACCAAGGTAGGAGGATGGCTTGAGACCAGGAGGTTGAAGCTGCAGAGAGCTATGATTGTGCCAATCTACTCCAGCGACAGCATGAGACCTTGTCTCTAAACATAGATAGATAGATTGACAGATTGATTGATAAATGATAGATAGATGATAGATAAATGATAGATAGATGATGGATAGATGATTGATAGGTAGATGGATAGATGACAGATAGACATATAGCTAGATAGATCAATCCATGGATGATAGATAGATAGATAATAGATAAATAGGTAGATAGATAAATGATAGATAGATATAGATAGATAATAAATCAATCCATTAATGGATAGGTGATAGATAATAGACTGATTGATTGATAGATGATAGACTGATTGGTTGAGAGATGATTGATAGATAGAAAACAAACCTGTTTTTTAGTTTCTTCACAGAGTGGCACAAGCATCATCTCATTCCATTTTAGAACATTCCACCCCCACCTCCAAATTATGCTTTAGCATTTACTGAACCCCCCAAACTCATTTCTGCTTCCCCGTCATGTCTTCATTTCACAGAGTTTGTTGAGCACTGATCTTGATATTAGGTTTACAGTGACAGAGAAGACACAAGCTCCCTTTAATTACAAAGATTCCATTTCCGTGTGACTGTGTTTACTACGGTCAGCCCTCCATATCCATGGGTTCTGTATCTGGAGATTCAAGCAACCTCCCTCAGGTCAAATACCTGGAAAAAAAAAAAAAAGGATGGTTGCATCTGTACTGAATTTGTACAGACTTTCTTCCTTGTCATTATTCCCTAAATGATACAGTATCACAGCTGTTTACATTAGCAATTACATTGAATTAGGGATTATAAGTAGTCTAGAGGTGGCTTAAAGGATACGGGAGGATGTGCTTACATTATATGCAAATACCACACATTTTATATCAAGGACTTGAGCATCTGTGGATTTTGGTATCTGCAGGGGTGTCCCGGAACCAATCTTCCATGGATACCAAGGATGACTGTGCTCATATTTGTGATCATATATGTTAAAAGCATCTCTCTGAATTAGAGAGGGAATCTGTCACATCTGTCACTAATATTTTAGAACAGGCCACCCCGATCCATCTTTAGTGAGTGGAGCATCTCTGCCTGAAAACATCTATATCCAAATCTTTCTTTCTTTCTTTCTTTCTTTCTTTTTTTGATACAGCGTCTCGCCCTATTGCCCAGGCTGGAGTGCAGTGACGTGATCTCGGCTCACTGCAACCTCTGCCTCCCAGGTTCAGGCGATTCTCCTGCCTCAGCCTCCTGAGTAGCTGGGATTACAGGCGCATGCCACCACACCCAGCTAATTTTTTTATTTTTAGTAGAGACAGGGTTCCACCATGTTGGTCAGGCTGGTCTCAACTCCTGACCTTCTCTGATCCTCCTGCCTTGGCGTCCCAAAGTGCTGGGATTACAAGCGTGAGCCACCGTGCCCGGCCCAAGTGTTTCATAAGGAAAGGAACTTCTGATACACCATAGAGTGTCTGGGAAAATTTTAAAATTACTAATGGAATATGTGCTCAAATATTGGCCCCTGAGGAAGCATTTATGCCCATGAGGATTCCTGCCCTCAAAAATTTAACTGTGTCATTTAGATATACACAAAAAATGAATATATATGAATATTTAAATGCTACATGAGTTTAAGGTATTACTGACCCTAGCCACTCAGTGACTGGAGATTAGACTAGACCCACTTATTAATCCACCCATCCACTAATTAATTATTCAATTAATATTTATTGAGCATCTACCATGTGTCAGGTTCTCTTTTAGAACTGGGAGTGTATCACACATTTTTATATTACCTTCCATGCTAAGTACATAGGAAGACTCAGAAAACACATATGATTAGACACTGAGAATGCTATTTTTTGGTGCCTTTGGTGATAAAACGTTAGGATCCAGGAAAGCAATTGTTAGGTTTGCCCCCTCACTCCCAAATGCTGTTGCTGTTATAAAGCTTTTCAGTCCCTCAAAATCACTTAGGAAGATAAATGAGTAAACTTCGCTGCACTAATTTACTCTTCAAATTTCAGCATGATTTATGCCCTGTTTTGTTTATTGCTCAAATAAGCAAAATCAGAATGGATTGTGTGATTATTTTGAAATATAGTTAAGTCCAGATCACTTTATTCTTCCTTCATCATTTTTTTTTAACTAATCCATCTCTACCCAGGAGATGATTCATCACACAGCTGCCAGGGCTGCTTTAAAATAAAGGAATAAATAAGAAGAAAGAAAGAAAAGTGAAGGAGGGCCACTACATAGCCCCAAAGTAAATCACTGTACACCTTCCTGCATTCTCTTTCTCTCTGCCTGTCTTCCTCTCTGTCACACACACACCTCTAAGAATTTCAGCAGAATCCGGGACATGCTGGAAAATCATTTGATGCGAGGAATTGGGGCTTAAGCCAAGTGTGCTGCCGTGGCCTAAATGTGCAAGGTGGGGCCAGGGACTTCTCCCGCAGGAAGCCGGCTCAGGCCAGAAGCCCAGGGGGTGGGCAGGGCAGGGGTCATCTCCCCCAGGGTTTGCCTCTGCCTTGCTCTCTGAGGGTCTCCACTTTGTCCCTTCAGGCTTTGACTAAATCTTCACGCAGACACTGGTCAGCTACCTGGCCCTGAGCAAGTCGCTTTGGGCCTTGGTGGAACTGGGAAATGAAGGGACATTCGCTTCCTAGGGCTGCGGTGAGAAATCGCCACAAACTGCGTGGCTTAAAACAACAGAAATTGCCCCTCCCAGTTCTGAAGGCCAGAGATGTGGACACAGTTGAAATGACAGTGACAGAGAAGGGTGTGGAGGAGAGGAGCGGGGCTGCGGTCACGCCCAGGACACTGGATTTTAAAGGGTGGGCAGAGAAGATCCCACAGAGACGAGGACCAGAGAGGGAGGTGGGGGGAGAGCTGGGAGAAGGGGCAGTCGAGAGGGAGGTGGGGGGAGAGCTGGGAGAAGGGGCAGTCGAGAGGGAGGTGGGGGGAGAGCTGGGAGAAGGGGCAGTCGAGAGGGAGGTCGGGGGAGAGCTGGGAGAAGGGGCAGTCGAGAGGGAGGTCGGGGGAGAGCTGGGAGAAGGGGCAGTCGAGAGGGAGGTGGGGGGAGAGCTGGGAGAAGGGGCAGTCGAGAGGGAGGTCGGGGGAGAGCTGGGAGAAGGGGCAGTCCTGAACATCAAGACAGAGAAGCAGCAGCCGCAGCATGTGCAGGGAGAGACCACCCAGGCCCAGCACGGGGAGGCCACGGACTTTGGCACCTCGATGGACACAGAAGATCTTCAGAGAAGCAATTTCAGCTTTAAAAATGGATGGAAGCCATATTGCAGTGGGTTAGGGACAGGAGAGAAGGTCAGAAAGTGGCCCTCAGATTTGGACCACTCACTGGATTGGACCAAGACCGGTAGGCGTTGGGCTGATGATGGGTTAGAGGCTGCGTGGGGAGGAGGTGCTCATGGGTGGGTGGAGAGGCTGCGTGGGAGGAGGTGCCCAGAGATGGGTGAGAGGCTGCGTGGGAGGAGGTACTCATGTGTGGGTGGAGAGGCTGCGTGGGAGGAGGTGCCCACAGACGGGTGGAGAGGCTGTGTGGGAGGAGGTGCCCAGTGATGGGTGGAGAAGCTGCGTGGGAGGAGGTGCTCATGGGTGGGTGGAGAGGATGCGTGGGAGGAGGTGCTCATGGGTGGGTGGAGAGGCTGTGTGGGAGGAGGTGCCCAGAGATGGGTGGAGAGGCTGCGTGGGAGGAGGTGCCCAGAGATGAGTGGAGAGGCTGCGTGGGAGGAGGTGCTCATGGGTGGGTGGAGAGGCTGCGTGGGAGGAGGTGCTCATGGGTGGGTGGAGAGGCTGCGTGGGAGGAGGTGCTCATGGGTGGGTGGAGAGGCTGCGTGGGAGGAGATGCTCGAGTGGGTGGAGAGGCTGCGTGGGAGGAGGTGCTCATGGGTGGGTGGAGAGGCTGCGTGGGAGGAGGTGCTCATGGGTGGGTGGAGAGGCTGCGTGGGAGGAGATGCTCGAGTGGGTGGAGAGGCTGCGTGGGAGGAGGTGCTCATGGGTGGGTGGAGAGGCTGCGTGGGAGGAGGTGCTCATGGGTGGGTGGAGAGGCTGCGTGGGAGGAGATGCTCGAGTGGGTGGAGAGGCTGCGTTGGAGGAGGTGCTCATGGGTGGGTGGAGAGGCTGCGTGGGAGGAGGTGCTCATGGGTGGGTGGAGAGGCTGCGTGGGAGGAGATGCTCGAGTGGGTGGAGAGGCTGCGTGGGAGGAGGTGCTCATGGGTGGGTGGAGAGGCTGCGTGGGAGGAGGTGCTCATGGGTGGGTGGAGAGGCTGCGTGGGAGGAGGTGCTCATGGGTGGGTGGAGAGGCTGCGTGGGAGGAGGTGCTCATGGGTGGGTGGAGAGGCTGCGTGGGAGGAGGTGCTCATGGGTGGGTGGAGAGGCTGCGTGGGAGGAGGTGCTCATAGGTGGGTGGAGAGGCTACGTGGGAGGAGGTGCCCAGAGATGGGTGGAGAAACTGTGTAGGAGGAGGTCCTAGTTGTCTGCATTTCCTTTGGGAGAACAGCCTTAGGGAAAGGAAAGAGACTGGTGGAGCAAAATCCGAGAGGCTGAGGCAGCATAAAAGTCTCTCCTCCATGGAAAAACTTGGAGCCAAAAGCGCACATTCCTCAGTGAAAGACGCCAACCTGAAAGGCTACACTTTGTATGATTCCAACTATGTGACATTCAGGAAAAGGCAGACTTATGGGGGCCTTAAGCAGATCTGTGCTTGCCAGGGTTTGGTGGGGTGGGAAGGATGAATCGGCCGAGCACACAGAGGTTTGGAGACCCAAAAGACGTCTGTATGATCCTGCAATGGCAGGTGCAAGACGGATGGATTTGTCACAACTCACAGAACACACAGGCAAAGGGTGAACCCTAATGTCAGCTGTGGGACTTAGTTAATAATGTTTCAATATTGGTTTATCAATTATACCACATGCACCACACTAATGCAAGATGTTTGTAATTTGGAAAACTGAGGGCAGGGGAAGAAGGAGGATATGGGAACTCTCTGTAGTTCTGTTCAGTTTTTCTCTAAACATGAAACTGCTCTAAAAATATAAAGCTTATTAATTAAAAATAGTAATAAATAAGAAAAGTTTACCAGGAAGGTAAATGGAAAGTATTTGATAGTTCTAGGATGGAACAAAAAAGGAGGTACAGGAGGAAGTGCTGGCCGAGACGGAAAGGGGATGCCTGGTCATTGGAGACTGAGAGGAGGGAGGAGCACCAGGTACTTCAGTGTGTCCGGGAGGAAGCCTTCTGCAGGGAAGCAGGGACCCTGGGCCAAGCTGGAGCCTCCCAGAGGCAAAGGCTGAGAGTGAGGCTGATGGAGAGGGAAGCCCTGTAGGCAAAAGGGAGAGGGAGTGGGTGTGGGAGGGAGAGCCTTCAGTGCTCCTCTGTCTGCCCCACACCTCCTTGTCCCTTTAGAGTAAGGGGGCAGTAGGTACAAGAGAGATGTAAGGAGAGCAGGAAAGATTGGAATTGGCATTGAGGACAGACGTGTCTCACACTCTGGGTGGTTGTGATGATGGGAATGGTTAGTGGTCAGCTGAGGTTGGAGACATTGCATTTGTCATTCCCAAAGGTCATTCTCAAAGGTCAAGGTGTTGATGTGGAGGAGGTAGATTCGGCATAAAACCAAGTTGGGCATTCGCTAGTCTGGGCAGAGAAGGAGTTGTGTGAGGAAAGCCATTCAGTAGGGGATTGGAGCAGAGGATGAATGACCACCAAGTGGCTCATCCAAAAGGGAATTCCCACAGTGGAGAAGAAGTTGGAAAAGTCACTCTCAAA
This sequence comes from Homo sapiens, assembly GCF_000001405.40. NCBI lineage: Eukaryota > Metazoa > Chordata > Mammalia > Primates > Hominidae > Homo > Homo sapiens. The sequence continues at coordinate 154,659,081 of NC_000007.14, forward strand.
TCCTCTTTTAACTTGAAAGGAAAAGAATCTGATACCCTGCAAGAAATCAAATTCCAATGCAAAAATATAGGTTCCTTTCATAGGAACAGATGTGGAGAATATGATTGAGGATTGAGACCCTAAACCCAGTTTCCCACCTGACACAGGGATTGAGCCCATTTGTTTTTGCTACAGAGTTCCATAGAGTAAACTTGTCCCAATATCTGACATATTACTGGGCCTTTAAAAGAAATTACATATAGATAGTTGTTGTAATAACATTTTATCAATATTCAACCATTGATCCTTCCTAATTAAGTGAAGGGTTAAGGGAACACACATATACATCTACACATTCACATATATACGTTGTGTGTATTATATTGCATGGTCAAATTATTTACCAGTTTATCAATGAATAAACCAGCATTTATGGAATATCTGCTAGGAAGCTCTGTGCTATCTATTTTCACATACAATAGATTATTGCGTCCAACCCTACGAGGCAAACATGATTATTTTCATTTTATACACAGGAAACAAACTTGGATCCAGTTACTCTATTGCCTCAAGCCCTTTGCTTCTAGTGGCAGAGTTCAGAATTAAATTTACACCTTCTTGGAATTATCTCCACCACTTCACAACTTCCTCCCCACGAGGAACATCCTGGTGTTTTTGAAGACAGATTGCCACGACTCACTTCTGGCATCTTGGAGTCACTTGTTTAACTTATAGAGACTGAGAAAGATTGAGAGGTTGAGAGAGTCACTAGCTAGCAAAAAGAAAACAATTACCTCTTTGGACTATGGTAGAGTTTATAAATTAATAGCCATTGTTTCTCTTGATTTTCATGACCATTCTGTAGGACGAGGGTAGCTATTGTCCCCATAGGAGAAAATAAGACGCAGAGAGTTGCTGAAGGCCGTGTGATCCACACGTCATAAGGTTGGGACTAGGATGCAAACTTTTGATTCCTGGTGTGGATCTATGGAAACTCCTGTAACGTGTTGGTGGTGAGGGAAGGGAAATGCATCTTAGCTTATGGAAGAAGTAAAGGACTCCTTGAGCACAGGTGAGCCAGGTAATAAAAGTGGAATTAGTGAATCACCATCGCATATTGGCCCTAGTGTTCATGCAGTGATGGTGAATCACCATGGCATATTGGCCGTAGTGTTCATATAGTCATGGTGAATCACGATGGCGTATTGGCCGTAGTGTTCACGCAGTCATGGTGAATCACCATGGCGTATTGGCCGTAGTGTTCACGCAGTCATGGTGAATCACCATGGCGTATTGGCCGTAGTGTTCATATAGTCATGGTGAATCACCATGGCGTATTGGCCGTAGTGTTCATATAGTCATGGTGAATCACCATGGCGTATTGGCCCTAGTGTTCATGCAGTCATGATGAATCACCATGGCATATTGGCCGTAGTGTTCATATAGTCATGGTGAATCACCATGGCATATTGGCGCTAGTGTTCATATAGTCATGGTGAATCACCATGGCGTATCGGCCGTAGTGTTCATATAGTCATGGTGAATCACCATGGCATATTGGCCGTAGTGTTCATATACTCATGGTGAATCACCATGGCGTATTGGCCGTAGTATTCATATAGTCATGGTGAATCACCATGGCATATTGGCGCTAGTATTCATATAGTCATGGTGAATCACCATGGCGTATTGGCCGTAGTGTTCCTATAGTCATGGTGAATCACCATGGCGTATTGGCGCTAGTATTCATATAGTCATGGTGAATCACCATGGCGTATTGGCCGTAGTGTTCATATAGTCATGGTGAATCACCATGGCGTATTGGCGCTAGTATTCATATAGTCATGGTGAATCACCATGGCGTATTGGCCGTAGTATTCATATAGTCATGGTGAATCACCATGGCATATTGGCGCTAGTATTCATATAGTCATGGTGAATCACCATGGCATATTGGCGCTAGTATTCATATAGTCATGGTGAATCACCATGGCGTATTGGCCGTAGTGTTCATATAGTCATGGTGAATCACCATGGCGTATTGGCGCTAGTATTCATATAGTCATGGTGAATCACCATGGCGTATTGGCCGTAGTGTTCATATAGTCATGGTGAATCACCATGGCGTATTGGCGCTAGTATTCATATAGTCATGGTGAATCACCATGGCGTATTGGCCGTAGTGTTCATATAGTCATGGTGAATCACCATGGCGTATTGGCGCTAGTATTCATATAGTCATGGTGAATCACCATGGCGTATTGGCCGTAGTGTTCATATAGTCATGGTGAATCACCATGGCGTATTGGCGCTAGTATTCATATAGTCATGGTGAATCACCATGGCGTATTGGCCGTAGTGTTCATATAGTCATGGTGAATCACCATGGCGTATTGGCGCTAGTATTCATATAGTCATGGTGAATCACCATGGCGTATTGGCCGTAGTGTTCATATAGTCATGGTGAATCACCATGGCGTATTGGCGCTAGTATTCATATAGTCATGGTGAATCACCATGGCGTATTGGCCGTAGTGTTCATATAGTCATGGTGAATCACCATGGCGTATTGGCCGTAGTATTCATATAGTCATGGTGAATCACCATGGCATATTGGCGCTAGTATTCATATAGTCATGGTGAATCACCATGGCATATTGGCCGTAGTGTTCATATAGTCATGGTGAATCACCATGGCGTGTTGGCCCTAGTGTTCACGCAGTCATGGTGAATCACCATGGCGTGTTGGCCCTAGTGTTCACGCAGTCATGGTGAATCACCATGGCATATTGGCCATAGTGTTCATATAGTCATGGTGAATCACCATGGCATATTGGCCGTAGTGTTCACGCAGTCATGGTGAATCACCATGGCGTATTGGCGGTAGTGTTCATATAGTCATGGTGAATCAGCATGGTGTATTGGCGCTAGTGTTCATATAGTCATGGTGAATCACCATGGCATATTGGCCATAGTGTTCATATAGTCATGGTGAATCACCATGGCGTATTGGCCATAGTGTTCATAGAGTCATGGTGAATCACCATGGCATATTGGCGCTAGTATTCATATAGTCATGGTGAATCACCATGGCATATTGGCCGTAGTGTTCATATAGTCATGGTGAATCACTGTGGCATATTGGCCGTAGCGTTCACGCAGTCATGGTGAATCACCATGGCGTATTAGCCATAGTGTTCATATAGTCATGGTGAATCAGCATGGCATATTGGCGCTAGTGTTCATATAGTCATGGTGAATCACCATGGCATATTGGCCCTAGTGTTCACGCAGTCATGGTGAATCACCATGGCGTATTGGCCCTAGTGTTCATATAGTCATGTGAATCACCATGGCGTATCGGCTGTAGTGTTCATATAGTCATGGTGAATCACCATGGCGTATCAGCCGTAGTGTTCATATAGTCATGGTGAATCACCATGGCGTATCGGCCGTAGTGTTCATATAGTCATGGTGAATCACCATGGCGTATCAGCCGTAGTGTTCATATAGTCATGGTGAATCACCATGGCGTATCGGCCGTAGTGTTCATATAGTCATGGTGAATCACCATGGCGTATCGGCCATAGTGTTCATATAGTCATGGTGAATCACCATGGCGTATTGGGCGTAGTGTTCATATAGTCATGGTGAATCACCATGGCATATTGGCCGTAGTGTTCATATAGTCATGGTGAATCACCATGGCGTATTGGCCATAGTGTTCATGTAGTCAAGATGAATCACCATGGTGTATTGGCGCTAGTATTCATATAATCATGATGAATCACCATAGCGTATTGGCCATAGTGTTCATATAGTCATGGTGAATCACCATGGCATATTCGCCGTAGTGTTCATATAGTCATGGTGAATCACCATGGCGTATCGGCCGTAGTGTTCATATAGTCATGGTGAATCACCATGGTGTGTTGGCCCTAGTGTTCACGCAGTCATGGTGAATCACCATGGCGTGTTGGCCCTAGTGTTCACGCAGTCATGGTGAATCACCATGGTATATTGGCCATAGCGTTCATATAGTCATGGTGAATCACCATGGCATATTGGCCGTAGTGTTCACGCAGTCATGGTGAATCACCATGGCGTATTGGCGGTAGTGTTCATATAGTCATGGTGAATCAGCATGGTGTATTGGCGCTTGTGTTCATATAGTCATGGTGAATCACCATGGCGTATTGGCCGTAGTGTTCATATAGTCATGGTGAATCACCATGGCGTATTGGCCATAGTGTTCATAGAGTCATGGTGAATCACCATGGCGTATTGGCCATAGTGTTCATGTAGTCAAGATGAATCACCATGGCGTATTGGCGCTAGTATTCATATAGTCATGATGAATCACCATAGCGTATTGGCCATAGTGTTCATATAGTCATGGTGAATCACCATGGCATATTCTCCGTAGTGTTCATATAGTCATGGTGAATCACCATGGCGTATCGGCCGTAGTGTTCATATAGTCATGGTGAATCACCATGGTGTGTTGGCCCTAGTGTTCACGCAGTCATGGTGAATCACCATGGCGTGTTGGCCCTAGTGTTCACGCAGTCATGGTGAATCACCATGGCATATTGGCCATAGCGTTCATATAGTCATGGTGAATCACCATGGCATATCGGCCGTAGTGTTCATATAGTCATGGTGAATCACCATGGCGTATCGGCCGTAGTGTTCATATAGTCATGGTGAATCACCATGGCGTATCGGCCATAGTGTTCATATAGTCATGGTGAATCACCATGGCGTATTGGGCGTAGTATTCATATAGTCATGGTGAATCACCATGGCGTATTGGCCGTAGTGTTCATATAGTCATGGTGAATCACCATGGCGTATTGGCCATAGTGTTCATGTAGTCAAGATGAATCACCATGGCGTATTGGCGCTAGTATTCATATAGTCATGATGAATCACCATAGCGTATTGGCCATAGTGTTCATATAGTCATGGTGAATCACCATGGCATATCGGCCGTAGTGTTCATATAGTCATGGTGAATCACCATGGCGTATCGGCCGTAGTGTTCATATAGTCATGGTGAATCACCATGGCGTATTGGCCGTAGTGTTCATATAGTCATGGTGAATCACTATGGCATATTGGCGCTAGTGTTCATAAAGTCATTGTGAATCACCATGGCTTGTTGGCCCTAGTGTTCACGCGATCATGGTGAATCACCATGGCGTATTGGCCCTAGTGTTCATGCAGTCTTGCAAGGCACTGCATATTATTTCCAGTTAGCATTTATGGGAATTTACATTTGTCGTATCAAAGAAAAGTTAATCCCCTGCTGTTTCTGAATATCTTAGATACCTACTGAAAATCATAATCTAACAAACTGAATTTCAATATTAAGTAAGGCAATGGAGTTTAAGTCTTTCTGATGTCCCACTCTGCCCTCTGTGCTTAGAAAATTCCAAATAAACACAGGTCAAGTGAATTTGTTAGGCTTGTCTCTAAACTTTCAAAAGGATCTTTGCTGAGAGCCACCTCTCGAACCTACCTTTATTTACTAATTTATTTGTTTGTTCATAGGCACATAATGAGGGCCTGTGCTGTGCTCCATATGGAATTCTTTTTTTTTTTTTTTCAGTTTTTAAAATCAAGATCACAGTATGTTGGGAGGGCAATTATCTGACTTTTCATTCCTATTTAGGATAATTTTTAAAGCCAATGAGATATAAGCTATGAAATTCTTTTTAAAAACTTTTTATTTTGAATAATTGTAGACACAGAAAAGTTGCAAAAGTAGTGCAAAAAAATCTCCCATATTTCTCATGTCACCACTCCTAGTGATAGCATATTGTATAACTTTGGTATAATGATCAAGAATAGGAAATTAACATGGGTGCCATATTGTTAACTCATCTACAGGCCTCATTTGAATTCTACCAATTTTTCTACCAATTTTCTACCTGTGTCCCAGGACCCCATGCTGCCTTTAGATGTTCTTTCTTCTTAGCACCCTCCAGTCTATAACATTTCCTCCATTTCTCCTTGTCTTTCATGACCTTGCACTTTTGAGGAGGACTGGTCAGTTATGTTGTAGTGTCCCTCAATTTGGGTTTTTCCCAGTGTTTTCTCATGATTGGAGTAAGGTTCTGCATTTTGGGTAAAAAATATCACATAAATGATTATTTGTCCTTCCCATTGCATTATATCCAATGGGCTCCAGTGATGTTGGCCTTGGTCATTTGCTTAAGTGGCTGTCTGCCAGGTTTCCACTGTAAATTTGATGATTTGATTTATTTAATTATTTATATCAGTAAAGACTCATGGGTATTTATTTTATTCTATGGGTTAATCCAGTACTAACATTAATTTTTGTTGTTGTTGATCAAACTGTTCTAGTATGAGTCATTAGAAACTCCTTTAGGTTAGCTTTCATGTTCTCTCAATAAACCCCTATTTTTTTAGTATTCCATTGCTTTCTGGTTTCCTAAAATATTCCTGACTCATTCTGTATTTTCCCTGCCCCAGCCCAGATACAATTGCTCCTCCCAGAAGCCCTATTTTCTTTTACTGGGTGATGGTATTTAGACACCAAGATCTGGGTGCTAACTGTGCTCATTGCTACTGGGGTGTCATTGTTTCTAGGCCTTCTCAGTGGACAGACGCAGGACATATTTGTATGTATACTAACCCATGGACACACACATATCTATATTTTGGATCTATCTGTGTACATAGAGATTAAAAACCATGAGTTTATACAGATACCTCTGATTTCAAACTTCACAGTTTATTTTAGTGTTCCCCTTTTCCTTATAACGTTTTTTTTCAACAGTGAAAAACCTGGCTTTCATTATCTCCAATATATTTACATATTTGTCCCATTCTAGCATGCACACAGTCTCAAAATTGATCCTCCAAACCCCTGGGAGAAACAAATTTACTCACGGAACTACAGAGAATCTTCCTTCTCTCAGCAGTCCCATCTTTCCACCCTATTTCCACCTATACCCTATAGGTAATCAATCTGGTTCCTGGTTTCTGCTTCCTACATTTCCTTTTTCACAAAAGACTCGATTCATATATATTCTCATATCCCTTTCTTCTATGATATATAATTATATCATACTATATACATACATATATGTGTGTATATATATATATATATACACATATACATACATACATACATACATACATACTATAACACATACTCTTGGGCTTTGTTAACTCTGACATGGAAATCACTCCATATCTGTTTATAGAGTTATTCATTCTCTCTTACACCTGCACCCTACTTCATTGTATTGGGGGGGTATAGTTTTGGGGGGTTTTATAAATTGACAAATGATAATTATATATATTTACAGGGTACAATATGATATTTTGTTATATGTATACATTATGAAATTATTAAATCAAGCTAATTAACATCTCTATCACCTCATATACTTATCTTTTTTCATTGTGGTATAATAGTTAACATCTATTCTCTTATCTATTTTGAAACATGCATTACATTCTTATTAACTATAATCACCATACTCTGCAACAGATCTCAAAAACTTATTCCTCCTGTCTAACTGAAACTTTGTATCTTTTTATCAGCACCCCCCCAATCCCTCCCACTCCCAGCCTCTGGTAACCACTACTACTCTACTCACTGCTCAATACTATTCAGCCTTAAAAAAGAAGGATGTACCGTCATTTATTCAACCACATATTGTTTCCAATATTTGCAACTACAAATAAAACTGCAATAAATACAAACTTGTGCACATGTATTTGTGCATTGTTTGAGGTGAATTCTCTAGGAGTCTAGAAGTGGAAGTGTTGGGCTGAAAGTTAAGTGTGTACTTTATTAGGTATTGTCAGATGTCTCTCTGAAATGATTGCACCAGCTTGCTTCCCGACAAGCAAGTCTGAGAGTGCCTGTTTCCCTACAGTCTCCCCAGCACCATGTGTCATACTTTTTTCTTCTTTTTCCAAGTCTCATAGGTGAGAAATGATATCTCAATTAATTTTAATTCCTACTTCCTTAATTTCATATGTATTTGAGTACCTTTCATATGTTTGATTGAGGGCCATTTTTATGTCTTTTTGTGAATTGTCTGTTCATGTCTTTTTCTCATATTTTTATCTTTTTTTTTTATAACCACATTTTTCAAAGTATTTTGTATGTTAGGGATATTAGCCATGTGTTGTAAATACTTTTCTCCTGGTTTGTAAGATGTCTTTTGTTTATGATGCATCTGTCATGCAAAAGTTTTATGTTTTTATGTAGTCCAACTTATTAATCTTAATTTCTGGCTCCTGAATTTTGAGTCATCAAAGCTTTTCTCTACACCAGGGTTCAAGAGGAATTAACCTATGCTTATGAGAATACTTTGAAACATCATAACATACAAATGTTGGCTGGGCACAGTGGCTCACGCCTGTAATTCCAGCACTTTGGGAGGCCGAGGCAGACGGATTCCCTGAGGTCAGGAGTTCCAGCCTGGCTAACATGGTGAAACTCTGTCTCTACTAAAAATACAAAAATTCGCCAGGCGTCGTGGCAGGTGCCTATAATCCCAGCTACTTGGGAGGCTGAGGCAGGAGAATCACTTGAACCTAGGAAGCAGAGGTTGCAGTGAGCTGAGGTCTGCCACTGCACTCCAGCCTGAGCGATAGAGCAAGACTCCTTCTCAAAACAAAACAAAACAAAACCACGCAATGTTAAAAACTCATCTATTAACAGAACCTGCAATATTAGGACTCGCTTGCATCTTCCGATCACTGGGCAGCTGCCTTCCCAGCTGGTTTCTAAGCGGCAATGTCTTCTCTGAATTGGCATCGTCACTCTACCCTCAGGCTTCCTGGCTTCTCCAAACCCAGACACTTCATCTAAAACTACCTGGGGCATTCTAGACTCTCTAGCCTCCCCCATCTGTCTTTACTCTAAATGTAGTCCTTGTTTTTCCTGGTAGTTTTATTCAGCCGTTGCTTTTGTATTTTCTATTGATTCCAGTCCACCATGTCCTTAGCCCCTTCACCTTCCTTCCCTTCCTGCCTCATCTCCTTTGTTCATGCAACCCCTGAAGTGCAGCATCCTCCCTTTCCAAAGGCCATTCAACCATTTCTTTCTACAGATGAGTGGGTGCATTCCCAGCTATGTGTATATTTTATATATATATATATATATATAATATACACATTTTTTTTTCAAGACAGAGTTTCGCTCTGTCACCCAGGCTACAGTGTAGTGGCATGATCTCCGCTCACTGCAAGCTCTGCCTCCCGGGTTCACGCCATTCTCCTGCCTCAGCCTCCCAAGTAGCTGGGACTACAGGCACCCGCCACCGCGCCCGACTAATTTTTTATATTTTTAGTAGGGATGGGGTTTCACCGTGTTAGCCAGGATGGTCTCGATCTCCTGACCTCGTGATCGACCGCCTCAGCCTCCCAAAGTGCTGGGATTACAAGCGTGAGCCACCGCGCTCAGCCCCACATAAGAAATTATAGCTAAGTGATAGGGCGCTTACCTGACAGAGCCCAGCAGACTCAGCAGAACACAGATATCATTCTTCACGTGGAGGGGTGTCATCCAAAAGAAACATGAAAATGAATCTTTTCTACACGTTGGAGACAGCAGTAGCTACAAAATATACTGAAATATTTAATACTTATAAAATGTTAGCACTTTTCATTTTTCCCACCATGACCTTTACTCACTATAACCTTTAAGTACTTAGAGAGGTTTTTGTTGTGGTGGTATTGGTATTTAATCAGTACATTAAGGATAAAAAATATAAGGAGGTTTGAAAGGAAATACATCTTTCAATTTATCCCCTTCCTCCCTCTCTCTCTCGACTTGTATCTGTCAACACAAACCAACACAAAACCTGATGCCACCAGGTTTGTAAGGTCATAATGACCTGCGTTATACCTAGAAAAAATTATCTTCTAGGAGAACCAAAGATGGAGATACAAATTGTGGAGGTAGATCACTGCATGGTTCTGCATTTTAATTTTTAACTTTGACTGTTCTGGAGATTTAAGAAGTTGATCCAAAGACCTCACTGCATGTCCTCTCTTAATGAGTATTTACTATTTGGGTTAAGCAATGATGGACCTATTTCAGCTTCATATAAATTATATACATCTGAAGAAACCTAATAGAGACTAAATGAGACATATTACTTAGTAACACAAGAGACAAGCTCTTGAAATGGATACCATGGAAGGAGAAAGGAGTTAAGTTATAGGTAGGGGATAAAATTGCAGCAGCTTAAATTCTTGGTTCCCAACATTTTGCTTTGTTTTTGTTTGTTTGTTCAATTTTCAGGGATCCTCAAAGTCTGGACCCACCAGAAGTCAGCAATGCAAAACTTCAGTATGCAGGATGGGGCCCTAAAGGCCAACAGCTGGTAAGCCAATCAAGTTCAGTAACTATACTTGGGTTTTGAGGAAGTTTCTGTTTTCTAAGCTGAATGGATCTCACTGTACTCAGCCTGTACATGGTGTTGTGTGTGTGTGTGTGTGTGTGTGTGTGTAAATTAAAATCTGGAGAGGTACACCAGGGTGTCTGAATATGTAAAAGGGTCATTTCTTTTTAGATAGCAAATTCTCCTAAAATTGGAACAGCATGTGCTTGGTTCCTACATCTGACATGGTTAAAGTGGTGCCTAACTGTAGCTGTGTCTATGGACTCCAGATGAATCATGAGCTCAAAGAGATCAACTTCATTAAAAGAACTGCAGATGAGAATGATCCGAATGATTTTGTCATCTAAAGATGCTCTGGGAACTCAGACTTCTTCCTGTGGAGGGTTTTTTTTTGTTTTTTGTTTGTTTGTTTCTTTTGAGATGGAGTTTTGCTCTCGTTGCCCAGGCTGGGGTGCAGTGGCACGATCTCAGCTCACTGCAACCTCCACCTCCTGTGTTCAAGCGATTCTCCTGCCTCAGCCTCCCCAGTAGCTGGGATCACAGGCGTACTCCACCACACCCGACTAATTTTTGTATATTTAGTAGAGACAGGGTTTCACTATGTTGGCCAGGCTGGTCTCAAACTCCTGACCTCAGGCAATCCACCCGCCTCAGCCTCCCAAAGTGCTGGCATTACAGGCGTGAGCTACCGTGCCCAGCCTCTGCGGAGGGTTTTTTAAGCAAGTAGATTTGCTGGCCCTGATGGAGCCAGGCCAGTCCCGTCAACATGCAAAACCCCCCGTGGTCATTGCAGCCTTCTCGGTTTCTATCAGCTATCTTCATGGATTCCTTCTCAAATTGGCAAAACTGCTGGGTTTCTGTGAATGGGAAGGACAGTGCAGAGAAAAAGGCCCTGAACACTATTTCTAAGATGAGGGCTCCCACCCTGGTTCTCACTGCCGAGCTGGCCTTGGACAGCACCTCCCGCTGTCAGGCTGTAGGCAGCAGCCCAGCCATGTAGTGAAGAATTTGGATAATACGGTCCTTCAGGTTTGTTCCAACTCTAGCCTTGCGTTTGACTAAAACTTGGTTATATTTGTCCATTCTGGGTAACATTTTTTTAAGACATTGTATTGCCACGTGCAGAAAGTCCCTCAGGTTTGAAGGTCAGATGACATGGTTGCTGTTTTCAAGTCACCATTTTCTTCTGCCTCTTTAAGCTGATTACCTAAGCCTGCATTTGTAAAGCTCCTTTTTCCTAAAATAGCACAAAAAATGATCGTATCTAAAAGCTCCCACAGAATTGTATCGGATAGGCTGTCATCTATCTTACAAATGAAAATAGTCTTATTTCTCCCCATAGTACAATCACATTTTCTTGGTTATATATTAATTCCACTGCCTTGAATTGGTTTGAAAAAGCAAGAAGATCGAGGCGGTGAAACTATTAATATTTTAGCTATTATTAACATGTCTCTAATGCTAAAACTGATAACAGAGGTTTTGAAAAGCATATGTAACTGATCAAAATCACAGGGTGACAGGAGGAAGTGAGGCAGCTGAGAGCTGACCTTGACCGAGGAACACCAATCCATCAGTTCAGTCACAACAAAGAGACAAAATTTGTCTTTTCTCAAAGGCATTAACTCTTACACAGGGAAAAAAATGCAATTTGATAAGAGATTGTAGAAGATCTAAGTTTTCAGGACTGATGCGCAACTGAATCTCTAATAGTTGACTTTAAAACCCTCTGAAAGTCTGTGATTGAAGAGATTTTCAATATCCATCAAATCATCTGTGAAAGTGGCCATTACACCTCCATAGAGAGCTCTCCCTGCCTGCTGCGGATCCATTACAAGCCAGTACCCACAGCTCTGCACCTGGCCTCATCACCCCACTACAGGGAGAAGGATGGGAATGTGTAACCTTACTGAGTGATCATTGTCCAGCCTTTTTATAGTAGTCAGGAGAAGACCATCATAATGTGACCACATGTCAAGGTCTCTTTCCACCATACCTGCGGCCTCGCTTCTTATCACCCAGCGGCTGTAACTCAGTGTGTGGACTCCTGCCTCATTGTCTGCACATGCAAATAAACCGGGTCCCGTAGTAGAGTTGGTACTTGTCCTGCCTCTGGGAACAGCTTGTAACATAAAGGAAATTTAACCCACAACTGTAAAAGGAGTTGCTGTGCATGCATATGTGTGTGTGTGTGCGTGTGCATGCACACACTTTAGAATTAAGTCTATAATTGTCCTCTTGAACAACTGACCTTCACTCATGTCATGCTCCGTTGGAGATGAGGAGGGGATAAGTGATTATAGAAGTTATCTTGTTTAACCTCTTACAGAATAAGTAGCAACAAAACAAAGTAAATGACAACTTCTCAGAGAAGGCTTCCTGACACCTCCCCCAACACACACATGCACACACACACACACACACACACAATGGTAGCTAGCCATCCTGGGGCTTCAGGTTTCACCGTGCAATCTCCCAGCACACATGATCTCTTGTTGCCTGTAGACATGTCTCTCTCCTTGGTTAGGTGGTGATATGGTGTGGCTCTGTGTCCCCACACAAATCTCACCTTTGAATTATTATAATCCCCATGTGTCAATGGTGGGACCAGATGGAGATAATTGAATCATGGGGGCAGTTTCCCCCATGCTCTTCTAGTGATAGTGAGTTCTCACGAGATCTGATGGTTTCCCCCTTTGCTCGACACTCACTCTGTCTTCTGCTGCCCTGTGAAGAGGTGCCTTCTGCCGTGATTGTAAGTCTCCTGAGGCCTCCCCAGCAATGCAGAACTGTGAGTCAATTAAACCTCTTTCTTGTATAAATGACTCAGTCTCAAATATTTCTTCATAGCAGCATGAGAACAAACTAATACAGGTACCCTGAGTCCACACAGTGAGACTGTTTCATCTTCGTATTCTAACACACCCAGCACAGTGTCTGGTGCCCAGTACACATTTGTTGAGGTAAAAGATGAAAGCACAAACAGATTGATTAATTCATTAGTTAATACATTTTTGTGGTTTCAAACCACTTCAGCATGAAGAATTGGATGGTGGCAAATAGCCAGCATCTATGAATATGTTCTAGGACAGTACTAGAGGTGACAGAAATTTGACTTCCTTTCTGCTTCAAAGAAATGAATGTTCAGGTAAGTAATAACTGTTAATACTTGAGTTTAGTACCAAAGGTGCTATATACTTGTGGAACTTTTGAGTTTTTAAATCCATTTGACCTTTAAGAGCGTTATGATACATGCATGTACTGAGCTTAAGACGCAATATAGCTCATTGTTGAGTGAGTACCCTATGTGCTGGAGCAGGGGCCGCCTTCTTCTGCAGAAGGTCAGATAGCACATGTTTCAGTCTTTGCAAACAGATAGTTTCTAGCACAATGACTCATCTCCCTTACTGCAGCATGGAAGCAGCTGCAGACAGTATAGACAAGATGGGCATGGCTGTGTTCCAATAAAGCTATACTTCCCAACACAGGTGGCTTGGCCTATGGGTTATAGTTTGCTGACCCCTGTTTTAGGGGATCATATGCTGTCTTGGTTGTTCTCATGGGGAAAGCCTGACCCCAGAGCCACCACCTCATCACAGGTACTCCCCACACCTGCTCCGTCTGCACAGAAAATTCACAACTCAAGAGCAGGCCTTGCAAGCCCTAACCTATTAAGTGATGCCAAGCAACACACCCCTCATTGCCATTTTATTTTAAAAAGTAAATATTGCTCCCTAAAGTCAACCTACTCTAATTATAATGAGTCAGATTGAAGTGAGTAATTCTCCTTTGGGAGCAGAGAACACAGCTGCAGTTGAGGTTTGCAAAGAGCTTTGGGAACATGTAGCCTCCTGTGCTGACTGATTTCAGTGATGCCTTTGGGTCTGGAGCCCCTATATCACAGGTGATGACCCAGGGAACCAGGGATGGGTGAGGGCATCTTTTCCCAGTGCCTCGATGTGGTTGCCAATTAGCTCTTACCTTTTAGAGTAAGTGTTGTGAGACCCATAGAACATTTCTCCGGTAGTAATGACTGCAGGGGGAGTGGCCTGTGTGTTGTTAGTGGAGTGGGTGGGAGGAGGCCCCCAGGCTGCCAGAAGCCACTTCTGTGATGATGCTGGTCTGGGGCTGGAGTTTATGACAAATGACAAGATTGCTTCCAAACGTTTGCTGAGGACCCAGGATGTGATCTAGGAAATAGACTTGGCCAGATTAAATAGGATTAAATGAGAAATCCTAGGTAAAATGTTAACACAGTGTCTCTCCTTTGCTTCCTCTTCCTCCAAACTGGAGTGGTCAGTCGGGAAACATAAACGTTCAAAACATATGCTGTTTCAACGTATTTCTCTGTACCACTTCTTTCCTCATTGTGTCCTCTTCAGATGAATCTGCCTGAACTGAGATTTCCTCCATGTTTCTTTCTTTTTTTTTTTTTTAACTGGAATCTCCCTCTGTCACCCAGGCCGGAGTGAATGTTGCGATCTCTGCTCACTCCAACCTCCACCTCCTGGGTTCAAGCAATTTTCCTGCCTCAGCCTCCCAAGTAGCTGGGACTACAGGTGTGTGCCACCATACGTGGCTAATTTTTGTGTTTTTAGCAGAGATGGGGTTTCACCGTTTTGGCCAAGCTGGTCTTGAACCCCTGACCTCAAGTGATCCACCCACCTCGGCCTCCCAAAGTGCTGGGATTATAAGCATGAGCCACTCTGCCCGGCCATCCATGTTTCTTTTCTTTGATCTTTTCATGAAGTCCTGCCCCCGACCATGTGTTTGTCTGTTTATGGGAGGTTTTGTTTCTGCTGACCTAGAATGTGATTAGTTGTCTGGTTTAGGAATGTCCACATATTTCCTGATATGGTATTTCTATTAGAGACATTTCCTGGAAGCACACAGACTTTGAGGCAGCCGCGGTGGCCTTCCTTGTTCTTGGCACATGCACTTGGAGTTGAAGCTGCCTCAGGGTGCATTTGCTGGTTGATCTGCAAGGGGAGGGAGGGCATGTGAATTTGGTGCATCATCACGTTTTCCTTTGGAAACAAGTGCCATGGAAATTTTCCCAAGAAAGACTGTGCAGCATTAGGCAACATTAAGAATTCAAAGCCGGAATCTTTGCTGGTACACTCGGAAGATCAGAGACAAAGTGAATGGGTCTCTCTTTGGTTGGCTTGCTACCATGATAGTGATAAATGAAGAGCTTTGAATGGGAAATTTAATGAGTCCATTGGGAAGTCTTCAACGCAGAGAGCGTCAAAATGTGACAGATGAAGAGCAGTGGAGTAGTTAGCCGGGAAACCTGCTGGAACTGGGGAGAGAGCTGTCCCCAAGAGATAGCGTTCCCCAAAGGAGCAGGTGCAATTACAAACACCATGGAGGGAAACTAAGGAATTCTCACAGCCATGCTTCACAGCTTAGAAGGAAAGGCCAACTTCCTCATCATCTCCAGACCAAGAGAGGCTGAGGGGTGGTGAATATCAGTGAGCAACTGTCCTGTGTCAGTCAGGAGAAAAACATGTTTATCAAAATGGGAGATTTGAGTCAGACTTTAAGAAGAATTGCCTTGATTATATGGCATTTTAGATCCTGGAATAGTTTTCCACAGAAGGTCACAGAATAGTTTATCGGAGAACGTCAATAAATCCGCATTTAAATTGTGCTGTGTTTTACTGCATGTTCTCACTCATAGGTGGGAATTGAACAATGAGAACACATGGACACAGGGCAGGGAACGTCCACACCGGGGCCTGTCCGGGGGCGGGGGGCTAGGGGAGGGATAGCATTAGGAGAAATACCTAATGTAAATGACAGGTTGATGGGTGCAGCAAGCCAACATAGCACATGTATACCTATGTAACAAACCTACACGTTGTGAACATGTACCTTAGAACTTAAAGTATAATAAAGAAAAAAAGAAAAAAAATTGTGCTGTGTTTTAATGGTTAGGATGGCAGCTCCCTTGGTGAAGTCTTAGGAGCAGGTAGACTGGACTCCCAAAGATGTTCCCAGCCCTAGGGCTCTCTGGAATGGCACATGTGGCCAGCGATTGCCATGGTCACAAGCTAGCTTAGTGCACGGGACCCTGCAGGCCGGTCCTGCCGTGCATGTACTTTCCTGTCATTCTCTTATGCACTCGTTTGTTTACGGATTCAATCAACTCTTCTTGAATACTTCCTGTGTTCTGGATACTGCCTGATCCCGGATGCAGAAGAAGGACATGGTCCCTTTCCTCACTAGCTTCTGCTTCTGATGGCACATTCACCTATTGGCACATTCACTCGCTCTCCCCAACCGCGAATGCTGCCCGTTGCCCTGCTCTGGCACGGTCACTCTCATAACTGTCCCCGTCTGTTCACACTGCCCAAGCTTTCCTCTCCTGTCCACAGCAGGGGCTGTCACACTATGTATTTGATATTCTTCTCATTTTTCACCAAGATCCTTAGATCCTCAAGTCTTAACAAAGTGATGCCCCTGAAAACAAAGCCATCCAGACAGGCCTCATCGCCTAAGGGGTCATTCCGTACTTGCTTGATACAGGGCCCATGAGGCCAATCCAGCTCTGAGAAAAACTTCTCTCCAGGGGCGGGGACATGGCCATGGGGTGTGCTGTCTGGAGGTCCAGCTGTCCTTACCTCCTACACAGGTGTTCCGGGCTACAGCCTTGCAGCATGCTGTCTGGAGGTCCAGCTGTCCTAACCATGTGACCTCCTACACAGGTGTTCCGGGCTACAGCCTTGCAGCGTGCTGTCTGGAGGTCCAGCTGCCCTTCCCCATGTGACCTGCTACACAGGTGTTCCGGGCTGCGGCCATGGGGCGTGCTGTCTGGAGGTCCAGCTGCCCTTCCCCATGTGACCTGCTACACAGGTGTTCCGGGCTGCGGCCATGGGGCGTGCTGTCTGGAGGTCCAGCTGGCCTTCCCCATGTGACCTGCTACACAGGTGTTCCGGCTACAGCCTTACAGCATGCTGTCTGGAGGTCCAGCTGCCCTTCCCCATGTGACCTGCTACACAGGTGTTCCAGGCTGCGGCCATGGGGTGTGCTGTCTGGAGGTCCAGCTGCCCTTCCCCATGTGACCTGCTACACAGGCGTTCCCTGACTGACTCACACAGACACTGTACCCACACCCTGCACCGGCCCCACCTTAGTGATTGCTACACCCTCTCAAGCCTGTGGCAGTTGTGGCTCTCTAAGCCACACCTCAGTGTGAAGCGGGATTTAAGGAACCAGAGAGACCGGATGGAGTGCAGGAGGGTGTTTATTTTAAGGTGTACACAGGCCCAGTGGACATGTGTCCTAAAGGCTGAGCCCAGAACAAAGAAAACGAGTCCCTTTTAAGCATTTTGAGGCAGGAACTACGTGAAGCAGGCTTACAGAAGCGAGAACTAAAGGCTGCTGTGACACTTTTGCAACATGGCTTACATCTCTGTGAGAACTTGGTTTGCGGCTTGTGCTTATCTGTCTTGTGACCTTGCAGTTGTGGGGGGAAGAAAGAAACAGGAGTTTACAGAGCCTACAAAATATGTGGAGGATAGATATGGTTATTGTTTCTTGGGACAGACAGTTAATATACTCTTCTAACTTTTAACTTCAGCGGGGCTGCTTAAATTCTCCTCAGCCTTGGTTAATACAGAATTTCATTCTATGAGCTATTGTTATTTTTCTTACTATTATTATAATTTTTACTATTACTACTTATGCTATTATTCTGTTGTTTTCTTAATTTCCCACTTCAAGTGGACGGAGCCCATTCCAAGCAAACTATTCCAAGGATAGCTGTTTTTCTTCTTAATACGCCAACAGCGAGAGAGCGTGAGCCTTCCTTTACCTACCCATGAGCATCTGCCAGTGATCCAGCGGGCACTGCTTCCTCCCAGAACCGTGTCTTGACACTTTTTTCTATGAATCAGTGAAAGATTCAAGAAAATTGGAGTTGAGGGGTTTTTTTTGCACTCGTGCTGACTTACCTTATGGCATTGGGGTTTTTGCCTTCAATAAAAATAATTTTTTAAAGTAGCCCATTAAAATTGTAAAAATCCATGCCTTCAAAATGTCAGTAATTCAACCTAAGATATGGAGGAAGAGCTTGCGCTTGAAACTCCAAAACGCTTTGTTAGAGGGACGAAAGGGCAGTTTGATAGCAGATCGGAGGGATGGAGGGCCTTTGCTTCACCCATCGCTCACGTGTGGGCGTCTGCACGGGGAGGAGCGCGTGGGGAGAACCATCAGATTTCAGTGTGACAGGGAGGCCACGTGGGTGGCACTGCAGCAGCAGCACAGAGCCAGCGTGAGGGCAGGCTGGGTGCAGCCAGGAGCCAGCTGGGAGTGGGAACCCAGCCAGGCCTGGGATGTGGAAGCCCCCACTGAGAAACTCCCTTGTAGGGTCCCAGGCCACCTCCTCAGCCTCAGAATGGGAAGGTCCTAGGTAAGAGGTGAAGCCGGCTGGGCTTCTGGGTGGGGTGCGGACTTGGAGAACTTTTCTGTCTAGCTAAAGGATTGTAAAGGCACCAATCAGAGCTCTGTCTAGCTAAAGGTTTGTAAACGCAGGGATCAGCACTCTGTAAAAACACACCAATCAGAGCTCCTGTCTAGCTAAACGTTTGTAAACGCACTGATCAGCACTCTGTAAATACGCACCAATCAGTGCTCTGTGTCTAGCTAAAGGTTTGTAAACACACCAATCAGCACTCTGTAAAAACGGACCAATCAGCACTCTGTAAAATGGACCAATCAGCAGGATGGGGGCGGGCCAAATAAGGAAATAAAAGCTGGCCACCGCCGCCCAACAGCTGCAACCCGCAGCTCGGGTTCCCTTCCACGTGGAAGCTGTGTTCTTTCCTTCTTCACAATAAATCTTGCTGCTGCTCGCTCTCTGGGTTCGCACTACGTGTATGAGCTGTAACACTCACTGCAAAGGTCTGCAGCTTCACTTCTGAAGTCAGTGAGACCACAAACCCACAGGGAAGAACAAACAACTCTGGGCGCGCCACCTTTAAGAGCTGTGACACTCACTGCGAAGGTCTACGGCTTCACTCCTGAAGTCACCAAGACCACGAACCCACTGGAAGGAAGAAACTCCAGACACATCTGAACATCTGAAGGAAGAAATTCCGGACACAGCATCTTCAATAACCCTAACACTCACCGCGAGGGTCTGCGGCTTCATTCCTGAAGTCAGCGAGACCAAGAACCCACCAGAAGGAACCAATTCCGGAGAAACTTGTTTTAAGCGTGAGAAGGAAAAGAATATTTTATTTTGTTTGTTTTGCTCTTAAAGGGTCATTAGTAACAAAAGCTTTGGAGTCAAAAGGGCCAGATTCAGATCGTGGTTGCAGCACTTACTAGTTGCGTGACCTTGACTGAGAGACTTAATCCCTGAGCTTCCATCTCTTAGTCTGTTAACTGAAGTAACAGTGCCTACCTTGTAGGGCTCATGGTGGAGAGTAAAATAATCTACTCGAAGTACAGGCTGTGGAGCCTTGTGTAAATAACGTTCTCAATAAATGTCTTTGATTGTTGCTGCTTTTACTATTTGGGTTAATCGTCTGAGAATGAGAAGGAAAATAAGCATTTCATCAGATGGAAGTCTGGTGTGTGTCAGAAGGAGAGTTGGGCTGCCCTTGATAAAGCAGAGAAACGCAGGATAGAGACAGAAGCTAGGGTTGGTGTCCAGAGGGCTTCATGACGGGCCAGCCCCCTTGTCCATCACCATCCACAGTGTACCTGTGTGGACTCACACCTTGCTCTTCTCCCACTCTTAGGGAGGGAGGGGGAATGTTCAGAAAACAACATCAATTTCTACCTCCTGAAGTCGTCAGCCCCTTGTAACTATTCAGGAGCCTGTGGCTTTAGAAAAGGCCATTGTCAGGTGACAGCAATTCCCCTACGCTAATGCCACGCCAGAAATTATCCCTTGAATGGAGAGAGTATGTTTCTTATAAGAAGCTGGGTGTCCTGCTTCCTGTATCCAGTCCAGGAAGCCTGCATCCGGTCCGCAGTTCCCCATTACCACCTGGGCAACCACCAGGGAGCTGAGCAGAAATGGGCCCGTCGCCTCCTCCTACAAGTTACAGCCTGGCTCAGGGTTAGCGCTGCCCACCCAGTCCCATGGCTGTAGCAAAGGGGGCAGGGAGCACTTTACTGAAGTGGACAAATCCAGCGAGGGGAGGAAGATTGATCTTTCCAGCAAGAGGAGAGTCTTTAATGAAATGTCCTATATGTGGAGAAGACCAGACTAAAGTGACATCCCATTAATAACTTATAAAAGCCTCTAATCAGCTTGGGTTAATTTGGTATTCATTGTAAAAACATTCATCATGGGCACTGAGGTCTGTGACAGTAGCCAAGAAATTAATATCCCACGGATGGAAATGGCCTTCTGTACCCTCAGATAATGGATGGAGACAGTTTGGTGAGTGATTTGTTAGCACTACCAAAGGGACCCTTCAAATGTAACACAATATGTTATCACTTCCTGGCTCTGTGGGGCTAAATCACTTTAATATTCACTTGCACTCAAGTAAATAAGCTGAGTTTTTGGTAATTAATAGGAATGGATGGGGTCGTATGACAGAGATACCTGATGGTCATGGTTAAAGAGTGAGGAGAATTAGGAAATAATTATGGGGCCCTTTCCTGCCACCAAGAGGCTCTTCTCCTGGGATACAGGGATTTCAGAAAGGAAATGCGTAATCATAGGATTATGGGGGAAGTGAGAGAAGAAAAATATAAGTAGGACATCAGGAGGAGGTGGAGATTTGTTTTAACTCTGTGTAAATGGAGGAGGCATAAGAGAAAATTTATTTATAAAACAATATGAAAATATGCAGAAAGAGTCATCAAGACATTCCTATACAAGATCACAGAAATCCCTCTAAAAAGAAGCCCAAAGCTATATCAACAAACACATTCATAACACTGTTATCCATAACAGGAATTTCTAAAAGCTGGAAATGTCCTAAGTGTTGAGAGCTGAGCCATTTGCTAAATCATGGAGTATCCATAGGAAGAGGTATTATATAACCATTTAAGATTATGATTAGGAAGACTGCATGGGAGCATGGAGCATATATCATCTATCAAACAATAGCAGGACTAAAAATAAGCCATTTGGTATGTTGGCATATGGAAAGGATTAGAAAGTAATATATTAGTCAAAATAATTATTTGGACTGGCCAGACTGGGCTTTTTTCCCCCTTCTAAAACTTTCTTGGTTAAAGCAACATTATATATATATTTTTTTTAAAAAAAAATTAAAAAGAGAAGAAAATGTATTGTTAAAAATGGGATTTAGGAACTCTACTCAATAAACATGTGCTCAAGTAGTGTTGAGGGTAAAGAAGAGGCGCTTTTTGCAGAGAATCCAAACATGAATAAGCCGCCCATCACCCTCCGGGGATCACAGTGCCGTTAATTCCACCGGTTTGAAAGCTCTGTTGCAAACCCTTCAGAGATATTTTCTGGGACTCACTCTCTTTTTGAAGGAGAGAAAGCAGAATAACAAAATTCAAGGTCACAGATTATGAGTGTTTAATATCTAAAAATTATTTTTAATTGATAAGTCATCATCGTATACACTTACGGGATACAAGAGGACTATAGTCAATAATAATGTGTTGTATATTTCACAATAAGAGAATACATTTCAAAAAAAAAATGGTAAGTGAGCCTTGAGACTCACTCTTAAGCCAGAACAAAATTAAGGAAAAGGTGGATGCAGGGTTAAAACCGGGCCTGACCTGCTTGCCCACGTTGGCCGGTGAAGATAAACCCTATTTTCTTCCTCATAGCTTCCTTAATTCAATTGCGACTGAAACAGTGTATCATTTCTTAGGAATAATCAAATTTAGAAGGGTGCCCCCACATCAGCCTCGGCAATATTAGGTTAGAGAATTTCAAGATCATTTATCAAATAGAATTTAAAGCAGGACCAGAGTTGTACATTAAGGAAGAGTGCACTTAGTGATAGATTCTTGAGAGAATATAACAAGGCAGTTAGTTATAAATGAACATAACCTTTTGAGACCTTTGGATGATGGGGCGTGGAGCCGCACCACACTTGCGGCCATGGCAGATCCTGTTTCTCGTCCTGTGGAGGGAGCAGCTTCTGAACATTTGGAGGCTTTTCCGGTCGCCTCGGGTAGGGCGGGGGAGGGCTGTACTCGGTGCTGCCAAGAATTCTCCTTCGTGCACCTAATCGGGTTCTGTAGATTACTTTGTGGAATTCTCCCGTTTGGGTGGAGGGAACACCTCTTCATCATAATTCCTAAATGTTTCACCATTGGAAAATATCAAAGTAAAGGTTCCATCTCCTGGTCTTTGTAGAATAACTGCGACCTTTTCTTCCTTTAAAGTGCTGAAATACTGTCAGTCCCACTTACTGTAGCAGTTAATCTTATGCCTCTTTGTTTTATTATTCAACTATTTTGCTTTTGAATAACTTTATTTCCCAGACCAAATGTAAGCTGTTGAAGAACAAAGAATGTTTTTCATTAGACTTTTGTCTTCCACAGCCCGTTGCTCAGCATTGTGCAGAGTGTAGGTTCTCAACAAATACTTGTGAAATGAATGCCATCCAGAAGGGAAAGTAAAATTAAATGTCAGATTTATAGACATAAGGTCCAACATTCATGGAAATTGGAAAACTTTGACGTTATAACCTAAAATTTTTGAGATTTAACAACTTGTCTGATGGCAAATTAATTCAGCAGTTCAGATTCAGTTCAGATTGTGAGCAATACCAAGGAAGAAAATCTGGATTTTCGAGTCAGACATTTGTCTTAAAATGTTTGTTATGCTGTGAAAGATCTTAAAAGGAAGATAGAGAGTGCTCCTGATTAAAACCTGTCAGGATCAGGCTGAACTCAACAAGGCGAAAGGACCTGAACTTCTTGTCTTTCCAAGGACGTTTCAGAGGATGAAAGCGCCTCACTTCTTGTCCCACTAGGACACCGAGGTGATCGTCTCCGCAGTGTCATAAGGAACAGTGAGGCCTCGTGGGCTTGTGCCCCTCACGCACTCTCCGGTTTGAAATTGGGGTCGGCCCTCATTCTAATGCCCTGTGAGGGCCTCAGAGGTTATTGTCTGGGTTGTTAAACGTGGAGACAGAGAGGGCACAGAACAGAAGATAATTTGCTCACTTAAAACAAGAGGTTTCTAAGAACGTTTGGAGAAATTTTAGTGTGTCCAAGTCAGTTATTTGTGAATGATTCTTCTGGACCTTTCTGCAAAGTAGACTTCACAGGGCTCCTCCTTTGCAGAATTTTGTTAGCCCTGATTGATTATTAGAGGTTAATTATCAATACTGGATACTAACGTACTTCTGCCCTTTGACGTGGGTATTTGCACAGCCCACGAGGTTTTATTTCACTTCTCTGATGTGTGGGGAACACAGTGCCTTACTCGTGCTAGAGCAGTGATAGACGTGAGCACAGATAATCAATGAGTCAATTTCAATGACAGACCACTTTGGTTTTTTTTTAGACTGTGGGTTTTACTTTTGTTCTTTTGTTTCATTTTTTTGTTGTTGTTTTGTTTTGTTTTTTGTGTAATAGCTCACATCTAGTTCAGCTATTTCCACTCTAAAAAAAGTTAGCAAATTAGTGAATTGATTTTTCTGTTTGTTCTTCAGTTTGAAAACCTCTTCATTTATCTGAATGGTTTTAGTTTTCCCTTTAATGGCTTTTATGGCCAGGAACTGTTTGAAATATGTTTTAATTTCCTCCATTAGGCCAGATTTAATTAACGTACACTATGCATGTTGGTGAGCTGAGTGTGCCGTCTGACCTCCAGCCTAGATCGCTCTAGAGCCTGCGCCTGTCCCGTGAGTGTGAGGCCAACTGTGCACTCCAGACTCAGTTCATTCATAAATCTAAACTCACTATTGTTTCTGCCAAAGCTCTGCCCTGTAAGTGGTACCACCATCTCTTCTGTGCCAGGTCAGCCAAATTCTTGACTCCCCTTCCTCCCCCACCGGCTTGATCCACTATACATTTTATGAATTCTGCTTTCTTGGTATCATGAAAATCCACCTTCTTCTTTCTGTTCCCACCATCACCTCATGCCTAGGTTCCTGTAACAGCTGCCTTCTTGGTTTTTCTACCCCAAAACTACCCCTACTCCAGAATGTTCTCCATCTCTCACTGAGTGATCTAAAATGCAAATATAATCATGTCCATTTTCCCATGTAAAATCCTTCCACTGTTTTCCACTGCCTTTAGGATAGAACCCAAACCCCTTCACATGCTTTGTGAAGCCCACCTGAGGTGCCATCACTCCCCTGACCTCTCCTGCCACCCAGTACTCCCAGGCTGGAGACCAGCCATAATGAGCTACATCCAGTTCCGCAAATGTCCCAGACCACCTCTCACTGCGAAGACTTTGTATTTGCTATTCACAAAGTCCAGAACACACTCTTTTTTTAAAAAATGTTTTAAAAGACCATGTCTAGCTCTATCACCCAGGCTGGAATACAGTGGTGTGAGCATGGCTCACTGCAGCCTCAACCTCCTTGGCTCAAGCGATCCTCCCACCTCAGCCTCCTGAGTAGCTGGGACCTCAGGCACGTGCCACCATGCCTGTTTAGTTCTTGTATTTTTTGTAGAGATGGGGGTCTCACTGTGTTGCCCAAGCTGGTCTGGAACTCCTGCACTAAGCAATCCTTCTACCTCAACCTCCCAAAGTGCTGGGATTACAGGCATGAGCCACTGTGCCCAGCCCAGGACACACTCTTAATCCCCCACCCCTCACCCCTAACTCCAATCCCTGAAGATTGGGCTTGAGACCCCTCTGCTCTGTCCCCTGCCACTCTGCCATTGCCTTATCACCACACTCATCACTCTCTGCTTTTGTGACCTGTTTCCTTGTTATTCTCCCCCAGCCAAATCCAAGCTCCTTAGGAACAAGCACCTCTCGTGTTCACTGCTGTGTCCTCAGCCACTTTGTGTAGACTGTTAGTAAGCATTAAATACGTGTTCAAAGGTTGAATGGGTGACTCAGTCAATTAAGGCATATTATTTACCCAAGATGAAAATCAATTACTTTTTTCAATTTAAGCGTAAACTCGATTTATGAATTTTTATGAAATTTGTTTCTGTGTTTTCACCTATTGGAGATGTTGGCTGACCTTTCATCTCTAGCCACACCCTGTGGCATCCTCCTTTAAATTTTAGCCTTTTCAGCCACCACATGGGTCCCAATTACCATGACACCGTGTTCAAACCCAGGCTCACCAGTTTCTAGTTACCCTTCAGATAAAAAGGTTATGATTGCACGTACATGTATCTATTTAATTAAGCTAGTTTTCTCCATGGCCATACAAAGTCGTGTTTCTAAAATTAGCTGGGTGATCTGACTGTTTAGTGGAACTTGAGTCTTTAGAAGGTCCTCAGATACCACTGCTGTCTACTTCCTGTAAATCTAATCATCACAGGACAAGGTGCAGGATAGGCTTGCTTAGGGAATGCTGCCTTTTAAATTTCCTATGTTACTGCATGACAAGATTAGTTGACTCTGATAACTCCCTACAAAAGACTCAGAATAATAAAGGAATAAATTAATCAGTCAATGGAAAAGCAAACGATCTATACCAGGCTGATGAACTATAATAGAACATCTCATTGTTACACAGAGTCAGCCGTCTCCCACTGCCCTGCTGAATCCTATCTGAACAGTAAATCTGTGTTGTAACAGAGCCAGCATGGCAAGCAGCTGCTCAGCTGGCCTTTCCCCTCCTGTCTCATAAAGAAAAATGCCAATGTATTCGTAATTTCCCAGTGAGGTGGCAGAGTCTGTAAATCCTTTTTTCCAATAACCCTAAAATTTTACTAGCCAACGGTTCAACAGCCTGGTACACATTTAGGGAAACAAAAGGTTTATGGTGGCAGATGATTGTTTAGAATAATGTTTCTTAACTCAGCTACACTTCAACTTGTGTAACTACGAATGCTGTGGCTGCATGCCCAGAGGCTCTGGTTCGTTTGGACCAGGGTGGGGCCTGGGCGTCAGGGTATTTGAAAGCTCCCCAGGGGCTTCTGATGTACAACCATGTCTGAGCATCCTGGGTTTAGATGCTTACAGGCGGGACTGGGACTGGATGACCTCTTTAATAAACTTTGAAGTTTCAAGGTCAACATTCCAACTTCATAATAAAATATAGAATCTCTTAGATTATATTTTTAATCACCAGGCCCATCACAAGGGAGGTGCTGAATATAAAATTGCTGGTCATTAAAACATTGCCAGGGAAATTGTTGCTTCAAAAAGGCAGCTGTACTTCCTTAGATCAACATGCATGGCTTGGCCACGTTGTAGTTTACTTTGCTCCTGGTCAATTCAACTTAATTCAACTCAAAGTTAAGATCAGGATGTGATAAAATTATTTTGTTTTCTTTTTCTTTGAATCCTGGATGAGAAGTCATTGTCCAAATCATTAGGTGTTTTATGCAATATTACCAATCTTTAGTGTGATTTTCCCCCCATCAAACCTATAAACAATAAACTTTTCTAAAAGAAAGCCTGCCATGATGGAAGCACTGGGTTTCAGACAGCAAGTCTCACTGCATGGCTGTGCAGGTTGGGACATACTAACTTGTGATAACAGCGGCCTTTTAGATAGGGCTCACAATGTTCCCACCACCATGCTAGGCACTCAGTGTATTACTGTCTCTTTTGCTCACAATATCTCTATTCAGCAGTGAGAAAATAGAAATTCAGAAAATGGAAGTAATTTTCCCCGGGTCACATATCAGGGATGGTGTCAGAACTGAAACTGAAGAAGTCGTGTCCCAGCTTCTTCCTTTGGACCGAACTCTTAAGTCTGGACTCTGTTCAGAATGACTTCTCTCAAGACCAAATGTTCTCAAGTCTATGAGAAGCCTTTGAACACCTCTTAAATGCACTGTAAATACAGTGTTATTACCATGAACGTGATATTTGTATATTTGTATTCAAGGCCACCATAAGGATTTTTTTTTTTTTGGCAATGCACAGAAGCTGGATGTCTCCCGATACAGCATCTGGTGTAATTAATCCGACACCCTTATCTCTCCCCACTGAGCATTCTCAAAGGGAATGAAACATTGACCTAACTGATATTTCCCTCTAAAATCTTTGCAGGTTCCATAAATGAGCTGTCAGAGCCCCAGGGCAGACACTGAACCCCAACTGGAATAAAACGTTCCTCCTGGAGAGGGTGGGTCAGTTATCCAGCACAGCATTCCTCACATCCCAGGGGTGTGCAGAGCCCTTTCAGAGCTGGATCAAACAAATGAAGCTTGTATGTCTCCTTTTCCAGGGGGTGACCTAAGTATTTGATGTTAGTTTTCTACGCTTCATTATTTTTTTTATTTCGGATGCATTTTAAATGTTAATGAAATATTTTATGAATAAAGAGTAATAAAATGAGCACTCACATGCCCTCCAGTCAGCATGAAATACAGAGCATTCCCAAGCATGCCCAGAGCTCGGACTCCAGGTCCACCGGGTTCCGGGTCCCTCCTCCACCAGACCAACCACTCCTCTGAATTTTCTTTATGTTTCCCTGCCATTTATGGATCTCTAAACAATATACCATTTACATTTTGAACATTATGTAACTGTTACCAGACAGTATCTATACTCATGTGACTTGAGGTTACATCAACATAGTATAGATACTGTCTGTCTTGTCACTATACAGTAACATGAGTGTAGACGCTTGATGTACCCTGAGTGTACATACTGTCTGGTAACAGTTACATCAAGTTATATAAAGTCTCCTATATTATCTTGTATGAACATGTGGAAGCATTAGCTGTAATTGAGTCTTTTTCAGTTTTCTGTCATAGTCCATTATACAAATGTATCACAATGCCTTTATCCAGTCCTTTGTCCATGGATATTTAGTTTTCTATTTTTAAATGTATTTACAGTTTTGCTATGTGCATTTTGCTCATGTTTTCTGGTGCACATGTGGCAAAGTTTCTGTAGGTTTTGCTGTGTGTATATTTCATTACTGATGGTGCTGAACATCTTTGCATGGGTGCATTTTCTATTCATGTCACAACTTCTGTAAAACACTTGTTCATGTCTTTTAACCTATTTTTCCTTCGGGTTGTTTGCCCCTTTCTTATTGATGCGCATCATTTCTTTATACATTTAAGATTCAATTATTTGTCAATTACATTATTTCCAAGATCTTCTCTCATTTTACAGCCTGTCTTTTCACTCTTATTTTGATATTCTTTGGCAGGAAGATACATTGATTTCAATGCAATTTATTCCTTTATGGTTTGCATTTTTAAGTCTTCTTGAAGAAATTGTCCCTACCCCAAGGACATAGTCTCGTAGATTATCTTGTAACATTTTTTTACTTTCATCTTTGACAATTATGTCTTTAGTCCCCCTGAACTGGATTTTTGGGAAGGGTGTGACGCATGCTTACAATTATCTTTCCCTAGGAATAATCAATTGTCCCAGAACAATTTATTGAGAAAGTGTTCCTTTCCTTACTGATCTTTGGAGCCTCTGCTATTTATCAAACTTCTGTGTATGGGTGGATTTGCTTTCAGACTCTCCACTGTGTTCCACTCATCTTTTGTCCACTGTTGTAACAACACCACACGTTCTTACTACAGCTTCACCACACAGATGGGGCATTTGGTACAGCCAGTCACCTGGGCATGCTGCTCCTAAGAGTGTCCTGGCTGTCCTTGGCCTTTTGCATATGTGTATATATGTGTCACTCATGCACACACACAATTTAGAATAAGTTTGTTCAGTTCCTCTAAAAACACTATTGGGAGATTAGTGTGAACTGCATTAAGTCTATATACCAATGGAGGGAGAATTTATAAACTTCAGCTGTTGAAACTTTCAATATGTGGTATAGTTCCCAGTTTATTTACTTAAAAAATACTTTCTCCATAAATTTTTATAATTTTCTCCAAAACAGCTTGCAAAGCTGGTTTAAATTTACTCTTACATATCTTCTTTGGATATTTTTGGTACATGTTTCATTTTGTAAATGTAATTTTTAGAATTTATGTCTGCTAGTGTATTAGTCAGGGTTCAGACTAATTAGTTAGAGGGACAGAACTAACAGGATATATATATTAACTTACACGATCACAAGGTCCCATAATAGGCTGCAAGCTGAGGGGCAAGCAGAGCCAGTCCCAGTCTCAAAACTGAACAACTTGGAGTCTGATGTTGGAGGGCAGGAAGAGGCCAGCACTGGAGAAAGATGTAAGCTTGGAGGTTTGGCCCATCTCTCTTTTTCATGTTTTTCTGCCTTTTTCATATTCTCTGGAAGCTGATTAGATTGTGCCCACCCGATTAAGGGTGCATCTGCCTTCCCCAGCCCACTGACTCAAATGTTAATCTCTTTTGGCAACACCCACACAGACACACCCAAGATTAATACTTTGTATCCCTCAATCCAATCAAGTTGACACTCAGTATTAACCATCACAGCTGGTTAATAGAATTGCACTTGACATTTTCTATTGATTTTGCATCCAGCAGCCTTGCTAAACTCATTTACTTCCAATAATTGATCTGTGGTTTCTTTTGGATCTTGTATTTAGATAATTACACCCTCTCCAAATAATGACACATTTATTTCTTCCTTTTTCATCCTCAACTCTGCCTTATTTCCTGATCTTACTCCACTCTCCAGAACCACCCACACTATGTTGAGCAGAACAGCAATAGTGAAGATGCAACCCTCGCCTTCTAGCTCATCATAGAGGAAATGCTCCCAAGTTTTTGCCATGGAATGTGAAGTTGCTGTAGATTCATTTGGGAATGACCTTGGTCAGTTTCAGGAAGGCCATTTCTATTTCTAGTTTGCACGATTTATTTGGGAATGACCTCGGTCATTGGGTTTTGTTTCTTTGGTTGGTTGTTGTTGTTGGTCTTGTGGTCTGTGTTCTGTTTGTCTTTATTTTGAATGGATTTTGAATTCTATGAAGTATGTTTTCTGAATCTATTGAAATGATCATGTGGGTTTTTTTTCCTTTAATCTGTCAGTGAGGTGTATTGTATTGTCAGTAGAAAACCAGCCTTATGTGACTAGGATAGATGTGATTGATTGGGATGTACTTTTTAATATATACCTAGCTAGATTTTTTTAACATATTTTCTTTAGGATTTTTGCGTCTGTGTTCATGGGTGAAATTCGTCTACACTGTGGGACATTATTGAATTTAAAATCAGTTTATTAGAATGGTAGGTACTTAAGTAGGTACAAACACAAAACTATGCAACTATAAAGCCATATATAATTTACCAATTCACTTCAACAAATCTACGAAAGCAGGAAATTTAAAAACAATTATATCAATTTGCAGTGCTGATGTTTTACTGAAAGTCTCTGGCAGCTGGAATATGATGACAATGCTGACTGCTCCATGAATTTTCCTTTCTTCTCCTGCATTACCACGTGACTTGTCATGACTTAATTTCCCATGCATTTTCTTTATTTGACCTATAGAGAAACCTTCTTTGGAACAATACAGCCATGTTATTGTTGCTTTGCTTGGCAGGAATACATCTTTCGCATGTCAAGTCCCTTTTATTCTTTTCTCACTGGCCCACAATAACTAAAGCAGTACTACTTGGCACCAGTGTGCTTATAAACATAAATTCAGGCCCTAAAATCAGGATAGAAGGACTTGCTTATTGGATAGTCATCCAGGTGGTCCACAATATGGGATATACATTTTACTAAGATTCTCATCAAAATGAACATATGAAATGTCAGTGTTTTATAAGGACCTGTGTCCTCAGATTCCCAGGTTGTTATCACTCAGTTTGAGAAGCATCCCATCCAGAGTTTTTACAGAAGGAATTGTTAGTACAGTTTGCTAGGCTGCATTTGAACCAATGTCGGCCTTCCCTTAGGACCAGCAGAGACGGTAAGCAGAACTTAGGTGAGTGGTAAGGAGTCTTTTAGAGAAGTCCTCCTCCCTCGAGGGCCTCACTCAAGATCTGACTTTGTAGAAAGCAGAACTTCACACTGACTTTGAGTAACTGTCTTCCATGATGAGCTGGGGAGAGAATGGAACGGTGCCCATGAGACTGTAGGACTTCATGACCTTCAGCTGTTTCTCCACACAGAGTGCTCTCAGCCTACAGCGAGAGAGGAATGATCCCACCAGCTGGAAATAGAGAGGACTGCAACCCAAACCACCCCCCACCCCGCATCATGAGGCAGCAAGAGTTGGACATATCTTCTCCCCATCTTCCCCTGGACACACCCTACAGAAAGTCCTGTGGAAACACCCCACTATGAGGCTGCCTTATTCTCATGTTAGCCTGATTTGCAATAGGGAAAATGTTGAGGACACAAAAAACCCTGGCTTTATTTGCCCTGATCACTTCATCCTCATGGTGGTAAAAATGCCCCATCCATGCAACAAGTCTTCAAGCACCTCTCATGTGCCAAGCAGCCCCTGCCTTAGGACCACCCGCTGTTAAGTGTTCACTGGTGATGCCACTGTCTTACCTTATGAGCACTAAATGCTTAAGCAGGGCTGGTAAAACATAGAACATTTCTCAGGTTATTGTTTCAAAATACACTGTGGTTGTCAGGCGGAAAAGGTTTCCCTCTTAGGATCACCTGTGACGAGCAACGTCAAAGTGTTTTGGTGCAACTCAAATGCTTTGCTGGAACTGTTTTTCTCCATACAATGTACGGGGAAGGCTTCCATGTCATGGAACAAAGTGGTGAATGTTCAAATGGTCAGGGTGTGATTTCATGGGCTGCATGGATTAAGGAACATTGAAACATAAAGTTGAGGACATTGCTCTGTTTTCAATTCTCTCAAACTTCTGTTTTCCGATGAGGAGCATGATTTTGACACCTCCTAATTCTTGCTCATGTCTCTTTTTAACAAATGGAGAGTGAGCCTCAGGCCCAGAACTCCAAGCAGGACTGGGCAGAATTCATTATCATGTTTTGGTTTTTTGGTATTTATTTTATGCTTATCATTACTTCACTGCAAAGAATACTGGTGTTCCATTTATAGTAGTAATACAAAATGTCCCTGATAAATGAAACTTGTTTACATAAAGAGGGAATTGACTGAAAAGAAAATAAAGCAGCCGGGCGCGGTGGCTCACTCCTGTAATCTCAGCACTTTTTGGGAAGCCGAGGCGGGTGGATCAGGAGTTCAGGAGATCGAGACTATCCTGGATAACATGGTGAAACCCCGTCTCTACTAAAAATACAAAAAATTAGCCAGGCATGGTGGTGCACACCTGTAGTCCCAGCTACTCAGGAAGCTGAGGCAGGAGAATCGCTTGTGCCCGGGAGGTGGAGGTGGCGGTGAGCCAAGACGGTGCCACTGCACTCCAGCCTGGGTGACAGAGTGAGACTCTGTCTCAAAAAAACAAATAAATAAATAAATGAAAGAAAAAAAGGAAAAGAAAAGAAAGCAAATAATAGTATCAGAGGTACTCACAAAGGTGGTTAGTGTTTAACCAGCCTTGGGAAGTGCTCCTGTCAGGGAAGGAAGCCAGGGTTTAGCAACAACACACGTTGGGTGGAAACCCAGCCCTCACTGGATTGATGATGTGTATAACCCCTCTGAGCCTCAGTTTCCCCATTCATGAATAGGGCAAAAAGACCTCCCAGGGATGCTGTGAAGGTTAAAGGCAATAACTTATAGGCAGCATTCCTTATGTGGTAAATGTTAGTTCCCTCCCTGATGTTGGAGGAGAAATCTATTATTATCTTGAATCTGGGCCAAAGACATAATAATATTTGCATAAGTGATGAAAGATGACAAAATGGAAAAACATGGACTTGTAGCAAGACAAGCCTATTAGCTTTTTCGACCTTGAAACTTCTGATTTGATTTCCTAATCCATAAAATGAGGAAGATTAAGATACTTATTTTGCATAATTATTGGGCAAATCTGAGGTAATGTATGTAATTAAGTCACGTCCTAGTGATCACATCAAGTACAGAGTAGGCCTCAATCAATAACAGCTGTTTGTTATGGTCCTCACTGGGGAAGGACCATGACTTTCCTTCCTCATGTGAGAACCTCCTTTATCTTTCAAATTGTATCCTCATGTGCATAAAATATTCTTCAGAGTTTGTAGGGAAATCGTTTGATTAATGTTGGGGTCAAGAAGCAACAAGGTGTTGCGGGGACATCCTCTAGAGCCTTGAGAATTTGGGGTGTGAAATTCTAATTTCTGAGATGCTGATGTAGCTACAGATTCTACATAGAGACCCACTCACCTCATTAATTCAAGGTTCAGGGCACTGAAAGCGCATCTACCCATCATCCTTTTCTCTTTTTCATACTTTTATTTGAAAACTATTATTCTCTCTCTCTTTTTTTTTTTTTTTTTTGAGACAGGGTCTCACTCTGTCATCCAGGCTGGAGTGCAGTGGCACAGTCATAGCTCACTGTAGCCTCAAACTCCTGACCTCAACCTCAAGCAGGTGTTCCTCCCATCTCAGCCTCCCTAGTCACTGGGACTACCGGCACACACCACTACACCCGGCTAATTTTTAAATTGTCTGTAGAGATGAGGTTTTGCTATGTTGCCCAGGCTTGTCTCAAACTCCTGGGCTCAAGTAATCCTCCTGCCTCAGCCTCCCAAAGTGCTGGGATTACAGGTGTGAGCCACTGGGCCTGGCCCTCTTTATTTTTCTACTGACAATTAACCTTCTACTTGACCAGAGGTCTTTTTAAGGATTAAAGAGTGGTAATTTGGCTCCCCTAAAATTCACAGCTGTGAGTGTGCTGTGAGTTGTGTGACAGCTGCATTGCAGTTGCAATTGTGTGCTAGTTTCTAACAAGGGGAAGCAAACGCTGACGTGGCCGAGAAGGAAGGCCCTTACTATGAGGCTTCCGTTAAGTCTCCTCCAGGTCACATTTTCATAACACCAAGTGATATTTTTCAGCTTGAATGTCTCCTGATATTATAAGGAGTTTGAAATTTTCCTTTATTAATTAACATTTTCATTTTGCTCACATTTTGGAGAGCACTGATTTTCCAGAAGTGCTAATTACCAAGCTCACAGCAGAAGGTTGGCTGCATTTTAAACTATTTCCTCAGATGCTCCCTGCTGAACTCAGAGATGTCCTCATTCAGCCGAGCCAGCCTCCCAGGTGGGTGGGAGGCCCCTGGCTGGTGCCACTCACAGACTTTGGGCTTCTTCTGAACCCGCGGAGCCCTGAAACACCAATAGGCCCACACTCCTGAGGGGGTTCTGGCCACATCTGCCTTTAGGAAAGATCTGTTCATTGGTGTAAAACCCTGACGTGTGACATCAGAAAACCAGAGCACCTGGCCATGCCCCAACCCTGTAGCTCCAGGCAGACCTCCCTATGATGTGGCCTGCCATAGTCATGTGGCTCGTGATGAGTCTAGAAGGCCTGGAAGTTTCTGTCTAAGTCTGGGCAAAAACAGAGGGACTCACAGCACCCCTTGTGGTGTGAGAGTAATAGATGCATGCATACATGTGTGAAGGCTTGTTTGCAGATGTCTCCATCTGTTATGTCTGAGCCCATTCAGGCTGCTCTAACAATATCGTAGACTGGGGTGCTTAGAAAAAACAAATTGATTTTTCATCGTCCTGGAGGCTGGAAGTCAAGGTTAACTTGCTAGCTGATTCTGTGCCTGGTGAGGGCCTGTGTCCTGGCTCATAGACTGCCTTCTTCTGTGTCCTCGCTTGGTGGAAGGGACAAGGGACCCCTCTGTGTTGTCTTTTGTAAGGGCACTAATCTCATTCGTGAGCGTTCTCCCCTCATGACGTGATCATTTCCCAAAGACCTCACTTCCTAATACCATCCCATTGGGGGTGGGATTTCAACATTGGAACTTGGGGAGGACACGAACATTCAATGTGTAACACCATAAAGAAGACATGGGAGGCCAGGCTCAGTGGCTCACAACTGTAATCCCAGCACTTTGGGAGGCCGAGGTGGGTGGATCGCTTGAGGTCAGGAGTTCAAGACCAGCCTGGCCAACATGGGGAAACCCCGTCTCCACTAAAAATACAAAAATTAGCCAGGCATGGTGGCGGGTGCCTGTAATCCCAGCTACTGGGAAGGCTGAGGCAGGAGAATCGCTTGAACCCGGGAGGCAGAGGTTGCAGTGAGCTGAGATCACGTCACTGCACTCCAGCCTGGGCAACAAGAGTGAGACTCCATCTCAAAAAAAAAACCAGAAGGCATAGGAATCTGGTATGTATGTACTAATCTTCAACATTGACGGTCCCCAGCCTTTCAATCCTTGATGTAAGTGATGAAGATGAGCTTCTGATCTCTCAAGGCCCGGCGGACCCCTTTCCTAAACCTGGGGTTACCATTTTCCCATGCCTGGGGGTTTTCCCAGGACATTCATGCTGATACCAGGACAGTCCCGGGTAAGCGGGATGGTTGCTCATGCTGTTGACAAGGCTCTGGGGATCTTGGCGCCACCACCTTCTCCTCGTGCCACACACACACATGCACACACACCACCCATGCCAGACTTCTGAATCTCATCTTATGAGTCCATTAATTCACTGTTCCCCACCTGCTATATGTGCCCAAAGATTTGAGATTTGCATAGACAACATTTTGAAAAGTTTTATCCTCTGTTTTGTCATTAAAATAGACCCCGTGGGTGGGTCAGCAAGTGATATTAGGAAGACGGGGGTGAGATGGTATCAAATGAAGGGAAGACTACAGGGCTGGCGGCAAGGACACAGATTTGGGGTAGCAGCCAGACTTGGGAATTTGGTGAGGGTGCATGACGCCCAAGACTATTGCAGAGCCTGATGCCTCGGCCCCCGGGTACCTGGACCACAGTGGCAGGGCGCCAGAAAGGGCTGTGAGGGAACTAGGTCAGCAACCAAAAACTCACAGGAGTCAAACGAATACTATGAGCCACTATGTTTGCCCAGAGCTGTGCTAGTGTGTGTATGAGATTTTTAAAAAGGGAAAACGTTACTGTTGCCTGAAGGAGATTAATATGTGGATAAGACATACATACATGACAGAAACTAAGAAAGTTATTACAAGATTTTAACCAGAGTCTTACCACCCTATTTTTAAGGCAGGAGAATTGTATGAAATGATTGCTATAGTTCAGAGAGGTGAAGTAATCCTCTAAATCACATAGTGATTTGGTGTTTTGTGAGTTTGGAGAAGGAGAGGTGAAGGTGGTTCTGGAAGGCTTCCTCCAGGAGATGGGGCAGACTCGGGCTCTGCAGAGCAGGCAAGGTCATCAGAGAAGCGGAGCAGCAGAGACCTGGAGGCAGGCTGTGAGGTGGCTGGCGCTGTGTGGATCAGGGAGGTGCCGAGGGTAGGAGAATGCTGGCCTGGTTCTAAGTCATTGGCCCTGCGGCACGTGGCCTGTCTGGAAATGAGTTCCTGCAGACACTCTGGACAGGCAGGAGACCTCAATGGGCACTGGGGCAACCTGGGCCAGCTGTAGGCTTCCTTCCTGATCAAACAAGCGGACCGTGCTGAGACACCTCCCCGAAAGCCACAGGTCTCAGCCCCTTCATGGGTGACCCTGTGTTATCCACCTGAGAAAGGGCCCAAAAGAGGCCTCTCAGAGGAGGCAGGCCCTGTGGCAGCACGGGCCTTGAAATCGGCCCCCGGGGCCCCTGTGGCTTCAGTCCAGGGACTCCATGCCGGGCGCTGAACCACCTCCACAAAACTCATGCGATCCTCAGAGCCCCGCCTCATCAGCCGGAGGACAGGGGTCACCTGACAGTGTGTCTGAATGAGCGGAAGCTTCCGTTCTGTGAGAGCTCTGGGCTTTTGTGAACTGACACGGGGCACAGCCACCCGGGCCCCTGGGTGTGGAGTAACCTAAGAAGTCGTGTACCCCTGGGGTGATGAGGATTGAGGCTAAGATGGGCAGAGGGAGAGGAAAGGTTACACGGGACCCAGTGACAGGAGTCGCAGTGAGTTCAGCCCTGGTCTGCCCAGAGCAGTCCAAGTTTACCCGGGAGTCCAGGGGAAGTCACAAATAGAGCTTCCTTTCATGTGCAAATGTCCCCTCATTTGGATGATAGGTTATAGGACCCTCCTAAGTTTGGTGACTTCTGAGGTCTCAGGCTAAGACATTTCTTTGACCCCACTACAGATGAAGTACATTGTTTAAGTGTTGGAGGGAGTGGCCTAGCCCAGGGCCCAGAGCTGGAGCCTGCCAGCCTGGTCCCCATCCAGGCCCTTCCACTCATGGGCTCTGTCCTGTTGGGCAAATCACCTAGGCTGTCTGTGCCTCATTTTCCTCTAATATGGATATCAACATAGCGCCCACCTCATGGGCTTATGAGGATGTGACTCATACTATGCGTGATGCCGTGTTAGCCTTTGTTAATGAGAACCTCCTGGTCAGAGCTGTGCTGTGGGCAGCCAAAGGCCGATTATGGAGAACCACCCAGAGTGGAGTTAGGAGCCGGCCTCGGGGGGCCGGTCACAGAGTGGCTCAGCTGGTCAGAAATCATGTCTAAGTCTCACACAGGCAGGAAAATGCGACAGTGAGAAAGGGTCCTGTCCCAGCCCCTGAGAGAGTACGATTCTACAAAGACCCTGACACCTGCTCTTGTGACTGAGTTGCATAAAGTAGGGGTTGAATTCCTGAGTCCACTAAAGACATGTACTTCCAGAATGGTAGGAGTGAAAGAGGGGTGAACATAGATGGAGAACCAAGGGTTTTCCCAGGTGCTGTTTGTAGGTCACACAGGGGCACAGTATTGATGGGAAAGTCAGCCTCAGGCATCATGTGCATCATTCAAGGTGTCCCGTCATGTTCCTGGCAGAGTTGGCTTCATATCCAACTTGCCTGACTCCACAGCAGCCTCCCTTTAAGGAGGCTTGGACAACCCAGGCCGCCATGACCGGAACCCCAGAACCTGCCCACGAGAAGTTGCTCCTGTTCTCCTCCTCCCCTGCGAGGCTCCTCTCAGGCCAGGGCTTCCAAGTCCCATGTAGGCCTCCAGAGCCAAGACCCCTGCAGCACCCTGTGCACTCAGGCAGAGGAAAGAGCCCAGGATCCTGCACAGCCCCTTGGCTCTGCTGTGGCCTCTCATCGGGCCCCTTGGCATTCCAGGTGGCCCTGCCATCCCACAGACATCCTCCAGGAAGCCAAGGATGGGAAGGATTCTGAGGTCTGTTTGGCAGAGGTCACATGGATACGTTATGGGAGAGGAGTGGTGTTCTGGCACCCCATGGCTTGAAGGTTTCCATTGTTTTCTCTGTTGATATAAAGACTGGTTTTCAGACAGAGGCAATAAGGGAAGAAACAATAAGTGAGAAGGTGAAAGAGGTCAGTGTTAGACGTAAAAATGCCACTTCTTCTGCAAGGTTTTCTTGAACTCCCAGGTTCGAATTCCCACCACCTTCAGCCATGGCGTGCGCGGCTCTGTCTGTACACTCAGTGTACAGTAAACATTTGTCTACAGGTCTTTCCCGTAACTTGTGATATCCCACACAGCTTAGGATGGTGGCATATTTATTATTTTATCACCAATTCCCAGTACAGGTGCTAGGTTCATTTTAGGCATTTGGTTGAACTTTATCATTTATTTATTTTCCCATTATAAAAATAATACAGAATATAGTAAAAAATAGGAAAAAAAGCCTTTTTAAAATAGCATCAATAGACCCAGTATCTAAAATTACTATTAATATTTTAGTATGTTTTCTAAATCTATTTCCAAGAATAGATGTATTTTTTTAGTTACAATTATTAGTTTTACATCCCAACCTTTTGATACAATTAGCATTGTATACAATTAAATACTTATTGTTAACATAATTTTCATAGTTACATAGTATTTCATTGAGTCGATCTACCAAAATGCAATTAACCATTTTCCAGCTAGACCAGCTGGACCATGTATAATATTCCCTGTTATCACTGATGCTGTGAAGCACCTTTGGGTCTAAGATGTTCCTTGAGTGGAATTACTGAGTCAAAAACTAGGAACACTTTTTTATATACACTTTTGATGTATATTTGCGAATTGTCGTCCGTATGCCTCATCATTCATCCTGATTCCATGCTCACCAGCATCAGGTGAATATGCAATTCGTTTTAAAGAGAACTTGCTAAGGCTATGATTTTTTAAAAAGATCTCTGCTAATATAATTTAATTGCATAGCTATTTAAATCAGCATATATTTAATTATATTCTATAGTTAATTAAATTCACATATATTTAATAGTAAATTGATTTTCTGTAAAGTAATACCAGTGATATCTTTCTTGTGATTTTATTCTTGCTCCATTTATCTTTTAATGTCTTGGTGTGTAAATAACCAAAAAGCTCCCTGAAGGGGAAAGACAGCGGAAATCGGAAATCACCTCTGAGTCCTTCACGGTCCAGCCAGGAGCTAGTCTCAGGCGTAGCGGAGCCCCTGATGCCCATGCCAGAGGCAGCGACTTCTGAGCTGGGTTCTGTGATTCCCCTGCTCATCCTCTAGGAGGCACTAATGAGCAGCAGTGAGCTGAGGAAGACGAAGAGCCAGAGGACTCCAAAACCTGGAAGATCTGAGTAACCTACAGACGGGATAACGAGCCCCTGTAGGCTGCAGAGAGGTTGGCTGCTGGTCACACCACCCTGGAGAAGAGCACGGTTCCAAGATCAGCCACCCAGGGAACCTGGGAGGGAAGCAGACACTGTCTGAGAAGGGAGGGGATTGATGACTTCACTGAACCCTGAAACTGATCTCATCTGCTCCAAATACCTGGGATGATCCGGGAGACTTAGCCAGGAACATCTGAATGATGTTTCATGGGTAGCATTTTACTCTTGCTAGAAGCCGGAGGCCACTCGTATTAGGACTGTATACAAAAAGGCCCAGAAACTTAACAAGAAAAAAATAGATTTTTTCATCACCTTAGAAAGATATTGAAAATTCATTCACTTCTTTGCAGTCAGAGGGTGACTTCTGGCAGCTGACAAGTCTCGGATCTAACTGCAATATAAAAAGATTTGTGGAGTGAGAGAGTGCCTCCCACTGCTTTCTACCAGTCAATAAATTTGTCAGTCCTCTGAAAGCTTTCAGAGAGAAAACGTTCACAATATTTGTGTTTTGGTTCAGACCTGCTCCTATAAAGGCCCCGTGGCCCAGCCTTGTTACTTTCAGCTGCAAGAGGCAGCAGCTGAGCCCAGTGCAGGGGCTCTGAGTCACCTGGGGAACTTGCCGCCCCCAGACAGCCGGGCCCCTGTGCAGAGTGTGTGACTCAGTATGTCTGGGGTGGGGCCTGAGAGTCTGCATTTCTAACGAATCCCCAGGTGCTGCTGAGTGGCTGGGCCCAGAGTGGCCTTGGAGAAGCCCTGGCATGATTGCTTGTGCCATCAGGCTGCCTAGTTCTGCCCCTTATGGGCAGGGCGACCTTGGGTCAGGGCTGGCTTCTCCAAGCCTGCATCTCAGTTCCATAAAGTCAGAACAGCACCTTCCTTTCCTAGGTGTTCTGACGAGGGGAGTCTTCAGAGTGTGGGCTCTGGAGTCGGACAGCCTGGGTCCAAACCCTGGCTCCTCACCTGAAAAGGGTGTCCTCTTGGGCCAGTGGGCTCCTTCAGCACCCTAGGTAACATAGCCCTGAAATGAAAATCATAATCCATAATAATGCCTATTTCATAGAATTATAATGGGGATTAAGTAAATTAATATTTTAAAGTCTTCAGTGTTTGGTTAATAACAAGTACTATGTGAATGTAAAATAAAATAAATATGTGCAACACATCCATCAATGCATGGCACCATTACGAGCCCTCAACAAAGAGTGGTTACTATTTTTGGATTCATTGGTACATGGTTCCATTAATCAATAAATATTTAGCGTCAAGTTTCTACAAGGTTCTGGTGTAGGCATTGAAAGAAGCACAAGATCTGGTTTCCCTTGTCTTAAAGATTATAATTTTGTGGGCAGACAACATAAAACAGAGTTCAGTAACAGGAGTTTCTGGAGAGTGCTACCAGCACGGTTCACAGAGCAGTGGGCCAGTATCATTTTTTGGGAGAGATCCTCAGGCAGTGGAGTGACAGGAGAAGGTTTCAGAATGTTCAGACTCAAGTTGGGCCTGGAGCATTTTAGGCTGAAAGGACTGAGAAGAATGATGCTTCAGGGAGTTTGCTGCTGTTGCACGTGATTTTCTTGGGCTGGTTCAGCCTTCTTCAAAGGCCATGTTCCAAAATCAGCTTCAGTTCTTTAAGTAAATTCTCAATGAGATCGTTTTTGCATGAGCATCAAAAACTGTTGACCTAGCGAAGAAAATGTGCATCTACTTCCCCAGGATAGGGCGGTGGCCCCTCGAACCCCATCACACACACAGACCTCATCTGTCCAGGTAAATGAGATTCTCAATGAGATCATTTTTGCATGAGCATCAAAAGCTGTTGACCTAGCGAAGAAAATGTGCATCTACTTCCCCAGGATAGGGCGGTGGCCCCTCGAACCCCATCACACACACAGACCTCATCTGTCCAGGTAAATGAGATGCCCAGAGACCTTCCCATCAGACAGACCACAGTCCAGCCCTTGCCCAAGGGCTCAGATATGACAGCAAACACTTAACCCTCCACCCTTGCCATCACCATCACTCATCCCCATCACCCCCCATCTGCCTGGATTTGTCTCCACTCACCAAAATAGCCCAGAGATACGGCAGGCTTTTTGGAGGATCTGGTTGACCCATTTCCTATGATCCTCCAGGATCCTCCTGGAGTTCCCAGGTGAAGGTCAGGCCGCAAGAATTAACCTGCACTCTAGAGTCGAGGAACCAGCCAGAGCTCTTCCAGTCTTCCTGTCCCGCTTTGCACGCTCACCACAGACTGGGCTTTCCAGGCCTTTCTCCTCTGCCTCTCATCAACAGCCCCCTTGTGCTGATAACCACGCAGGCTGTGGTCCAGTGCTGTGCCCAGGTTTGGTCAGCTTTGTTTAGATCTAAGCCTATACCTTTTTTAAAGTATAACCCAACGCTACCTAGTTTAATTTGTCCAAAATGCCAAGTGATTTCTCCACGTGTTTTGATTTTGAAAGCTGAACATCCTTATCCATAGGCATTTTAATTTGGAGAGTTGGAGAGTGTCATGAGCTTTGTCATTTGCTAGGGTGAGGGTGATCCAGGCTGAGCCGCCAGGCTGAGTGCACTGTGAATTAGCGTGGTGTGCGGGGAGTTACTGGAGTAGTCCCTGACTGCCATATCATTGCTTCACTCACCAGATCATGCATCTTCCCATCATTGCTTCTGTTGATTTATCCTCATTTCTATGGCTGCCACCTGTGAAAGGTTCATAAATCTCCAGACTGCATCGGGCTCTACCTTCATTGGGCCAGAAAAAAATTCAAACCCACAAAGTTATTCCTTGGAAAATGTAGAGGTGAGATCTCCTCCAGAAACAAGCATGCTGATAGTTGAATGTGGCACATGAGATGTCACTCACTATCCATCTGCCATCACCTTATACAAATGCAGGCACGTCTCATCTCATTGCACTTCACTGTATTCTGCTTTGCACATATTGGGTTTTTTACAAATTGAAGGTTTGTAGCAACCCTGCTTTGAGCAGGTCTGTTGGGACCATTTTTCCATCACATGTTCACTTTGCATCTCTGTCACATTTTGGCAATTCTCACAATATTTTGAACTTTTTCATTACCATTATATCTGTTATGGTTATCTGGGATTAGTGATCTTTGATGTTACTGATGTAATTGTTTTGGGAGCCACTAACTGTGCCTATATAAGGTGGCAAACGTAATAAACATTGTGTGTTCTGACTGCTCCACAAACAGGCCATTTCCCTCACCTCCTCTTGGGCCTCCCTATTCCTTGACACACAATATTGAATTAGGCCAATAATATCTTATAAAATGGCCTGTAAGTGTTCATAAATGGAAGAATTGCAGG
Organism: Homo sapiens; assembly: GCF_000001405.40. NCBI lineage: Eukaryota > Metazoa > Chordata > Mammalia > Primates > Hominidae > Homo > Homo sapiens. The sequence goes on from NC_000007.14 coordinate 154,702,319, forward strand.
TCTCTCACTTTAAATCAAAAGCTAGAAATGAGTAAGCTTAATGAGGAAGGCATGTCAAAAGCACCACGATAGGCTGAAAGCCAGGCCTCTTGTGCCAAATAGTTAGCCAAATTGTGAAGGCAAAGGAAAAGTCTTTGAAGAAAATTAAAATTGCTGCTCCAGTGAACATGTGAATGATAGGTAAGGGAAACAGCCTGGTTGCTGATATGGAGAAAGGTTTCATGCTCTGGATAAAAGATCAAACCAGATACAGTATTCCCTGAAGCCAAAGCCTAATCCAGAACAAGATCCTAACTCTCTTCAATTCTGTGAAGGCCAAGGGAGGTAACGAGGCTATAGAAGAAAAGTTGGAAGCTAACAGAGGGTGGTTCATGAGGCTTAAGGAAAGAAGTCGTCTCCATAACATAAAAGTGCAAGGTGAAGCAGCAAGTGCTGATGGAGAAGCTGCAGTAAGTTATTCAGAAGATCCAGCTAAGATCATTGATGAAGATGGCTACACCAAACAACAGATTTTTAGTGAAGACAAAACAGCCTTCTTCTGGAAGATGATGCCATCTAGGACTTTCATAGCTAGAGAGGAAAATTCAATGCCTGGCTTTAAAGCTTCAAAGGACAGGCTGACTCTCTTCTTAGGGGTTGAAGTAGCTGGTGACTTTAAGTCGGAGCCAGTGCTCATTTACCATTCTGAAAATCCTAGGGCCCTTAAGAGTGATGTTAAGTCTACTCCGCCTATGCTCTGTAAATGCAATAACAAGGCCTGGATTATAGCACAACTGTTTATACCATTGTGTAATGAATATTTTAATCCCACTGTTGAGACCTACTGCTCAGAAAGAAAGATTTCCTTTAAGATATTACTGTTCAATCCCAGTATGCCTGGTCACCCAAGGACTCTGAAGGAGATGCACAAGGAGATAAATGTTGTTTCTATGCCTGCCCACATAACATCCATTTTGCAGCACATGAATCATGGAGTCATTTAGACTTTCAAATCTTATAATTTAAGAAATACATTTCATGGCTGGCATGGCGGCTCATGCCTGTAATCCCAGCACTTTGGGAGGCCGAGGCAGGCAGATTACCTGGGGTCAGGAGTTCGAGACCAGCCTGGCCAACATGGCAAAACCCCATCTCTACTAAAAATACAAAAATTAGCCAGGCATGATGGTGGGTGCCTGTAATCTTAGCTACTAGGGAGGCTGAGGCAGGAGAATCACTTGAACCCAGGAGGCAGAGATTGCATTGAGCCAAGATCATGCCATGGCACTCCAGCCTGAGCAACAGTGAGACACTCTGTCTCAAAAAAAAAAAAAAAAAGAAAAGAAATACATTTCATAGGCTGGGCATGGTGGCTCACGCCTGTACTTGCAGCACTTTAGAAGGCCAAAGCGGGCAGATCATGAGGTCAGGAATCGACACCATCCTGGCTAACACCGTGAAACCCCGTCTCTACTAAAAAATACAAAAAATTAGCAGGGCGTGGTGGTGGGAGCCTGTAGTCCCACCTACTCAGGGGGCTGAGGCAGGAGAATGGCATGAACCTGGGAGGCGGAGCTTGCAGTGAGCCAAGATCGCGCCACTGCGCTCCAGCCTGGGTGACAGAGCGAGACTCTGTCTCAAAAAAAAAAAAAAGAAAAATACGTTTCATAAAGCTATAGCTGCCATAGATAGTGATTCCTCTGATGGATCTGGGCAAAGTACATTGAAAGCCTTCTGGAAAGGATTTATCATCCCAGATGCCATTAAGAACATTCATATGCATTAGAGGAGGCCAAAATATCAACATTACCAGGAGTTTAAATGAAGTTGATTCTAACCCTCATAATCTTTGAGAGATTCAAGACTTCAGTGGGGAAAGTCACTGCAGATGTGATAAAAACAGCAAGATAACTAGAATTAGAAGTAGAGCCTGAAGATGTGACTGAGTTGCTACAGTCTCAGGATAAAACTTGAATGGGTGAGAAGTTGCTTCTAGGAACGAGCAAAGAAAGTGTTTCTTGAGATGAAATATACTCCTGGTGAAGATGCTAAGAATATTGTGGAAATGACAACAGAGGATTTAGAATATTCCATAAACATAGTTGAGAAAGAAGCAGCAGGGTTTGAAAGGACTGACTTCAATTTTGAAGGAAATTCTGATGTGGGTAAAATGCAATCAAATAGGATTGGGTGCTACAGGAAAGCTTTTGTGAAAGGAAGAATCAATCAATGTGCAAACTTCATTATTGTCTTATTTTAAGAAATTACCAGTTATCCCAACCTTCAGCAACCAGCCCCTGATCAGTCAGCAGCCATCAACATCAAGGCAACACCACCTGCCAGCAAAAAGACGATGACTCACCGAAGGCTTAGATGATTGTTAGCATTTTTTAGCAACAAAACATTTTTAATAACTCACATACATTTTTAGACATAATACTTTTGCACAGTTACTAATCTACAGCAGAGTATAAACATAACTTTTATATGCAGTTGGAAACCAAAAGATTTCTGTGACTCCCTTTATTGTGATATTCACTTTATTGTGGTGGTTGGTGGTCTGGGACTGAACCTGCCAAATCTTTGTGGCATGCCTGTATATGGCTTTCTGTTTTTATCTTTGAGATAGAGTCTTGCTATATTGTCGAGGCTGGGTCTCAAACTCCTCAAGCAATTATTGTGCCTCAGCCTCCAGAGTAGCTGAGATTACAAGCACACGCCATTGATGTGTATGTGTTTAAGCATGGATGAACCAGACAAGGAGCTCCTCCAGGGCAAAGACCATCATTATTCAGAAACCTGGTACAAGGAAAAGCTCAGGGAGAGGAGAGGGGGAGAAGGGAGGGCATAGAAAATATTGTAACTGTAGCCAAAGAAGTGGATATATTTGTCAGGATTTTTTAGTGATAAAAGACAAAATGTCAAGTTAAACTAGACTAAACAAAAAGGGGAATGTCTTACTTACCTGGGATGATCAGAAGTGGGTTTGGCATCCAGGGACTCAGACAGCATCCTGGGGCATGTCTCTGCCTCCATCCTTATCTCCTGCTATTTTCCTTTCCTGCTTTCCCTTTTCTGTAGTCTCTCTTCAGCTCTACTTCTTTCTGCGTGTTCATCTCGCTCTCTTCCAGTGCAAAACGTCTTCCATATGGCCAGGAAGACAAATCACCCCTGGGACCCTGAGGTCTGTATCATTCCAGTGCCAGGACCCAGAGGCAAGAAGCAGTAGACTCTGAAGCTCCAGGAAAGGCATGAGAATACCTGACCCACCCAGGGTGTGTCAGAGGCCATCACTCAGGGCCCATGGCTGGGGTGGCAGGGATGGAATCCTGCAGATTTACATGCCTGAGTGGTATGCCCATTGTGGGGGCCAGGGCTCCCAGACAGCCCCTGAGTCACAGGCATAGGGGAGAGATGGCCTCAAACTAGGCAAACAAAAAGTGGAGGTCACCACTACAGCAGTTAGCCAGAACATGTGAAAGTAAAACATAGGCAAATACTATCTTAAGTCATTAATCCAGTGAATATGATCTTCTATTTGTTGGTAGAATAGAGCAACTGTAGCTGAGCTAGTGATTACAGCAACATCTGATCAATGCTTTCAACTCAGACAAAGTGGCCAGTTTCCTGCGTAGAAGGGTTGGAAGGCCTGTGAAGGCCACTGTTGTTCCCCATCTGGCCCATCCTGCAGATGTCCCCCCTCTACTCGGCCCCTATGCAGCAATGAGGGCGGTCATGGAAAACAAAATTCTCACCTTCTCCCTTGTTTGGAATGTCCTGGAACCATGATGACAACCAGCGCCCTTCAGTGACTCCCATTGTTCTCACACAAAAGCATGGAGTCAGGAGTGTAACTTCTAGGATCCTGCGTCCCCTGCCACTTCTCCAGCTTATCCTCTCACCGCCTGCCTTGGCCCAGCTGCTGTGGCCTCCTCCCTTCCTCGGAGGATTGTCCTTTCTTGCCTTGCCCAGGGCCTCGGTGAACGTGGCTCCCTCTCCTGCGATGCTCTCATTCCCCTTCTTTCCCTGGGTAGCCTCTGCTCACCCGTAGATCTCAGCTCAGATATGATTCTCAGGGCAGACCTCACAACCACCCAGACAAGACCCTCAGGGTGCCCTGTTGGCACTTTTTAAACTTCCTCCCAGCAATTCCCAGACTGGAGAATGTCAGGATGCCTGGCCAGGCCACTCCTAGTCAGCCCCTGGAGGCTCAGTGACTCCCTGTGAGGAGGGGGAGTTTATGAAATGCACAGCCTTGGGCAGGGCCTGATGCTGGTTCCTGTCACTGTTGTGCCCACCTCTCCATGTCCCTGGACTCATTAGAAGGGTGCCATCTCTTCAGTCAGCTAGGAACTTCTGGAGCTCCTCTGTTACACTAAATAGCTTCAAGTGGACACTGAACACGTACTATCAAATGCTTAAAAGCACAATTTTATTTTGAGAACTTTTTCTCAGCTTTGGAAAAATAATACCTCAGAATTCTCCAGGTTAAAATGTGGGTTCAGGAGGTGAGAAAGATCCCAAGAGATTTCTCTGGGTGGGTGACTCTGAAAAGGAAGGTTTTCCTTTAGCGTTTGAAAGCTGCATTGATGGGAAGGTCTTTAGAGTGGTGTTGGGGCTTTTCATCTTGATTTTGGTTGATGTTTTGAAAGAAGGAATGATATGAGTACTTTCTGGTAGGAAGAGCAATTTTAGATTATCTACAAGCATTTCTCTTTCTTGGCACTACACTCTGCCCTTTGGCATTAAATCCTGAAGTAATTTGCTGGAGTGGAAAATGATGTAATACATTATACTGGTTTTTGAAGGAAAGGGCAGAGGGGAAAAGTGGTAAAGTGAGGGAACTACAAGAATCCTGTGATTAAAATGCGGTCCTCTGTGGTAAGGATTGGATAGGTTGATGACACTTATTATGCTAATAATATGTTACCTTTGAAAGTGTTTTATAACCTCCAGGATTTTCTCCCATAAATTATCTGCTTTCATCCTCCCCACAGCACCATGAGGCAAGCACGGCAGGTGTAATTATCTGTATTTTGTGGATAAGAAAATCAAAATGCAGAGCAGTTAAATGATTTTTTTTGCCATATCCTAGAGCTGCCTAGGCAAGAACCAATGAAAGAACCAAGCATTCTGGATTTTAGGCTGATGGGTTAATCATCAGCCTAAAATATGAAATACTCACTCAGAATAAACAGTTATAGCCATTGCAAAAATGAGATGAGCCCTTGCATGCCAACTGCTCAGCACCTCGCCAGGTCCATCGGACATGCCCCGAGGGTGTTTGTGGTGTTGATGATGATGATGCTGAACTAAATGAGAATCATCAGGAATCTTAAACCTCTCATTGATCAACAGCTTTGACATCTCCTCTGTATTAGTCTGTTACCACGCTGCTAATAAAGAGATACCTGAGACTGGGTAATTTATAAAGGAAAAAAGGTTTGATTGACTCACAGTTCCTCGTGGCTGAGGAGACCTCACAATCATGGCAGAAGGTAAAGGAGAAATGAAAGCACGTCCTACATAGCAGCAGACAGGAGAGAATGAGACCCGAGCAAAAAGGGAGACCCCTTATAAAACCATCAGATCTCCCAACATGTGGGAATTATGGGAACTACAATTCAAGATGAGATTTGGGTAGGGACACAGCCAAACCATGTCATCCTCTATCCATCCGTTACAAGCCAGTATAACAAAAGGTTGTGTATTTGCCCAGCTGAGCAGTGAAAAGGGAAAAGGCCAAAATATAGGGAATGTGAGGGCAAAATAGAGTCAGTATTTAGTAACTCACAGATTGAATGTTGTGTTCCTGAAATAGAGCATTGGGTACTCTGAGAATGACTCCTGGCAATTTTAGGACTACTTCCATGGGAAAAAGCACATAACCACGTGTATACATACATATGTTATTAACCTTTTAGCTCAAAGGTAACTGGGCTTTCCACTACCATCAGTTTCTGTATACAAGGCTTGAAGGCCAATTATACTTTATTTCCAGCAGTCTCTTCATGTAATCTCTGCAAGAAAAGTCTCTTTTGATAGGATTTGCCGACTTTTTCTTCAGTGTTCACCTATGCTCCCGTCAGGTGAGCACACTGCATTCTTAGCAGTGCTGGGTGTCATTAGTGTTCAGTCTTTCATAATCTGATAAACAAAACATTGTAATAAGATTTCTTTTTGTTATTTTTTAGCAATTTGTACAGTTCTTTGATCGATCTGTTTGTGTCCTTCATACACATATTTATAGCTCAGTGATCATGATTCATGCTTTCCACTTGTCGGAATTTATCCCAGGGAAATATCAGAGACACAGGTGAAAATTTTTGTGCCAAGATGCACACAATAGTATTTTATTACGATAAAAAAACCAAAAGACTGTATGTCAAATAATAAGGGATTAATTAAATAAACTGTCATATCTCTTCAAGGGCATGTCTCAAAGAATGTTTAATAACATGGAAAAGCATCCAGGTGTGGTGGCTCATGCCTGTAATCCCAGCACTTTAGGAGGCAGAGACAGACGGAATACCTGAGGTCAGGAGTTCGAGACCAGCCTGGCCACCATGGTGAAACCCTGTCTCTACTAAAAATACAAAAATCAGCTGGGCATGGTGGCACATGTCTGTAATCCCAGCTACTCAGGAGGCTGAGGCAAGAGAATTGCTTGAGCCCAGGAGACAGAGGTTGCAGTGAGCCAAGATCATGCCACTGCAGTCCAGCCTCACCGACAGAGCAAGACTCTGTCTCAAAAAATAAATAAAAATAAAATAACGTTGAAAAGCATTCCTAATATAAATTAACCATTATATTATATGGCCTTAGTTTTATTAAAAACCAGATTTATACCTCTCCTACCAACACACATACATCTTGAAGGAAATGAAATACAACAAAGTTGATTTGTGTATGTTTTGTAGAGACAGGATCTCACTCTGTGGTCCAGGCAGGAGTTCACTGCAGTCTTGACCTGCTGGACTCAAGCAATCCTCCTGCTTCTGTGTCTCAAGTAGCTAGGACTACAGGCGTGTGCTATGACACTCAGCTAATTTTTTAATGTTTTGTTGTTGTTGTTGTTGTTGTTGTCGTTGCTATTTGTTTTTGTAGAGATGGAGTCTTACCGTGTTGCACAGGCTGGTCTCAAACTCCTGGCCTCAAGTAATCCTCCCACCTTGGCCTCCCAAAGTGCTAGGATTACAGGCAGGAGCCACCATGCTCAGCTCGAAGTTTATTTTAAGGTGGTATTTTGTATATGTGTGAGTGTGATCTGTAAGACAACGACATTTTTCTTTTTTTTTTTTTTCAAATATTCCACAAAAAACAAATACTTGTAGTCACAGTTTGGTGGCTTTTGCTGTGCTGTTTTCCAGCTTGTAACTGGCCAGACTGATTCTATGATCTCAAGCCAGCGGTTCACTTTTCAAAAAAACCCAACACTCCTTTACCCAGCCCCATCTTTGTTGTTGGTATATCTCTCTCGCTTCTTCTTATTACTTTGTAGTAATTTTACTTCAGAAAAGACTCAGAATTCCCACCATCATCCAGTTTCTGACATGAACCCATGGAAGGCATACTGTTCAGGAAGGTTGGCCTATGTCAGGGGCCTGACACCTGCTTTGAAGCACCCATCAGGGGCCATGTGTGGACCAAGCATACATTCCGGCTCTGCCTGAGTCCACATTCAGCATCACCTGGACTCAGTAGGATCTGGGGCAGCAACGGTCAGCCAGCAGGGTGACGTCACACATGTGCACCTCTCCTGCAGTATTCAATGCTGCTGTCCCCCCAACCACACAGGAGCTGCCTTCTCCCCCAGCACTGCTGCCAGATGACAGCTTGGTGCAGGGAGCAGGACATCCACAAGTGGGTGTGGAATCTTCCCTGCCCGATGCCTCTCAGGAGCCAGGGGCATGGCTTCAGGGCCCCACCAGGAATGTGCACGAGGGTCACCAGACTGGGAGAAGTGGCAGCTGTAACTCCCTCCCAGTACTCATGGTTCTCCTTATCTCAATGCAACTTATCATAAATAATGCTGTCATGAATAGAGGTAATATTCAACCCTTATCAGGTTTCCAGGGCAACAAAAGCAGGAAGTCAGCTGATGGTCAAATTCGCTGCAAAGAGGACTCACCTTAGGTTCTGAGTGCCAGAGTGTTTCTTCAATCTTTCAGACACAGCTGGTAATCCTAACTTGCTGTTATATGGCCTATTGATGAAACCACTCGGGACCACATGTGGCATTTGTAGCACACCCAGAAATTAAACCCATGCAGAGAAACGAGCTCACCAGGACTCCTTAGGTTGTCCTTGGAGGGCTTCCTCACCTCACTTGCTAGCAGCCACTGCCCAAGGACCTGCTGTGTTCTCTGGTCAGCTTTCTGCTTTCAGCAGGGTCTTCTAAAAGGTACGTCTACAAGGTTGCAGATTTGGAGGAAGAATTCCTGTATCCTGGTGAAGTGTTTTGTGTGTGTAGAGTGTTCCAGTGACAGGAGTTATTTGCAGGATTGGCACAGTCTCCAGTGAAGACTCTCCTGTGGGCTTCAGGAGCAGTAACTTGCGTATGATCATTGCTAAACCAATGGGGATAGCCAGTTCCATGGCCAGCCAACCTGTTCTGTGCTTCGCCCTATAAATTATGTTCTATATTACATACAACAGGATCTTTCACTTTTATTTACTACAGAAATGTCAGTAAATGGTTCCTGATGTAATTAGCTTGATCAGGAAATGTGATAACTCAAGAGAAGCCGTGGAATAGAGAGAGAAATGCAATTGCCAAATAGTCACTACTATGTGGATATGTCCTTGACATTAGGAAAGCCGCTATAATGTGTCAATTAAAGAAACCTAGGCAATGTGATAATTGAAGTTTTTAATTGATATAGAGAGAGAATCTATTTCCCCCTTAATAATAACATGTTGGGTTCACTATGAATGTTTAATTTCCTTTCCATGATAAATAGTTTTCCCTAGTCTGGGCATGGTGGCCCACACATATGGGAGGCCAAGGCAGGAGGATTGCTTGAGGCCAGGAGTCTGAGACCAGCCTGGGCAACAGAGCAAGACCCCCATCTTAATTTAAGAACAAATAATAAATAAATAAATAGTTCTCCTTTTCAACAGAAGTTTGGTAATATAACTAATTAATTTGCTGAATATCTTTTACTGATGTAAATATGAATGTAACTATTGAATTTGACAAAGTGAAAAATGAAAGAAATCTCTTAGAGATCATCCAACCCAACCTCTAATGTTATAGTGAAGGAAATTGCATTAAACAGTGTTGAATAACCTGCTCACAGCTGGACAGCTAGTAGTTTCAGACTGGAATTCAGGGTTCCATTTCAAGTCCAAGGTTCTTTCTTTTTTATCATCTCACCCTTAGTAGTATTGCTATCATTTTGTCAAATACTGAGCTATGCAACATGTTTCCCTTTTGGCCTTGATTTTCCAGAACTAAAAACCAAATCGTGCCTGATTATAGTAATTATTCCATCCCTAGTTCCTGATGTAATTAGCCCCCTCTTTAGCTATTTGTGTCTCTTTTATCATAACCATTCTGGGAACATGCAGATTGTGCTTTTATTGTAATTTACTTTGAATTGGTTTAAGAAATATTAAGGGTGTAAATTGTCACTTAATACACACACACACACACACACACACACTCTTCTTCTCAGTAAGTTACCTGGAAGTTGTACTAATCTTTTAATTTCTCTTTTTAAATTATCTTAGTGATGTAAATATTCATGAAACTTTTGGATTTATTTGACTTTTGGAAAAGTCAAATAAAGCCTCAATTAGTTAAAACCCAGCCAACTCACATGCTAAACCTTGGGATAGTTTTCCTGTATACAACATACATGGAAAAGAATAGCAATAACACAGATAATATCAAGGAAAACAGTTTCTGGGAATAGATGTATATTTGATCTAATCCATTTTTGTACATGCACACCAATAGTTTTGGACAATGAAAACTGATTATCTTAGTCAATAATAATTCCATATTGTATACCTCATTCTATCTAATAAATCAAGAAAGTATAAAGTCTGAAAATATTTCCCTAATAAGGACTGAAATTGAAAAGATCTCTTCTTTAGTTAGAAAATTCACCAAGAAAGTGTATTTAACTGAAACTTCCCAATCCTCTAGAGAATTCCAGTGTATTAGTCCATTCTCATGCTGCTATGAAGAAATACCCAAGACTGGGTAATTTATAAAGGAAAGAGGTTTAATTGATTCAGTTCTGCATGGCTGGGGAGGCCTCAAGAAACTTACAATCATGGCAGAAGACACCTCTTCACAGGGTGGCAGAAGAGAGAATGAATGCCCAGCAAAGGGGAAAGCCCCTTAGAAAACCATCAGATCTCATGAGAACCAGCTCACTATCAGCATAACAGGATAGGGGAAAACACCCCATGATTCAATTATCTCTACCTGGTCCGTCTGAAGACACATGGGAGTTATAGGAACTACAGTTCAGGATGAGATATGGGTGGGGACACAGCCAAACCATATCATTCTGCCTCTGGCCCCTCCCAAATCTCATGTCCTCACAATTCAAAACAAAATCATGCCCTTCCAAAAGTCCCCCAAAGTCTTCTTCCAGCATTAACTCAAAAGTCCAAGTCCAAAGTCTCATCTGAGACAAGGCAAGTCCCTTTTGCCTATGAGCCTGTAAAATCAAAAGCAAGTTAGTTACTTCCTAGATACAATGGGGGTACAGGCATTGGGTAAATATACCCATTCCAAATGGCAGAAATTGGCCAAAACAAAGAGGCTGCAAGCCCCATGCATGTCCAAAATCCAATAGGGCAGTCATTAAACCTTAAAGTTCCAAAAATGTGTTTCACGTCTAGGTCATGCTGATGCAACAAGTGAGCGCCCATGGGGGCAGCTCTGCCCTTGTGGCTTTACAGGGTACAGCCTACCTCCCAGCTGCTTTCATGGGCTGACATTGTCTGTGGCCTTTCCAGGTACCTGGGGCAAGCTATTGGTGGATCTACCATTCTGGGATCTGAAGGATGGTGGCCCTCTTCTCACAGTTCCACTATGCAGTGCCCCACTGGGGACTCTGTGTGGGGGCTCTGACCCCACATTTCCCTTCTGCACTGCCCTAGTGAGGTTCTCCAGGAGGGCCCCACCTCTGCAGCAAACTTCTACCTGGACATCCTGGCATTTCCATACATCTTCTGAAATCTAGGTGGAGGTTCCCAAACCTCAATTCTTGACTTCTATGCACCTGCAGGCCCAACATCACATGGAATTTGCCAAGATTTGGGGCTTGCACCCTCTGAAGCAATGGCCCAAGCTGTACGTTGGCCCCTTTTAGCGATGGCTGGAGTGGCTGGGACACAGGGCACCAAGTCCCAAGTCTGCACACAGCAGAGGGGCCCTGGGTCCAGGCCAGGAAAACTATTTTTCCCTCCTAGGTCTCCAGACCTGTGATGGGAGGGGCTGCCATGAAGGTCTCTGACATGCCCTGGGGACATTTTCCCTATTGTCTTGGTGATTAACATTGGGTTCCTTGTTACTTATGCAAATTTCTGCAGCCAACTTGAATTTCTTCCCAGAAAGTGGGATTTTCTTTTCTATCGCATCATCAGATGGCAAATTTTCTAAACTTTTATTCTCTGCTTCTTCCTGAACACTTTGTTATTTACAAATTTCTTCCTCTAGATACTTTAAATCATTTCTCTCAAATTTGAAGTTCCACAGATCTCTGGGGCAGAGGCAAAATGCCACCAGTCTTTTTGCATAGCAAGAGTGATCTTTACTTCAGTTCCCAACAAGTTCCTTATCTTCATCTGAGACCACCTCAGCCTGGACTTCAATATCAGCATTTTCATCAAAGCTATTCGACAAGTCTCTAGTGAGTTCCAAACTTTCCCACATCTTCCTGTCTTCTGAGCCCTCTAATCTGTAGGAAGTTCTAAACTTTCCCACATTTTCCTGTCTTCTTCTGAGCCCTTCAACCCGTTCCAACCTCTGCCTGTTACCCAGTTCCAAAGTAGCTTCCACATTTTGGGATATCTTTATAGCAGCACCTCACTCTCCGTAGCACCAATTTATTGTATTAGTCTGTTCTCACACTGCTATGAAGAAATACCTGAGACTGGGTAGTTTATAAAAGAAGGAGGTTTAATTGACTCACGGTTCTGCATGGCTAGGGAGGCCTCAGGAAACTTACAATCATGGTGGAACCTCTTCGCAGGGCAGCAGGAGAGGGAATGAGTGCCCAGCAAAGGGAAAAGCCCTTTATAAAACCATCAGGTCTTGTGAGAACTAACTCACTATCATGAGAACTGGATGGGGGAAACTGCCCCATGATTCAATTATCTCCACCTGGTCCCTCCCAAGACACATGAGAATTATGGGAGCTACAATTCAAGATGAGATTTGGGTGGAGACACAGCCAAACCATATCATCCAGTTAATTGAACCTTCACAGAATTTACTATAACCTTGAGTGTATAAGCCATATTTATGCTAAAATGTTCATTTTTAAAAATGAAACTAATGAAAATGTCATGTATTTTGTAAATACCCAGAGGGGGCTTGCCCAAGGTAGACTGAGTGGGCTTACTTGGGAAATAACAAAGAGATGAGTCTGGCAGAAAGAAATTGAGGATGAGAAATAACTTGGGATAGGCTAGTGATGGCTTTGAATCCCAAGCAGAGGCCCTCACACTTTTACCTGGTAGGCTCAGAAGAAGAAGGACTAATATGATAACTATTTTATTTTATTTTATCTTATCTTATTTTATTTTATTTTATTTTTTGAGATGGAGTTTCACTCTTGTTGCCCAGGCTGGAGTGCCATGGCACGGTCTCAACTCACTGCAACCTCTGCCTCCCAGGTTCAAGTGAATCTCCTGCCTTAGCCTCCCAAGTAACTGGGATTACAGGCACCTGCCACCATACCTGGCTAATTTTTGTATTTTTTAAGTAGAGATGGGTTTTCACCTGGTTGGCCAGGCTGGTCTCGAACTCCTAACATCAGATGATCCACCTGCCTAGGCCTCCCAAAGTGCTGGGATTACAGGCATGAGCCACTGCACCCAGCCAGGATAACATTTTATAAAAAGGAATATTTGTTGAGCTAATGTACATTGAGGCCTACTTTAATTTCAATATACTTTTCAGACAAGGAATCACACACTTGTACAATTTTCCGACCTTATCATTGGAACACTTGCTAATATGATGCAGATGAAGTGGGATTGTGATAGGCTATTTTAAGTACTTGAATTATGAGACAATTTTCGACTGCAGTAGCCCAAATGGTACCCTGCAGCCGTCAAATGTGAGGAACTTCAGTGTGAGTGCTGACACCAAATGGAACCTCATCCACCCACCTGATGAAAATTGATGTTCCCCTGGCTGTCACCCTCAGCTGTACGCTTTGCTCAAGAAGTACTTTGTTTTGAGGGACTTTATGTTGTATAAAATATGGTTTTGCCTGTCATCCATAGGTGATGAACCTGCCATCTCTGTCTCCTGTCTCTCTTTAAACACTAACTTCCAGTTGCCTATGGAGCAACTACCTGGAAGTCTCAGAGGCATCTCACAGTCAACCTGCCCAAACTCCACTCTGACTTCCTTCTCCAAACCTTCTCTTCCTTCTTCATTTCCCATCTTAATTCTTAGTAACCCGTACATTCTGTCACCTAGGTGTGAGGATGAGAAATCATATTTATTTCCTTCTGTTCCCGCCACACACCCACACCCTGTAGATTCTGAATCCTAATATTTTTCAAATCCATCTTCTTTTAGATCTCATTTTTGTAGTTTGTGCTTTCACTATTTCTTAGGCCTCCCCACCTCCAGACTTCTGCCTCCCATCTCCCCTCAGCCGTCATGGTGATATTTCTGAAATGAAAATCTGATTTTCTGGCTCTTCTATGACTTTGCTTTCCAAGTTTACCCATCACAAAGAAAATGAAGCCCCAACTTCCCTGGAACACAAGGCTTCTCCCACCTGGAACACAAGGCTTCCCATAGCCTGACCTGTCCCCCACTCTTGCTGTGTCTTTTACCACCCTGCATCCCTACCCACTTACTATTTTACAGCTCTTACCACCTACTTGTAGTCCCCTAAATGCATCAGATCTGTGAGCCTTTCCACACATGGATGCTGACATCTGAAGAGTTCTCCCTTCAACTCTCTCCCATGCACACCGAATGAATTCTCCAGGCCCCTCCTCTAAAGCGTTCCTTCTTCACCCCCAGCTATAGTTTACTGCCCCTTTATATTATATGCTGCTCCTGGATGTGGGACAGCAGGTGCATGCCTGATCAAATGTGGTATCTTTAATGATCAACAAATGTCAGGTAAACAGATGCATGGGTTAGTTGGTTCCAGACATAGAATTTACTCAAAAAGAGAGCATTTTTTTTTTCTCCTGAATGGTTTTCAAGATAGCTCAATATATTATGCCATTTTTAAAATTTTATTTTCTTTTTAGATTACACATAATAATTGTACTTATTTAATGTGGTACAGTGTGATTTTTGTTTGTTTGTTTGTTGTTATTGTTGCTGTTTTTTGAGACACAGTCTTGCTCTGTTGCCCAGGCTGCAGTGCAGTTGTGGGATCTCAGCTCACTGCAACCTCAGCCTCCCAGGTTCAAGCGATTCTCCTGCCTCAGCCTCCCAAGTAACTGGGATTACAGGCGTGCACCACAACGCACAGCTAATTTTGTATTTTTAGTAGAGACAGAGTTTCTTCATGTTGGTCAGGCTGGTCTTGAACTCCTGACCTCGTGATCTGCCCACCTCAGCCTCCCAAAGTGCTGGGATTACAGGTGTGAGCCACCACACCCAGATAAGTGTGATGTTTCAATACATGTATACAATGTGTAATTATCAAATTACAGTAATTAGCAGATTCATCAGCTCGAACATTTATCATTTATTTGTGGTAAGAACACACAAAATCTTCTCTTCTAGATATTTTGAATAGACAATATATTATTGTTAACCATTATTACCCAACTGTGTAATGGAATACTCGGACTTATTCCTTCTACCTCATTGTAACATTGACCAGTCTCTCCCCATTACCCACTTGCACACAAACACACACACACACACACACGCACCCTTCCCAGCACCTTCCCAGCACCGTTCTACTCTCTACTTCTATGAGAGCAATGTTTTAGATGCCACATATGAGTGAGACTATGTGACATTTGGCTTTTTGTACCTGGCTTATTTCACTTAACCTAGTGTCCTCTAGGTTCATCCATGCTGCTGCAAATGACAGGATTTCATTCTTTTCTTTGGCTAAATACTATTTCCTTGTATACATGCATACCACATTTTCTACATTCATTCATCCATCGATGGACACTTGGGTTGATTCCATGTCTTGCCTGTTGTGAATAGTGCTGCAGTGAACATGGAAGTGCACGTATCTCAGCTTACTGATTTCATTTGCTTTGGATGTCTACCCAGTATACAACCATATGATTGCTGGATCATATAGTAGCTCTATTTTTCATTTTTTAAGGAACCTCCATACTTGTTTCCCTAATGGTTATAGTAATTTACATTTCCACCAACAGTGTATAAAAGGCCCCCCCTTATCCATATCCTCACCAGCATTTGTTAATTTTTGTCTTTCTGATAACAGCCATTCTAACGGGGGTGAGATGGTATGTCATTGTTGTTTTCATTTGCATTTCTCTGATGATTAGTGATGTTGAAGATTTTCTCCTAGACCTGTTTGCCATCTGTATGTCTTCTTTTGGAAAATGTCTATTCAGTTCTTTTGCCCATTTTTTAATCAAATGATTTGGTTTTTGCTATTGAGTTGTTTGAGTTCCTTATGTATTATGGATACTAACCCCTCGTCAGATGCGTCGTTTGCAGATATTTCCTCCCATTCTGCAGGCTGTCTCTTCACTCTGTCGATTGTTTCTTTTGCTGTGTGAAGCTTTTTAGTTTACTGTAATCGCCTTTTTCTATTTTTGTGTTTGTGCCTGTGCCTTTGAGTTCTTTTCTATAAAATCCTTGCCCAGACTAATGACACGAAGTATTTCCACTGTGCTTTCTTCTTGTTGTTTTATAACTTTGGGTCTTATGGCTAAGTCTTTAAACCATTTTGAGTTGATTTTTTTAAGAGGTGAGAAATTGGGGTCTAATTTCATTCTTCACGTCAAGATTACTTTGAATAAAACTTCTAAATGAAAATTTTAAAAGTTCAGCCCTTTGCTCTGAGTTTTTGTCTCTATTCTACTCCCACACCCCCCCCAACTTTAGTCACTGTGGAACCCACAGTGAGGTCCTCTTTAAAGCTGGCTTGCCTGGGTTTTAGACTTCCTCCTCCTTTTTTTTTTTTTTTTTTTTTTGAGACTGAGTTTTGCTCTTGTTGCCCAGGCTGGAGTGCAGTGGCATGAGCTCAGCTCACTGCAACCTCCACCTCCCAGATTCAAGTGATTCTCCAGCCTCAGTGTCCCAAGTAGCTGGGATTACAGGCACCCACCACCATGCCTGGCTAAATTTTGTGTTTTTAGTAGAGACAGGTTTTCACTGTGTTGGCCAGGCTGGTCTCAAACTTCTGACCTCAGGTGATCCACCCGCCTCGGCCTCCCAAAGTGAGTCTTCCTCTTCTTTAAGATCTTTATCTCTCTGCCTTTGGGTCACATCTAGGAAATGATTCATCCCCCCACTGCTCAGAAGCACCACTCTTCTTGTGTCTGAACATCTTGGGACTTTCTAGGTTTTACCCCATTGCTCTTTCAAAAATTCCAGATATTCTACTTTCCATATGTTTTCTTTTTGGTTGTGAATCAGAGAGTGGTAGCCTTCTCCCATCGCTTATGACTCCTTCTCTCTTGTTCTTCAAACTCGAGTACAGAGGCTACTGTGGCGGCGTGTTTGGGTGATTGATGGGCTTCCTACACTTGGATGTTATCTATGCCGGGCTTGTCTTGGTTACATCCCAGCCTCTCCAGAGCAATGATGTTCTGCTGGGATCTGGGGGCTCCAAAGTGGGCTGTATGGGCTGGGGATGCCAGCAAATCTTCCATCCTTCCATTTGCTTGAAATTAAAGATACACAGAAGTAATGTGGCCACGGGGGTGGAAGGAAGGGAGGATGGAACTCAAAGGGAAAATGACATGTGGACCCTGCTCTCATAAAATTTGAAATCTAGTCAGTGGAGAAGACCAGATGATCCCACAGGAGAAATCTGGGGTGTCAAGTATGGATACACAGTGGGAATGATTCATGTGACTCACTCTGCTGAGGAATTTGCCCACTGCCCTGACACAGACCTCACTCTACTGGTGAGGTCTGCAGAGGCTACTGAATATTTGTAAAGAGTCGAGTCTGCACAGTTGGCTTCCAGCAGGCATTGGACAGGGCCCTCCGTGGAGGCCAGGCACCCGGCATGCAGTTCCCCTGCCTCCCTTGGCCTGGAGTCACTGCTCTTCTCCGCAGGTCACTGCCCCCATCAGCTGTGGTGGTCTAGTGTTCAGCAGAAATGGGAAACGGAGTCTTCTGAGGCTGTGCCGATTGTCATTGCTCTGAAAAGAGCTCACTTGTGCTTGAGTGGACATTGCTTCAGCATCAACGTGAAGGCCTCTGTCTGTGGGTTTCAGGGGGTGCCAGGGACCAGACTGGAGAGCAGGCCTCATCCTGCGCCCACGTCCAACCTCCCTTATCCTCTCCCCCATGCTCCTGCATCTGCTTCCCAGAACCTCTCGGCCTGTAGGATCTGTTCTGTTGGTGAGGAGGGAGTACAGCATAAACA
Organism: Homo sapiens; assembly: GCF_000001405.40. Lineage (NCBI taxonomy): Eukaryota > Metazoa > Chordata > Mammalia > Primates > Hominidae > Homo > Homo sapiens. The sequence goes on from NC_000007.14 coordinate 154,720,063, forward strand.
CAGAAGGTCTGTGACGGAGAGAGATTGTTGAGGCTTCCTGCTGGAAGGTTGAGAGCTGAGCAGAGGCTTACAAGAGGGCAGGATCTGGATAGATGCCAACGAAAACAGAGCATTTGGGTGAGGAGAAGAGTGAATCGATGGACTGAGGAGGGAACACACCTGTGCTATGCCCAGGAGAGGAGGCACCAGCAGGCAGAGCTTCCAGGCAGGGCGCCAGGGCAGGGCAGCATGGAGGAAGTGGAGACAGTGGCCTTGCCTGTCCTGGAAAAGCCTGCGAGTGTCCCCATCACTTACTAGTGGGGGCTGGATAGTCACACATGAGGACCACAAAGCAGATGTTATCATTCTCCTGGGCCTTATGTACATCTCAGTATGTTTGGGAGACCTGAGCATTTACCTTGTAAAAGTTTTCTGGAAGAAGGAACCAAGGTTTGATGGCAGAGAGTACATGCCCTGCTCCAGGATGGCAGAGAGCACATGCCCCGCTCCAGCATGTCAGAGAGCACATGCCCCACTCCAGGATGGCAGGGCCCCCCGGCTGCAGCATGGCAGGGGTTCCAGTGGACAGTGGGCTTGGGTGTTTCAACAGCATCTCCCACTGCAGGGCCCCAGTGCCACAGTTGGGTTGAGGCCACAGAATCCATTGCAGATGCAGGTACTGGCTGAGTGCCCACAGGGCAAAGGCCATCCTGAAAAAGGGGTGGGCAGCCCCTTCACCAGAACGGAATGCAAGTGCTGAGCCAGCTGACAGGGTCCTTGACTGATGGGTCTTTCAGTGAGAAGGGTCTCCTGCCAGTGTGGGCCTGCAGTCACCGGGCAGCTGACGACAAAACTCCCAGCAAGAGGTCTTTCCCCAATAAGCCTCGAGAAGAGGGCAGAATGGGGCCAGCTGCTGACGCAGCTGCCATGTCTGCTGGAGACATGCTGTGACAATGACAGGGAGGCATCCTTCCGTCCCCACCTGGTTCTTCTGTATGGGTCTCATGAGTGTGAGCTTCTGACATCAGGTTCCTTCTGAGTGAGGAAGAGAATGTGAGAGGTGGCATCCTGATTAAAGCTGTTTATGGTCTGGTGCATTTTTGGTTAAAAATCACACTTTTCATTTATTTAGCACATTGCTGTCAAGTTGCAACACGCTGTAATTATCAGACCACAAGTTCTGGAACCTGCTGCGTAAGGTCCAATCCTGGCTCCTCCTTCCGCTAACTGCTGACCTTGGGCAAGGCATTTAACTGCCTCGTACAACCTGGTTTCAATCCCAGCCGCACCCCTGACCCACCAGCTGCTGGGCAAGTTGCTTAACAGCTCTGTGCTCCTGTGTCTTCATCTACAAAGCAGGAATGATAGTACCTGCCCCATAGGGTTATTTTTAAAGATTAAGCGAGTTAATGCTCATAAAGCACTTTCGAAGTGTCTGCCCAACATATACAAAAATTTACCCGAAATACATCAAAGACCTAAATATAAGTGAAAACTGTAAAAATCATAGAAGCGTAAGGGAAATGTTCATGACCTTGGATTTGGCAATGGATTTTTAGCTGTGACACCAAAAGCATAAAAAATAAAAGAAAAAATAAAAAGAAGTAGATAAGCTAGACCTGATCATAATTAAAAGCATTAATCCTTAACATTCTAGCTCACATGACACCTCCTCTGAAGCCTGTTCTAACCCCTTCAGAGAGAATGGATTTTTTATAAGGGAGACAGTAACAGCAACAGATGTGACTGAGCATTTACTTCATTCAGGCCAGCCACTGTTTTACGTACTTTGAGTTGGTTGACTCACTTGCTCTTCACATCCATTTAAGATTAGATTCTATTGGCCATGCACAGTGGCTCACACCTCTAATCCCAACACTTGTGAAGCCAAGGCAGGAGGATCACTTGAGGCCAGGAGTTCAAGACCAGCCTAGGCAACATAGTGAGACCCCATCTCTACCAAAAAAAAAAAAAAAAGATACAGATAGATAGATATATAGATAGATGCCTGGCCGTGGTGGTGTGTGCCTGTGGTCCCAGCTACCTGGGAGGCTGAGGCAGGAGGATTGCTTGAGCCCAGGAGGTTGAGGCTGCAGTGAGCTATGATCACACCACTGCACTCCAGCCTGCACAACAGAGAAAGACCCTGCCTTCCAAAAACAACAACAACAAAAGATGAGGTTTTATTATTATCTCTGCTGACAAATGGAGAAACTGAGGCAGATAACAGTCCAGCAGCTGGCCCAGGCCATGCAGCACATCCTCTGTGCTCCCAGCACGTGTTGCAGACACCATCGTGTAGTCTGGAGCACACTGAGCTGGTTAGATCCAGATTCCCACTGTGAATGGGAACTCCTTAGGGCCAATGACATCCCTAACCCTGAATCATGGGACCTCAATGACTTCTGCAGGACTGAAAGTTACATCTTGATTCTGGAGGGATTTGGGTCGCAGACTAGAGATTTAAACTTTATTCTGAAGTAAGCAGAAAGTTATTTCAGATTTTTAAAAAATACATGAGAAAAATCGTGTTTCAGTAAAGACAAATCTGGTGTGCAACGTATGAGATAAATCAGGGGCGGCAGCAGGAGGCAGGGAGTTGAGTGAGGGTGGCCCACGGTTGTGAGTGGCTCCAGGTGGGTGGGGTGAGGCCTTGGGGATGGTGCGTGGACTAATCCAGATAGTGAAGGCCACACGTAGGGAGGCTTCAAGTCCCTTTAGGAACAAGAATCTCAGGAACTCAGAGGAGCCTGAGTGCTCTGCCAGCCATGCACATGGTGGATAAAAAGTAAAAATTCAGTCACTCACCCAATATTTGATCTCAGCATCCAGGATTTCTCAGCCTCTTGGGGGTTAGCATCGCAAAACCACAGGCAGAACTTGATGCCTTCCATCTTCTTTTCTTCAGATATCTTAATCTGAATATCAAAAGGAGAATGTGAGGCACAGTGGCTTATGCCTGTAATCCCAGCACTTTGGGAGGCTGAGGTGGGTGGATCACTTGGGCTCAGGAGTTTGAGACCAGCCTGGGCATCATGGCAAAACCCCATCTACAAAAAATACAAAAATTAGCCAGGAGTGGTGGCTGGCATCTGTAGTCCCAGCTACTTGGGAGGCTCAGTGGGAGGATTGCTTAAGCCCAGGAAACAGGTTTACAGTGAGCTGAGACTGAGCCACTGCACTCCAGCCTGGGTGACAGAGCAAGACTCCTTTCTCTCAAAAAAAGGAAAATGTGAAAGATCTTCAAAGCAAAATACACTCTTCTTTATAGCTTGTTCTTTCATTTTCCTTCCATTAGAAATAAAACCAAAGCAAAAAAAGAGGATTTAATATCCATCATAGCAAACTTTACTAACTGAAAATAATAATTGGCTATGGTCTGATTTGATTCAAAAATCCATTGTAGGCTTACAACACATTTATTTTTAAAAAAAAAAAAAGCTAAAACTTAGTAATACATCTTACCCTTAGGCAAACTCATAAGAACAGCTGCTGAAATTAAATTAGGTTGTATACTTGTTTCTGGAAGTTTTCCACCTCATTTCTGGCTGAAGTGAATCCTTGAAGAACCAGGAGGGCTGAGCAGAAAACAAATATTTGCCACTGCTTTCAGATCCATCCCTCTGTGGGAACAATCTGGAGAAACTGCCTTTTTCATATTTTCAGTAAAAAAAATTCCATATTCATGCCATTTCCTGTATTATGCAAAATACCTTCCCTCCATAGTCTCTTAAATGACACTGCAATATTTTTCCTAGAATTTCCTAAAAGAAAACAGCTGGTTTGATCCCCACTCTTGGTCCGCATGCCTGATTTCTGTAGACACTGGGTATTTGCAGTCTGGGCTGCATCAGTTTGTGAGGTACCCATAAGGATGTGGGCAGAGAGTTTAGAGACAGAAAACCCAGGGCAGAATTGATCCATGCACCAGAAAATGCATTGTGTAGGACAATTTATAGCTTAGGAGCTTCAGGAGACATGAGGTGGTTCCTGGGTCACAGGTTCTCAAATTTGGCTGCATATTGTAATCACCTGGGATGTTTCTTTAAAATGCTGATGCCTGGATTCCATTCCTAGAGATTCTGACTTTGGGTTGGTCTGGTGGATTGTGCATTAGGTTTTTCAAAAGCTCCCCAGGCCATGTAATATGTATCAAAATCTGAGGACCACCAACATAGACCATCTCCCCCTCCTCCCCAGAGAGGGGGCGACTTGCCCAAGGTCAGAATTATAATATCTTCCAGTGTACCCCAACTCTGCAGATGGTTCTCTATCACCCAGTGGCCCAAGAGATCAGTTTGAGAACAACTTTGCCTCATCCCACAACTTCACCCCAGACCTCAGGTCACTTCCCATGGTCAATGGGTTCTTCTCATAGTCTCAATGGCTGATCCTTCTCCATCTCCATGGTTAGTGCTCCTCAGATGATAGCAACAGGCTCCTCTCATTTGAGGCCTGGCTCCCTTCTCTTCGCCACACCATCTGCCTCCATACTCATCTTCAGGAGACTTGAGTGTAAACATGTTGCCTCCTACTCACACCTCTGTCAGGGGCTTCCCATTGCCTTTGGGACACCTTAATGTGGCTTCCAGACCCTCCAGGAGCTGGCTCCTGGCCTCCTGAGTATCCCATCTTGCCCCTCCTGTATGATTCCGCTTGTATGAGGTCCCTGGAGTTGTCAGACCCCTAGAGACAGGAAGTAGAGTAGGGGTGCCAGGGGCTGGGGGAGGGATGGGGAGTTACAATAGTATTTAACGGGGACAGAGTTTCAGTCTGGGAAGAGGGAAAGGTTCTGCAGATGGATGGTGGTGATGGTTGCACAAAAATATGAGCATACTTAATGCACTGAACTGGACACTTAAAATGGTTAAAATGGCAAATTGTATGTAATGCATATTTTATCAGAACAGTAAATTTTTTTCAATAGCTTTCTGAGAAAGACCTTGCCTGCCCTTTGCCTGAGTTAGGCAGCTCTGTTTTGTGTTTCCAGAACTCCACAATCTTCCTATCAGACCACTGTCCTGCTTAGAGTCTGGCCTTTTTACAGATTGTGACTAGAATAAAGGCGCATTGGAGTTCTCGCCTATTTACCACTGTGATCCCCCATGACTGCAGAGTAGGTGCCCACTGCATAATTGTTAATGAATGTTGTTGAATGAATAAAACCCAGAACTACAGTGTCCCAGCCCGTCAATCTTAATTGCTAGGAAAAATTGGATTGCAAAAATAATCCAATTTGATATTGTATTAGTCCATTCTTACATTGCTCTAAAGAACTACCCAAGACTGGATCATTTATAAAGAAAAGAGGTTTAATTGACACACTGTTCTGCTGGCTGTACAGGAAGCATGGCTGGAGAGGCCTCAGAAAACTTTTAATCATTGTAGAGGGGAAGCAGGCACATCTTACATGGGGGAGCAAGAGAAAGAGAGTGAAGGGGGAGTGCTATACACTTTTAAACAGCCAGATCTCATGAGAATTCACTCACTATCAAGAAGAGCAAGGGGAAAATCCACCCCCATGATCCATTCACCTCCCACCAGGCCCCACCTCCAATATTAGGGATTACAATTTGACATGAGATTTGGGTGGGGTCACAAATCCAAACCATATCATTCCACTCCTGTCCCCTCCCAGATCTCATGTCCTGCTCCCATTTCAAAATACAATCATGCCTTCCCAACAATCTCCCAAAGTCTTAACTCATTCCAGCATTAACCCAAAAGTCCAAGTCCAAAGTCTTATCTGAGGCAAGGCAAGTTTTTTCTGCCTATAAGCCTGTAAAATCAAAAGCAAGATAGTTCCTTCCAAAATACAATGGGGACACAGGCATTGGGTAAATACTCCCATTCCAAATGGGAGAAACTGGCCAAAACAAAGGGCTACAGGCCACATGCAAGTCTGAAACCCAGCAGGGCAGTCATTAGATCTTAAAGCTCCAAAATGATCTCCATTGACTCCATGACTCATATCCAGTGCATGCTGATACAGCAGTGGTCTCCATGATCTTGGGCCACTCTGCCCTGTAGCTCTGCAGGGTTCAGCTTCCTCAGCTGCTTTCACAGGGTGGCATTGAGTGCCTGGGGCTTTTCCAGATGCATGCTGCAAGCTGTCAGTGGATCTACCATTCTAGGGTCTGGAAGACAGTGGCCCTCTTCTCACAGCTCCACTAGGCAGTGCCCCAGTGGGGTCTCTGTGTGAAGGCTCCAACCCCACATTTCCCCTCTGCACTGCCCCAGTAGAGGATCTCCATGAGGGCTTCACCCCACAACAGACTTCTGCCTGGACTTCCAGGCATTTCATACATCCTGAAATTTAGGTGGATACTCCCAAGCCTCAACTCTCACACTCTGCACACCCACAGGCTTAATACCAAGTGGAAGCCACCAAGACTTGGGGCTTGCACCCTCTGAAGCAACAGCCTGAGCTGTACCTTGGCCTCTTTTAGCCATGGCTGGAGCTGGTGTGGGCGCAATGCAGGGCACCAAGGCTGCACAGAGAAGTGGGACTCTGAGCCCGGCCCATGAAACCATTCTTTCCTCCTAGGCCTCCAGGCCTGTGATGGGAGGGGCTGCCTCAAAGTTCTCTGAAATGCCTTGGAGGCGTTTTCCTTATTGTCTTGGTGATTAATATTTGGTTCCTTTTACTTATGCAAATTTCTGTAGCAGGCTTGAATTCCTCCCTAGAAAGTGAGTTTTTCTCTTCTACCACATAGTCGGACTGCAAATTTTCCAAACTTTTATGCTCAGCTTCCCTTTTTAAATATAAATTCCAGTTTCCAATCATCTATTTGCTCATGCATAACAAAAGTGACCTTGGCTGCCATTCTCAATAAGTTCCTTATCTCCATCTGAGACCATCTCAGCCTGGACTTCATTGTCTATATCACTATCAGCATTTTGGTCACAACCATCCAACAATTCTCTAGGAAGTTTCAAACTTTCCCTCATCTCTCTGTCTTCTGAGTCCTTCAACCTGTTCCAACCTCTGCCTATTACCAAGTTCCAGAGTCACTTCCACATTTTCAGGTATCTTTGTAAGAATGGCCCCTTCTCAGTACCAGTTTTCTGTATTCATTCCCACATTGCTCTAAAGAACTACCTGAGACTTGGTAATTTATTTTAAAAAGAGGTTTAATTGACTCATGATTCTGCAGGCTACATAGAAAGCATGGTTGGGGAGGCCTCAGGAAACTTTCAATCATGGTGGAAGGTGAAGGGAAGCAGGCACAACTTACATGGCTGGAGGAGGAGGAAGAGAGCACAGGGGGAGGGCTACACACTTTTAAACAGCCAAATCTTGTGAGAACTCCCTCACTATCATGAGAACAGCAAGGGAGAAATCTAGCCCCATGATCCAGTCACCTCCTACCAGGCTCAGCCTCCAACATTGGAGATTACAATTTGACATGAGATTTGGACGGGGACACAAATCCAAACCATATCAGATTTTAAGTAGCTAGAAGTATCAGACCACAAATTGTCCAGTCATGGTAAGTGATAACATTGGGTGAAGAATGTGGAATTTCAGCCTCTGATTAATCCTTACAGGTATATTCTGTTCGAGGTGGGTAGACCTCCAAGAATTTTGAGACTGCCTTTGTTCTGTCTAATAAATACAACAGGAAAATGAAAACCCGGTTGATGATTTCAGATTTTTTAAGAACAGCCTATTTATAACCACTTCCTTGCTTAATATTATGCTTTTTTCTCTTTCCAAATTAGATATTTATTTTTGAAAACAATATCTACTACTGTGCACATGTCGGGAAACAGGCCATCCGTGTGGTCTCCACTGGCAAGGAAGGTGTGATTTACAATGGCCTCAGTGACTGGCTGTATGAAGGTAAGATGTGCACAGAGAGAAAAAAGGAAGATTTGTGGTTGCTGCTGCTGCTACATTGGAGTTGGGTTCTTTTTCATTTTTCTTTGACTTTAACTGTAAATTAAACTCCAGTTTCTTGAGGTTCTGCAAAATTTAAAAGATTTTGTTAGAGCTTTTGGGATCAGGCTGATCAGCATCAGAGAACAGCATCAGGCTGTTGTCAGGGGCCTGCAGTGTTGTGCACTCACCTGGGACAGGTGTGCTGGCTTTGGGCTTTGCAGAGCTCTGCAATTCATCCCTGAAGGGCAGGAGGCTCGTTAATGGGAGATTTATTATGTCAGGAGGTGACTTCTGGGAACGCTCAGGGACTGCAAATGCATGTGTCTCTACCCCACTCCAAGACATAAGTGCCTCGTTTTGCCTTGGGAAGGGGACAGTTGGAAAAGAAAGAATGAGTTGCATCTTTCCAAATAAATCATCAGAGTGACTTGCTGCTGAGAGCGCCTCCACCTTGCTGGACATTTTCTACCACTGGTTTGCCTTTGGCACCAGAAGACTCATGCTGTATACATTATTAAATAACTAGAAGTCAGAGGGGGAAGCTCTCTTCTTAAACTTTGATAACCTGTCTCCATGCTCATGACCCTTCATCGTAACAATAACAACCAGGTATTGATTGCTATTAGCTGTCAGGCACTGCTGGAAGCACTTTGTTTTCTGTTACTTCATTCCACCCTCTGTCTTAGTTTGTTCAGGCTGCTGTAACAAGATATAACAAGATTCCACAGACTAGGTAGCTTAAACAATGAATATGTATTTCTCACAGCTCTGAAGCCTGGGAAGTCCAAGATCAGGGTGCTGGCAGACCCACTGTCTGGTGAGGGCTCTCCTCCTCACTTGTACATGGCTGTCTTCTTATGTCCTCACCTGGCAGAGTAGAGAGAGCTCTGGTCTTTTTATCTCTTTATAAGGGCACAAATCTTTTTATCTTTTTATCTCTTTATAAGGGCATGAATCCCATTCATAGGGGCAACACCCTCATAACCTCATCACCTTACAAAGGCTCCACCTCCTAACCCCATCACCTTAGGGATTTGGGTTTCAATATATGAATTTGGGGGGACACAGACATTCAGTTCATAGTACTGTCATAACAAGGTTCTATTTTATAGATGAGGCATGGTTAGGTTAAATAATTGGCCCAAGTTTACACAAGGTAAGGAATATTTATTGGGGAAAGGCGTTGTCCAAGCTCAGGGTAATTACCTTTTTTGAATTCCACATGTGGCTACAGTAACCGTATGCTTTCCAGCATGGGGCTGATGAACAACCCAAGCTCTTCTCAGCCTCCTGGCCTGAAACCGTGTGGTCACAGCAATAACTCACCCTGCTAGGCTGGGTCAAGGGAGGGTCAGGGAGATTCTGGGTGCTTTCTCAAGCCAGTATCACTTTCTCCTAGTGCTGTGCATGCCTCATTCTGCATTTTAGTGGCTTTATGCATCATAAATTATAAAGCAGATGGATATGCAAGCTTAGTGTTACCTCCTAGGATAATTTCTCTGAAGCCATAAAGTTCTATGACTTGATTTTTAATTTTTGTAAATGGAGGTATAATTTGTACATAATAAAATGTACATCAGAAGGACAGTTTGATGAGTTTGGCAAATGTATATACTATATAGCCCCAGTCAAGACATAGACCATTTCCATCAGTCTAGAATATTCCTACAAGTCCCTTTCCAAGGGCTTTCTCCCTAAATCTGTCTTCCAGAGACTGCCACGGTCCTGGGGGCTAAGCAGCCCATTCTCTAACAGACATACTGGAACCCAAGCATCCACATGAGGCTGTCCTTCCCTGTGTGGTCACCATGGAAGCCCCATGTTTATTCCAATGTGGCTGCCGGTGCTCAGAGCATGCTGAAGAGTCCAGTTTCCTTCTGAGCCCCAGGAGAATCAACCCTGAGATTTTATTGTCACATGAGTCCTTGGCTACACCTGAAAAAGCCACTGGAATGAAAGAGGGGACACAGTCTGCTGTAGTTATGCCTGTTCTGTGCAGAAACAGCCCTAGAAATGGTGTGCCCGGAGATGTCCCCAGCTCCACCAAAGAGGTACAGGCAGCAGCACAAAGGGAAGCTCCGGAGGGGCTGCACCTCTGCCTGGGGTGCAATCCCTGAGCCTCTGGGGCTTGCCTGCCCCCTGGACTCAGTAGACTGTTGACAATGAGGACTCTAAAGCCCCTTGTGTGCTGCCCTTTTGTGAGAAAAAGGCCTTATACCTAGGAGCAACTGGAAAACTGGGTCCTGTTTGCTCCCTGATATCTGAGATCCCACTAACAGCTCTTTTGCTTGGGTGTGAGATCAGCTCAATATCTGGATAGGGAAGGGAACCCAGGGGCTGGAGATCAGAACATGAGTGGTTCAAAGTAAGGCTGTGGAGCTGCAGGGACCCAGGGAGGAGACCTGGCCCAGTCACGGGACATGACAAGGGTCTTCCACTCCATCGACCTCAACATGCTCATGTGTACATGGGAAGAATGCCCCAAACACTACACTTCCTGAGGACTGTGTGAGACTTGGAGTGGAATACGTGCAGCACATGACATGGTCAGCAAGGGACAGTTGCTGCTGTTGTTTCTTATCACAATAAAAATAACAATAATTATGTATTTATTACTATTATTGTAATTATTTGTTAGTAGTATTTTTATCACAAAGGAAAAAAGATGTTTAAAAAAGAAAAAAATGGCATAGATATCAAGGCAATGTTACCCAGGTGGTCATTCTGCCACAGGGCAGAAATTGTCTGACCTGAAAATTCAAGAGAGATCAGTGCAAATAATAATGAACCCAAGGTGTGTCCCCCGTCCCTAAGAGAAAGGGCCCCTAGAATTTTGGCTGCAAGAGCCTAGGCATTCTCTGGGACTAATCTCCCTCAAAAATCCATAACCAGGAGATTTAAAATATCTTTTTTAGTATCTTCTTAATAAAATAAAAAGTTCATTGCTTTGCCATTCACATTAAGCTTTTGCTTTAGCAAATCCATTGAAAGGACTTTTTTCTTCAAGGCATTTACACGAAATTGTGTTGATGTGATAACAGAGCCCTAAATATTTTAAATCAATCACAGTTGATGTGGCAGCTTAATCTACTTAGTGTTGTTCCCTGGAAGGTTTATATGCTGATGCTTAGATTTCTGAGGCTGGGAGCACAGGAGCCCTGAGGATTCTTGCTTCCTTTTTTAATAATGGGAAAGTAAACTTTGATGATCGCTTTTGCCTACTCTGTGACTTAACTGTTTCAATTCCAAACACTTCCTTTAAAAAAGTTAGGGGGTGGGGGGAGATTAGAATGAAAATGCCCTAAAGCATTTGCAGAGGGGCTCATTTGCTTGGAGATGTTAGTTCTAAGAAGATAAGCTGTGTACGTGGGAAACAGCCACTGCAGTCCATAGCTTGTTGGCAGAAAAATGCCTTATTGATTTGTTTTGTTTCCCAGAAAGGATCTTAAACATACTAAACATTGCAAAATATTGGAGACTGAGGAAGAGAAGAGGTGGGCAGCCATAGAGGCTTCTGGGAGTCTCCAACCCTTGACCTAAGCTTTAAACACACAAAGTGGGAAAAGCTCCAGTTTACTGAAGCAGTCGCCCACATGCCAGAATGTGAGCTCAACACTGGCTGTGAACTCAGCACTGGCTGTGAACTCATCACTGGCTGTGAACTCAGTGTATCTGTCTTGCTGATTCTCTAAAGAGAGTCCTGTGGCTCATGGTGGCCACAAACTGATTTTGATAAGCAAAATGCATATCTTCATTTTATTCTTCTGGGAAAATGTCATAAAATTACATCGAATTTTGATTTTAATAAAAACTAAAGACAGCTTAATAGAGTCCTACAACTTTTTAAAGTTTATTAAAGTTTGTTTATTCATAAACTAAACGTAAGATGTTACTGAAGATGAAGATTTTGAGGCCTGTGAGTGAGTGTTCTGTTAAGAATGTGCACTTTGATGCAGGGCTCAGTAATTTTGCAAAGTTCCTAGTATGTAGGCATATGGGCAAAGAGTTGGAATTCTCCAAGTTTTGATGAAAGTTCTTTGTTACCGCCATTACATGGTTGATTGTGTTTCCAGCTGCCACTCTTTGTTTATAAATTACTCTTTGTTTTTCTTTTGTTTGTTTTTTTTTTTGAGATGGAGTCTTGCTTTGTCACCCAGGCTGGAGTGTAGTGGCGCAATCTCGGCTCACTGCAAGCTCCGCCTCCCAGGGTCACACCATTCTCCTGCCTCAGCCTCCTGAGTAGCTGGGACTAACAGGCGCCTGCCACCATGCCCGGCTAATTTTTTTTTTTTGGTATTTTTAGTAGAGGTGGGGTTTCACCGTGTTAGCCAGGATGGTCTCAGTCATCTTCGTTATCATCATATGCATGAGCTATAGTGGGACAGCACAGAATTTTTGGCCAATAATTTGCTAATAATGACTTTAAGTTATTAAATATTTCAGCTAAACAATGAGTCATCCATACTTCTTTTACCAAAGCAGTCACATGCATATGCATATCCAAAATACATATAATTATTCAGTGATATGCCATTATCATGGAATGACTCACAGCCCTGTGGAAAGCTGGAACATGTTAGGGTCATTGGAGGACAACATCTTTCCTTATGTATATAAAAGATCTTATCCCCTCAAAGGGCAGTGGAGGTAGAGTGAGGGATGATGAACTCGAGAAGATATTTATAGAGCTCAGCCTGGAGTCATCAGCCTGGGATGGCAGGGAAAGTGAGAAAAGGGCCCGAAGGGTATTTATTTCATATCTGGTTTGGCATGGATGAAATTCCAGGGCTGGATTTTCCTTAACTAGTCAAGAACATAAAAGTACTTGAAAAATGTGATCAGATCAGGAGACCCAGTTTGGCACGGAAGCATTTCCCCGTGCATGTCAGCAGGAATCATGTTAGATGAGACTCTCGAAGCTGCCCCTGGCACTAGTTCCCCTTGCGTGGTTCTAGGACCCATGCAGTCAGGCAGCCCCTGACAAGGAGTAGCTGCTGGGAAGTCTCCTGCCAACAATACTCACTTCTGCTCCACCCTGCCCAGTCCACCGCCCTCGCCTGGACTCCATGGCACCCTCCCCATTTTCTGCAGCCCTGCCCTGACTCCTGAGGCCCCCTTCTCCCAGTCACAGCCCTTGCCACAGTCCCCACGGAGCCACCGTCCTGGTTCCACCTACCTGGGAGCCCCCAAGAGAGACTGTCTTCACTGTCCCACACTAACTGCCACCTTCACTGGGTGGCCAGCATGGAGGAAGTGGGGATGTGGCTAGTCTGGCCAGAAAGGACTTCCTTCCAGAACTGCTGCTGCTGGAGAGGGGTTTAGTGCCTCTTGAGTTGGAACTCAGAATGCTCTCATTAGCGATGTAGTCAGGCCCACTGTACAAGGAGCAGAGCCTTTCCTAAGCTAGGGCCCTCAGTCCTGCTGGATGAGCACCAAACCCTGGTGGTGTGACCATTACCCTCCATCTGTGTGTCCTGCTCATGTCTAGGGACTGCAAGGCCAGCGTGAGGCAAGGCCTGCTTTGCACTTCTTTATAGTTTCTCAAAGCATCTTTAAAGAGTCAGCACTCATGACCTAATAGTTTTCTGTTCCAATGAAGTGCTCTAAGAGGTACCAGCAAAAGGTCAGGTGGGCCCCAGGCAGATAAATTTGAGTTAATGAATTTTGGGGGTGGGGCAATTCCATGCTTTATTGTCTTGAGTATTCAAGGAGGTGGAGAGTGTGTAGGAGTAGTAGTGCAGTGTAGTAGATCACAGTGGATTTTCACACTTTCATGGAAGAAAACACATTATTAAAATGAAAGCCCTCCTGGGGATCGTGGAATGGTTTTCAGGGTCTGTTTTCCACAGGGGGCACATTCACCAAAAGAAAAGGGAACTCTTTGTTCATCCAGATTCCCATAAACTCTCTAAATCCCATGAAAGCAGAACAAACTTAAGTAACACTTCACGTGAAACTTGCATATTGGCTTTAATTTACATTCATGACACGTTAGATATGTTGTACACTTTGTGTGCCTTGTGTCACGCTGATACCCAGTGTGCTGAGTACCTGCTTCCTGCGTGTTGTGAACAGACCAGAGCCAGTTGTGACCATCGATAACTGGTACAGTCTTCAGTGAATAGCGGCAGCCTTGGACGGTTCGACGCAGATGAAGAAAATCTAGCACACCATCTTTTTATCTAAGAAAGCAATATGCTGGAACCATTAGACATTAATGACACTTATGCTACTTTTCTTTAGAGACAGGCTCTCACTATGTTGCCCAGGCTGGCCTCAAACTTGTGTGCTCCTGGCTTCGCCTCCTGAGCAGCTGGGACTGCAGGAACCTGCCACTGAGCCCCAACCTTTTATGCTGTTTTTAAAACTCCCTGACATACATTTGGAGACTGATATGTGAGGTGCTTACAGAAGCCCCCTGGAGTGTAGATTCTTGATTGGGTTCTGCAAATATTAACTGCCTCTGAAGCACCTGGCTAGGGCACTTCAACTGCTAGCAAACTGCTCCCAGGTAGTAGATCAAAGTGGATTTTTACACCCGTCATACATCTTAGTGACCATACTGATGTTTTTTAAATAAGTTATGGAGCAGGCAGTACAATGGGAATTGGAATGATGTTCAAATATGTACATTACTATGTAAACCATAGATCTGTAGTTATTTGGACCTCTTATTGATTACATCTCTTATTTGCATGATGGGAAATGTTTGGTTAGACAAGGACATCACTCTCAGTAAATTGGCAGAAACTTGTGATTAGCTTGACAAAGCTCCTTTGTGGAAGAGCAGGGCAGAGTCTTTGTAGTGATGATGCCTGTGTTTAAACAAAAGCTTCACCACGTAAAAGCTGTATGAACTTGGATGAATATTTGACCTCTTTGTGTCTCTGCTGCCTTGTCTGCAAAACAAAGATAACAGCAGTATATGCTCCATAAGGTCACAGAGGAAATTGAAATAAGCTAATACACATAGAGCTCTTAGAATAGTGCCTGCCACTGGTAACGTCTACGTATTGGTGGTACAACTACTATTGCTTTACCTTGTAATTTCCCAAACTCGGTAAAATAAGAGGCACCTGCTCAACTATTTCATTTGCAATGTCAGGAATCGGAAGCATTAATGTGTAATTAATGATACCTATCAGTGTTGAAAACTCTGAAGCTCTATTCACTCATAAAATATTATCTGTAGTATGTTCACATAGAAAATGCACTATGAGTTCCCAGTCATCCTAGAAATGCTATTGATACCATGTTGAACACCTCTTCAAGAGCCTTCTGTCCACGTTTAGATTCTCCAAGCTGAAATCACACCCTTAGTTGCCACTGATGCCTGACAGAGAGACAGCTGTTTTCCTTTTATGAGCCCCAAAGTTCTTGTGACTTGGTAAAAATTATGCCTCATGATCTCTTACAGAAATTGAGTACTTAAAAAAATTATATTCCACTTCATCTATGACTTCTAAGGGAGGATATGAAAGTAAAAGTAATGATGAAAATATCTAAAATGTAATCAGTGTCTGGCGAAGCTATCAGACCTATGAGGTACTGTGCAATGGAGCATTGGCTCAATCAAATAGCAATCATTCTGAGCAGGAGTCTGAATGCTTTGGGTATTTCATGTAACTAAAATGAGTATTTTCCTTGTCTAGTCCTAGTCTCCAACTCTGTAAAGTATTAATGATCTTGACTTGAAGAACATGTTAATTTTACCTTGTAGAGAGACAAGGAGGAAAAGCCAAGAAGCTGTTTGGTAGAAGTTCAGTTGGCTCTGACCAGAAAATGGCTGAGATGGCCTAAGAGTTCCATTCCTTCTGTGCTTCTCTGAACCTGTGAGAGATTTCTGGGTTTCTAGATTTCTGCAAGGATCAACAGGAAAACAGTGTTCTAAGGCAGGAAATAAGAATGTCAGGAGCATAACATAGACTGTGATTGCCACAGGTAAGCCAGGCTGGCTGCCAAGGCCCTCTTAGCCCCCTGGGTCCAACTGCACCTGTTCCTCACTTGACCCTGAGTCCCACCAGACCCTCCCCTGCCATCGTCTGCTCTCAACGTAGCAATCATGGCATCATGGCTGCCTCAGTGCCAAACTTTAAATCCAGGTAGGTCACCAGGAAACACCAGCACATCCTAACCAGCACCATCTCTCTGTTTCTGCGATCATGGGCAGACCACTATCTTTCTGCTGTAACAACACAAAGTGTATGCCCTCACTTGCCTATGTTCATCTGAGTTTTCTTGAAAGAAAAACACATGGCTATTGATTCTCTAATCACAGAAGGAGGTAGTGTTGGAGCTGAAATGGACGTTAGCAGACATTGAGTCCAGCAGTCAGTAAACTGTTTCTGTAAATGGCTAATAGAGTCTGGGTAATAGAGTCAGGGTTTTGCAGGACATATGGTCTTCATTGCCACTGCTCAAGCCTGTTGTCATAGCAAAACAGCAGCCATACACCATAAGCATGGCTGTGTTCCAATAAACTTTATTTGTGGACAGCGAAATTTGAATTTCTTGTAATTCTCACATGTCATTAAATATTCTTCTTTTTTACCAGCTATTAAAAAACACAAAACCAATTCTTAGCTCTCAGGTCATACAAAAGAGACAGCAAGCCAGATTTGGCCCAAAAGCCATAGTAAGCCAATCCCAATTTGTCCAGTCATCACATTCACAGACGAGGCTACTGACATCATGTCTGAATTCTTCCAGCTCTTGTCGTCTGTATCAAGATCATTTGTAATGACAACCAATTATTTCAAATTTTGCTTCTCCAAATAAGTCTAGTTACTTGAAGTCAAGAACTGTATTTTATATTGTATGTTTCCCATAACACCAGTGACTCTCTGAGTACTTAATAAATGTTCAGAAAATACTTTTGAATGAGTTAATTCACAGAGAGAAACTCACATATTCTAGGAACCTCCACAAGGAAATCATATTGTTTCTCCATGATCACTCTTATTAGAATTTCCATTTCCACAAAATTCCCTCAACAGAAAAACACCTGATTAACAAAAAGCAACAGTAATTGTTAACCTCGTTTTAATTATGAGTTTCACGTTTTATCCCCAAGGATAAAGGAAAAAACTGGAGTGACGTTGGGAAGGACATGGTCTTCTTACCGTGAGCCCAGGGGCACAGGATCATAGCTCATCAGACTCTAGACCATCTAAATTCATGCTAAGTCATAGTTCACATACTGAATGAATAGAGTAGGAATAGCAGTATCTAAGTTTCAGTGAGTCTTTCTTCCATGCCAGGCCTTACACAAATAAACTTCGAGAGCGCTATGAAGAAAGCTCTAGGATTGTTCCTTGGTATCCTCGGGAGACTGGTTCCAGGAACCCCACTGCACCCACCCTTCTTCAATCAGATACCAGAGTCTGAGGATGCTCAAGTTCCTTGTGTGAAATGGCTTAGCATTTGCCTATTACCCGTGCTCATCCTCCGGGATACTTTAAATCATCTCTAAATCACTTATAAATACCTAACACCATGCAAAGCCTATGTAAATAGTTGATATGCTGTATTTTTTATTTGTAATATTTTTTATGGTCACACTGTTATTTTTTTCTTTAATATTTTTGATCTGCATTTGGTGGGAGGGTCTAGAGATGTGGAATTTTTAGACACAGAGGGCCAACTCTTTCCTTATCCTATTGCACAGCTGTGGAAACTATTAAGTGGCCTTTCTGTGGACAAACAACCAGTAGGGAGCCTGCCTGAAGCTGCTAAGCACTTTCCTGCTGCATATGAGTTGCATTAATTTCTTGCCTATGAAATTAGGCTTGGGTCCATACTCAAGTTCTGGGTGCAGCATCCTGTAGATGTGTCTGCTCAATGCCCCAGGCTTGAACCATCTGTGCTGTAAAAGGTGTGTCTCATGGCACAGATTTAAGAGCCCAACAGACCTTGATTTAAGCCCTCTGTGAGCCATTCAGCTGCCTGGTGACCAAATCACAAACCTTGTCTGACCCTCAGTTTCCTGGTCTGGATGATAAAACTTCAGGCACCTTTCTCAAAGAATTATTGCAAAGTTAAACAAGAGCGCTTCTGTGGAAGCGCAGGCATATTACAGTGGAACCATAAGAAATTGCCAACAGGTTCATTGTATATTAGCATGTGCATGTGAGATGTCCGGTGAAGGTCAACTTTCTTCTCCCATCCTGCTGGCTATGCTGGATGAGATCTCAGATATGGTAAAGTCTCAGATGTCTGCGTGCCCAGCACAGAGAATTTACCATGGAAAAGGCGGGGGTATTTTTTGACTGGAAGGTCAGACCTATTCACCTCCAGGTATAGCATCTCCAGGGCCCCCCCAGCAAACAGGAGATAAAAGGGATGACTGCTCTCCTGGTCTGTGGGTTTCTCCCAAGAGAAACTTGACAGAGACTTCCTTGCTCCAAATCTTCCTCTTCGTGGCTCCTTGTTTCTGGTACTGATTCCCACCACCCTCCTAATTGCCATGGTGACCAGTCGGTTTGCTATTTAATTAATGTTGTATCTGATTACATCTGTACCCTGGGAGTTCTCCAGCCAAGAGTTGCAATTTAAACTCAGAAATAAATAAAACGTTCAGCTGTGAGGATGGGGGAATTATCCTAGTCAATCCCGGAATATTCTTCCGACCTTTCTTAGATGAAAAATTATCTGGTGGAAGTTGGAGTGAGGCAGTAGTACACAATGAAGAAGGAACAATATTCTGCTTTTGGAATATTTAAAAGGAAGCCTCAGACAGCAGCTAGGGGTCCTGCTTAGCGGATAGAGCTTTGGAAAGAGGAAATATTAGAAATTTGGTTGAGAATTTTCTATGAAGTTCAGTGCTAAGAGCAGAGACCACAACTTAGGCTTTGCAGCCAGCATTCCCTTCCATAAACTTCAAACGTAAGCCTGATCAGAACAAGGCTAGCAGGAAGATGTGCTGGTGGGGACAGGCTAGGTCCTGCTGTGGGTAGCAAAAAACAAACAAAAGCAAACAGAACACTGCCTCTAATTTAAAACAGCAAAGTGTATTTCTCGTCGGAGATCACTCAAGCCCACTCTAGATCAGGGATGGGGAGGAGGTGAGGCTCTTTCCCTCACGGTCACTCAAGGTCCCAGGCTGCTGGGGCTGTCCTCTTAGGCATCGCAGCCACACTAGTGGAAAGGGGAGTGTTCCGGAGGGACACAAGCTGGGGAATAAATGCTTGGCCTGGGAATGACCCTGGCACTTCTACGCATGACTCATTGTCCAGAACACCTCATATGGTCCCACCAGGGTTCCAGGAAGTAGCACTGAGCCATTGTCCAGAAGAGGGGGAGGCCAGACATGTCTGGGAGGCAGGACTGAAGACCCCACATCTGGGCAGCTTTCTTGCCAACAGTGGGCCTCAAGTTTGGTGCCCAAAGCAGAAGAGGAATTGTCTAGAGGGATGTTGGGGAATCTCTCAGAATCAACAGGAAGATCAGAGTTGGGTTGAGAAAGCAGGCAGCCGTCCAGGGCAGCTGAGGGGACGCCAGGGGTCCATCTGGTTGGGACACTGCTGTGGGGGAATGGGAGTATGGGAGAGGCATTGTCTGCCCGGATCACAAATGACGTTCTTGAATGAGCTGCAAATAGAAATGCCATGTCCCCCATGGAATCATCAATATGGCAACTTGGGAAGCGTATTCCAGGAAAAAGCTAGGGTGTGTAACGTTTTATTGTTGCAAACTCTATCATTTCACACTTAAATGATAATCGCAAGGAGAGCCATCAGAACCATTAGTCATCATCTCTTCAATGCGAAGGTTCGTAATTGTCACATGCACCTTGCAATAAGGCACCTTGCAATAAGCTCCCTTCCTTCTTGGCATCTCCTTGGAGCCTGTGAAGTGATGAATGCAGTTCCCAATGCACAGCCCTCAAACTGCATGGGAGAAACCCCAGTGTCCCAGAGGACAGTGGGGGCGGCTTCAGCGTGGCTGTGTGGCACTGAAACAGGTTAACCGCAAACCTCTAGTTCTCAGAACCAAAGCTGAATCCACATTTGAAAATCCAGTAGAAGCTTTGTTAATATTTTAGGAAGGCTATTGAGTATTTTAATTCAACATGAAGAGGTGATCTAGCTGGTCTTGTGAAAAATCAGTAATAAATCTAAAGGGAGAATGTTCTCTAAAGGTACAGGAAGAATTCTCATTGGTCTTGAGAAATGTCCTTACAATTAATGACCTACTCCTGAGAGATCGTGACAAATATCTTAGGATGTTCAGTGACTATATTTTTCTATCTTTCAAATTATGCATTTCATTGTGAGATTAGGACAAACACACTTTTACCTTTTTTTATAGCGCCCTAATGAAACTTATGTATTTGAGGTTGAGATATTTGACACCCTTGGGAACTCTAATTTCTTTTTTTTTTTTTTCCGTCTTCTTAAGTCACCTAAGGACATTAGACCATTTGCCCTATTATTGAGAGTTTTACTAAAATGCAAGCTGCAAATGCCAGAAGGAAGATAGGCAACAAGACAATATGTACTTAAAAGAGTTTCATTTGATACTCAGAAGCTGGAACTAGACTTAGCTCTTTTGCTCACTAAACCTGTATTCTAACCTTTTTGGGCCTCAGTGTCTTTTTCTTGTTCTGGAAGCATCACTAGGGTGGACCAGATAATGCTAAACTCCTTTCCGTCTCTAACCCTTTTCATGTTTAATTATCAGTGCCATAAGCACACAGCGTTGATGGTATGAAGTCTGTGTCCATGCCAGATAACTTCACAAGGAAATAGTTAACAATTCTCGGTTTTACTTAGTAAACATACGGGAGCAATGCTCCTCAGTTGCAATGGTGGGGGCTGGGCACGTGGGTATCTCGGCCTTTTTGTCCCCTTCCTCTCCCCTTTCGTCACCCCCACACACAGGACATTTGCGTACTGGGAGAACCTTTATTAGATGATTCTGATAAACCTTCTCCTTATCCCCACGTGAAACCTATCTGCCCTAAAGGAATCAGTCTTCTGTCTCCTTTACTCCCCATTTTTTTCTTTCTATAAAATTTGCATTATTGGCATAACTTTTCTCTTTACTATGGGTTATCTTTGGGAAGGTGTAAGGGAATGCAAAGATAGCTCACCTCCACGTCAGAGCTCCCTGCACTTGCAGGCGTGGAGAGGACATACCCTTCGTCACTCGTTCTGTGCGTTAGGACCAGAGTGGAAGAGGATGCGAGGAGTCAGATTTCAGGTCAGTTGCTCTTCCCCAGCCTTCAAGCAATGGCAGAGGCTGTCCTGGGAAGGTCATGCTCTTCTGTCTGGGTTATCTGAAGTGATCATTGCACCGAGTGGGAGACTGGACATGCAGACCTATCATCTGCAGCCATACAAGCTCATGATTCTGGGCACCCTGAGTCAAGTCCCAGAGCCCAGGCAACCTGGCAGAACCCAGGAAGGGTGAAGCCTCTGCATGCTGGCCACTCAGGCCTACGATTAGCCCCTCCCCAGCACATCCGTGCATTCAGCGCAAGGCCAAGCTCCATCCAGTCGATGGAAATGGGCACCTGAGCCTCAGAAACACCCAAAGAAGAGAGCACCTTTCAGCTCTTCATGGAAGAAAGCGAGCCAGCCAGCACCTTCTTCTTTTTGCAGGAATAAATATGTCTGGCACCTGGATTATTTTATTTAAAAGGCCAGCTGTGTGGACACCATGCCTATAAAGTATTGGGATTTTTAATGAATGTTAACCAAGGAAGAGCCCAGCTAGGATACTTCCTGTAGGTGTCACTTTGTGGAGGTCTTAGGTGCTATCCAACCCTAAGGACAAGGCAGCCAGGCCAGCTGAAGGATTTCAGATCAGCTCTTTCTCTGCTCACCACCCTCATTATTATCCACTTCTTTTATGGGTCCACTCAGATGCTCATGCTCACAGTCTTACCTCCCTTCTCTCCATCCAGAAAGGTGAAACCTCACCCACCGCCATGTGGCTCCCACATCCCAGTGTCCTGCATCTGTGTCTCCAGAAACATGGCAGAGATAGAAGAAATTTACATGTAGCAAAATTCATCTCTTCAAGAAGATATTCCAACACCTGACAGTGGCCCACACAGTCCTCATTTACTAGGGAATCCTATTTCGAGCCCCTTCTGGGCGCCCAGATTGGATGAGTCACTATGGATTGCAGTGCCCCACCCAACGGGGTACCTGAAAAAGAGGAAGAAAGGGAGGCAGGGAGGGAAGGAGATGAAGGAGGTCCAAGACAGGGACCCTTCCCTTGAGGAACTGATACACAGTCAGTCCGATGGAGGCCAAGACCACCTGCAGGAAGCAGCTCCTTCCTTCCATTATTCGAGTGGGATTCATGCATTTATTCTGCACCGAAGCCCTCTACCAGGTCCTCCAAGGGAGACAGAGATGCTTTAAGATCTGGACCTGCCTTCACAAAGTGTATATCCTGCAAGATGGTATTGAACCACATCCTAATTACATGGCACAAATCTTTCACACATTTAGACACTTTTGGCAGAATGGTATCTTCTGATTTAAAACTGCAGAAACATGAAAATTAGAAAACCAAACAACCATTAATGCATTAACTCAAGAGTTCATTCCTAAAATCCAAATTTCCTTCTCTGGAGATAGGACCAGATCATAGCTCCCAATCTTTTCTCCAGTTTTTGTTTTACGACATTTCGGATTTGAGATTCTGTAAGAAGTGACCTAATGTGAGCATTTCCTGATATGGAGGAGACGCAAAATAGCTCAGGGAAAAAGTTGATCATTAGAAAAATCTGTGGTTGTCCCACTGTCTCATCGTGCCACTGGGAGTTTCTGGCCTCCGCTGGCATCTCTGATGAATGTTCTATGCCAGGACAAAGAAGGCGGGCATGGGCCAGGCAGTCCCTCCAGTCAGGGAACGGTGGCCTCTCCCAGCTGCCTTGGTGTTTAGGAGGCCCTGTAAGGGTATTTGGGATCTCAAGAGCCTCTGGGACTTACGGGCAAAGGGCAGACCTTAAGAGCCAGTCCCTCCTCCCCCAAAATGTTTAGCAAGCCAGAAATTCCCCTTTACTGCTAAGTCAAAGGAAGATGTTCTTTGACTCTTCAGGGAGCATAACGTACCATCCTTTGATGGTCATACACATTAAAAGAAGATAAAGCCAGAAATAAAAGGGAAAGAAACAGTTATATGATTTTGGTGGGAATTTGCAGAAATACAGGCTGAAGCTGAAGTCTTCCATCAGGTGAGGTTTTTTCCATTGATCTCATCTCTCGGGCTCAGCTCTTTTATCTCCAGCGCATTTTGGATGTGGCTTCTCTTTCCACCTGCTGGGCCTTTAGATAGAGTACTTCCTTTTGTTTCAAGGTAGCATTTAACTGAGTCTGGAAAAACCATCATTAAGGGAAAATAAAGCTGAAAGATGAATTGAAAACTATGTAAAAGGGCCCTTTCAGGCTGCCGGAGAGATTGCCTTTCCAGCCTAATGAGCCTGTGCTGCCTCTGATTCAGATGGTGCAAGGACAGGAGAAAAGAATGGAGTTTTGTGCACTGCGATTTTCCAAAGCACATAATGCTTAGTCATTTGGGGTGTTAGGAAAGAGAGAAAGTCGGAGCGGAGTGTGTGGTGAAGTGAGAGAAAGAAAGAAGGCTGAATTTTCGTTAAGCTGCTCAAATGCCTGCTTTAACAAAAGTCTGCCAGGGCTAGAGGTGATTAGCCATCAGTGCTGCTGCTGTTTTTGCTGTCGTTTTTGCTGTTGCTGAAGTTTAAAGGTCCTGTGCCCCTTGGTATATACGCAGGGGATTGGTTCCAGGACCCCTGCATTACCAAAATTCAAACATACTCCAGTCCCAGTCAGCCCTGAGGACCCAGGTATATGAAGGGGTATATACGCAGGGGATTGGTTCCAGGACCCCTGAGTTACCAAAATTCAAACATACTCCAGTCCCAGTCAGCCCTGAGGACCCAGGTATATGAAAAGTCAGTCCTCCATATACAGGGATTTCACATCCCTCAAATACTGTACTTTCCATATGTATTTGGTTGAAAAAATCTGCACATAAGTCGACCCACGCAGTTCAAACCTATATTGTTCAAGGGTCTGCTGTCCCGTCCTTATGTGGGATGGTGACAAGCGGCCCTGTGTCCCATGGCGTGCAGCTGAGCGGCCTTGGTGCAGAGGTGGATTTGCAGCCAGTTGTCCACACATCCTGGATCCTCCCGGTGCGTCCTGTGTAATGGGTTAACTGGACCTGCCTAAGCCTGGGCCTCCCACCCCTCAAAAGCAGCTTCTCCAAGCTTTCCTACTTAAATTTCTCCAGCCACAGAGAGAAGCATTTATTGTCTCTCACCACACCCGCCCCCCAGTATAGAAGAAAGGAAGACTGGGGAATTGATCTCTCAGAGCACTTGGAGAAGCCACACGTCAGCAGCCAGTAAAGCTAGAATGAAAATCTGAGCGATCAAGGCAATGGAATAGAAAGTCAAAACCCAAACTTCATCTCTTCCCCACTAAAGGAACGGGAAGGGACACTGCCACCTGGCGGCCAGCCGAGGCATGTTCGGGGAGCCGATCCTCCTCCCTGGGCCCCCCACGGTGTTGATTTGTGGGAATTTGCAGATCTCTGATGATAATGAGGGGATTCGCAGTGTGTGATATGCAAATAACACAGCTCTGATTAGTGAAGGAGGCTGCGAGCCTTGCAAGGTAAAAGCTCCATTTGCCTTCTGGCTTGATGTTCGCTGATTTCTTTTTTAACCCCCCATTTAATTCTGCTCTCGGCACCTTGGATAAAATATTTAGTGGCAGGAAAAAGGCAACAGATGCAAGCAGGAATAAATAAGATTTTCTGTATTTAGAATGAGGCCACGTATTTCGGAGCACAGATCTATCAGGCATGTTATTTATGTCTTTTGCAATTTCCCGGGACCCAGATTTCTCAGGGTGCTTTGATTTTTCTCAAATATCTACAGCAGTAGGGGTCCAGGGAGCCCAGGGAGCACAGCCAGGCACTCACTCACAGTCAGAATCCAGGGGGCTGTGTTATTTAGGATGATCCGAAACGCGACCTTGCTGCCTGCATTCTGTTTTGATATGTATCTTGCCTCATTAAAAGATGACAATCTGCAATACTGATATTACTCAGGCAGATGGATTTCCCAAATGCTGGGCTATAGCCTGGGCTGCCAGACTGCATGAGGTTTAACATGGAAAATTAACTGCAGTCTTGTTCTCTGGTCTGCCAGGTCCAGCAGTGTAGTGGAAGGAGCAAAGGAGCAGGAATCAGGAGACTCACCAGGATCTGCCCTCTCCTGTCCTGTGATCCTGAGAAAATGGCTTGGTCTCCTCATCCTGGAGGTCTCCATAGTGGAGTGGGCTCAACATCACACCTGGAGTCAAGTCAAGGCTCCGCACGTCCCAGTGACCTAGAGCCAGTTGTCAACATCTCTGAGCCTCAAAATTCTCCTTTATAACAAATAATGTAAGCAGATCCACAGTCACTAGGAAGATTACAATAGAATTGCCAGAGTATCTAGCATTCAGTAAATATTTATTAACTAGATAGAAAAAAAATGTACCAGGCTTAGTAACACCCGGCCTTCCCATCTCATTAGAGGCTAGAATGCTCAATGGACACAGGGTGTGTCTTAGTCTGTTTTGTGTTGCCATAAAGGAATACCTGAAACTGGGCAATTTATAAAAAGAAGAGTTTATTTGCCTCAGGGTTCTATAGCCTGTGCAAGACACATGCACCAGCACCTGCTTAGCTTCTGGTGAGGCCTCAGGCTGCTTCTACTCATGGCAGAAGATGAAGTGGAGCTGGTTGTACAGAGATCACATAGTGAGAGAGAAAGCAACAGGGTGTTTAGGAGGTGCCAGGCTCTTTTATAACAGCCCGCCCTCACAGGAGTGAAATCAAGCGAGAACTCACTCACCCTTGGGGGAGGCCATTAACCTTTTCATGAAAAATCCACCCCCATGACCCACACACCTCCCACTAGACCCCACCTCCCATGACCCACACACCTCCCACTAGACCCCACCTCCAACATTGGGGATCAAATTTCAACACGAAGTTTGGAGGGGACAGGAAGCCAGGCCATAGCAGGGCATATAGCATTGGCATCAAAGCTAGGGTGTTGATTGGTTATGAATATTGTTGGTCCTGCCTCATTTATCAAGGAAAGAAGAAAAAAGAAGACTGTAGAAAGACTAAGTTCAGGGTATACATGAGTCTTCAAGAGAAGCCAGACAACATTCCAGGATTTCAGAAAGGGGACATGGCTGAGCTGGGTCTTCTCTTTGTGGGGAGACATGTCATTGGGCCTCTGAGTTCCAAAGACACAACCTGGAAAAAGCACAAAAAGACTGTCTACTTAGAAGATTTAGGATTTCCCGCATAGTCCCCAGGGCCTCCTCTGATCCTTTGACCAAGATATGAAAGCCCTGCCATATAAGAAGAGGGGAGCTCCATGCTGAGGTTAGGACACAGCACTGATATGATGCCGGCCTTCCTTGGTCTATTTGACACCTAATGAGGTGGGGACTTGTTGACAAAGTCCTTCCATCGTGAGGTCTGCACCCCTCACCCCCAGCTTGATTGTACCATTCTGTTTTGGAAATCCCCACCAGAAGTACCAGCAAATGCTTCTTAAGCTTCTAGAAATTTCTATCTGGGATTATTTTGTTCATAGAGCAATTCTGGCAGCCAGAGTTACTTCTGCATCTTTGCTTTGGACCACAATCACCCAAAAAGCATTAGGAGAAAAGAGATCACAGCAATGGTTCACTCAATTTTCAACTTCCCTATGCTGTTTAGATTTTGGCAAAAGAGTATTCACTGTGACTGCTGCTTTTCACTATAAAAAGAAGCTGAGATTTCCTGCCAACTATTTCACAAAAACAAACAGAAGATTCATTGAGAGAACCAAGGAAGCATCTGATCCTACAACACACGACCAAAATATACTGTCTGTATCTTGGAAATGAACTCCCTAAGAGGATAGAAAATAAGTCGTTCAAGCTCTTCTCTAACTCAAGTATAAGCACCCTATAACTGGAATTATGTCTTTTACCTCCTGCTTATTCCCAGGGCTGAGGGGACCATTCGTAGCTGATAATATCAGTTACAATCATGCAGGATCATCCAGGAATAAAAACATTGGAGGAAGGCAGCATGAAAGGGAAAGAAAATCCTGGTTTTCAGAAAATAACATGGAGACCTCATGAGCTCACTCTGAGTAATCACCCTTCAGCAGTAGCATCTCCCTATCCAGTCTGCTCCGTTTAAGGGAAGAGTTCATCTCACCACAGTGTTTCATTGAAGAGCTGGTTTTTAATTGGCCCTGTACCACTTAATTTATTTTCATTTGCATTCCAATGCTGTCTGCCTTGTACTGCTTTACTTCAAAGCTGGATCTAAAAAACATAGGCTCTTAGAAGGTTGCAAACCTGCAATTGTACAGAGGCTCTGAGAAGCGAAATGATTTGCCCAGTGAAATGGGGTAGTGTGGAAACTGAGAGAGCTCTGAAGTCTAACACCCCTGGCTTCACAATTCTACCTCCACCATTTACTGGTTGTATGAACTCAAGCAAATTGATTCACCTGTCAGACCTCAGTTTCCTCCTCTGTAAGATGGAACTAGCAGCATCGACCTTGTGGGGTCATTGTGCGAATCGCCATACTGTGTTAGTCTAGCATTGCTAGTCACTTACTAGGCACTCGCGAAGTGTAGCTGACTCCTAGTGTTGTTGCTCTTAGAAAACACCCATATGTTAGAAAAAAAAAATAGAACACTTTTTCTGCCTCTGAATAAGTGCCTAAGATCCTCTACCACTTCTTGCTATGACCACCCACCCAGAGTAAGGAAGACAGCTGCTCCCCCAGCCTCAGCAATGCGGAGACGGTGTCCAATTCTCCACTGACACCCTAGTTTTTTCTGTACGGTGCATGGGAAAATGTATAATAAAAAGCAAAGTGCGTCACAAATGATAGGTAGTCCTCACGTTATTAGTAGTAATAGTTGCTATATTGAGTGCTGTGGGTCCAGGCAGATTGGTTTATAGTCACTGAGATATGTTGATCTAATAATAATGAGAATGAATAGATAAAGGGGTACAAGCTGTCAGCTGACAATAATGTCTGAATAACATCAGTTTGGTTTGCTTACGTAATGGGTCTTACATGAAGAGGAGACACTCGGAACTCAACACCTGAACTCCTCCCGCTTCCGGCAAGGAGAGAGGCAGAAGGCGCCCACGTGGTGGACAGCAGCCCATGTAGAGGGGCCACAGAAAAGGGTGATGGGCATCCTCTCTGCACAGGGCAGAGCTGCAGGGTGTTGGGAGTCGGCTTGCTCCTCTCCACCTCCTCCCTTCTGCCATGTTCCCACCTGTCTCAGTCAGTCTGCAGTAACAGCTATAGAATGTCTTCATTTGGAACTTGGAGAATTTGCACAAAGGGAAGCAGACTGGACAAAGAGCTCAGATCGGGGGTCTCCGGGTCTGGGCACAGCCGTTACCCTTCCCCTCCCATCCTCCGTTCTCTCCTGCCGCCACCCACACTGTGCTCCTGGTGAGCTAGAGCCAGAGCGAAGTGGAACCCAGAGCACTGTTTGCCAACACCCGCGGCACTAGACAACGCCAAGAGAATGGCTTAGTAATAATGAGATAATAACTTAATGAAAAACCCCTGCGAGCCCTGCGGGGCGGGGAGGGAGACCTGGTGTGTGGTGCTGGACGCTTCCTGAGCACCTCCCTGCACAGCCTGCCTCTGGAGTTTCTCGCGCATGGCGGTAAGCAGGGCCAGGCCTCACTCTTTCCCCTTCACAGTGGAGGGTGTGAGCAGGGCTTCGATGCCTTTTGCTCACGGTGTCCAGCAGTGGATGCGCTGGTTGGAACGGACGTGCCTATAACCATGACTCCCACCGAGGCCTTGTCCTGCAAGCCCAGTTCCCATCAACAGCTCATTCTAGGGAGGGTGGAGGCCCAGTACCGCAGGCTTGCTGCATTTGGGTATTTCCAGGTGGCTCAAGTCAAACTTAAGAGCGCGACCCATTCGGAAAATCAAGTGAATAAAGCAGGATGGCATGGAAAGGGATGGGGGCTTTACTGAGAGAGGGTGAGGGAGGATAGGACGGGACAGGAGAGAGAGGGATGGAGGCTTTACTGAGAGAGGGTGAGGGAGCATAGGATGGGAAAGAGAGGGATGGAGGCTTTACTGAGAGAGGGTGAGAGAGCATAGGACCGGAAAGAGAAGGATGGCGGCTTTACTGAGAGAGGGTGAGGGAGCATAGGACAGGAGGGAGAGGGATGGCGGCTTTACTGAGAGAGGGTGAGGGAGCATAGGACAGGAGGGAGAGGGATGGAGGCTTTACTGAGAGAGGGTGAGGGAGCATAGGACAGGAGGGAGAGGGATGGCGGCTTTACTGAGAGAGTGTGAGGGAGCATAGGATGGGAGAGAGAGGGATGGAGGCTTTACTGAGAGAGGGTGAGAGCATAGGACGAGAGAGAGAGGGATGGAGGCTTTACTGAGAGAGGGTGAGGGAGCATAGGACAGGAGGGAGAGGGATGGCGGCTTTACTGAGAGAGGGTGAGAGAGCATAGGACGGGAGAGAGAGGGATGGAGGCTTTACTGAGAGAGGGTGAGAGAGCATAGGACGGGAGAGAGAGGGATGGAGGCTTTACTGAGAGATGGTCAGGGAGCATAGGACGGGAGAGAGAGGGATGGAGGCTTTACTGTGAGAGTGTGAGGAAGCATAGGACGGGAAAGAGAGGGATGGGGCATTACTGAGAGAGGATGAGAGAGCATAGGATGGGAAAGAGAGGGATGGAGGCTTTACTGAGCGAGGGTGAGAGAGCATAGGACGGGAAAGAGAGGGATGGAGGCTTTACTGAGAGAGGGTGAGAGAGCATAGGACGGGAAAGAGAGGGATGGAGGCTTTACTGTGAGAGTGTGAGGAAGCATAGGACGGGAAAGAGAGGGATGGGGCATTACTGAGAGAGGGTGAGAGAGCATAGGATGGGAAAGAGAGGGATGGAGGCTTTACTGAGCGAGGGTGAGAGAGCATAGGACGGGAAAGAGAGGGATGGAGGCTTTACTGAGAGAGGGTGAGAGAGCATAGGACGGGAAAGAGAGGGATGGAGGCTTTACTGTGAGAGTGTGAGGAAGCATAGGACGGAAAATACCAGAGTGCAATAGAGAAGGTGCAAAGGAGAGCTGCTTCCCACACCCTTGCTCCTGGCCTGTGTGTGTCCGTGATGCTGGGTCATGGTCAAAAACACGGATGGCCGCTGACATGGGTCTTTACAGAGAAAGGCTCCATCCAATCTGAAAGGCCTGCAGCAGGCAGAACCTATCCGTAGATGAACACCCTCGCTCTCCAGAAGACAAGAAGCGGGAGTCGCAGCCTATTGAAGTGTAGACATGATGTCTACACAGCCACCCTGTGTCCTGCAAGAGCCCAGGCTCAGAGCGTGTGCACCGTGAGGGCCGCCTGTGCCGGAGCAGGCCGCTTCTCCGTAGCAACCACATCCCACAGTGTGGAGGTTCCCAGCGGCGGGTAGTGCGGAAAACAGGGAAGGCAGGAAAGAAACTTAGCCAGGCACTGAGTGCGTGGGAAGGCAAAACACTCTTTTCTCCTCCCACGGCGGGGGCGCTCCCTGGGCGATGCTCACGGAGAGTGGGAGGGCGTCCCGCACCGGGCAGAGCTGAAGGGTGGCGGGGGTCGGCTTCCTCCTCTCTGCCTCTTCCCTTCCGCCACGCTTCCTACCCACACCAGCCAGTCTCCAGTAACAGATATAGAATGCCTTCATTTGGAACACGGAGAGACAAGCGTGCCGTGTGGGAAGGAGAGAAGCCGCTGCTGGAGCAAGCGTGGTCCCAGAGGAGAGCCTGATTTGAGTTAAAGCGAGAGGGCAGGAGAAGCAGTTGGGAATCGAGGCAGTGGGCCGAGGATGGCCCAGGTTCAAGAGGCACAGTGGGAGGCTGCAGGTGTAAGGAGAAGGACGGCTCAGGTGAGGGCTGCACAGGCGCTGAGGGGATGGGGCTCTGGGTGGTGACATCTCCAAGGCAAGAGAGCACGTAGATTTCAGAGCAAAACTATCTGGGTCAGAATCCCGGATCCACCCTTTATCACTATAAAATGTTGGGCAAGTACTCACAGTGCCTCTGCTCTCTCATGTATAAAATGTGAGGAACCATAGCACCAAAATCATGGAGGTGTTAGGCAGATGGATGTGCTGGGAGGAAACCTGTTTACTAGGGGGCTGGGTTGGAGATGGGGAGCTTCTTATGATGTCTGCTGTCAGCAGCTTTAAAGGAGATGTGGGTGTCTATCCTGGTGGTCTCCCTATCAGCCTGGGATCAGGTGGTGAGTGGCTTCACCTACTAAGCCCAAAGATGTGTTAGGAAAACAGGCCGATATCTATCGATAAGGAAAACTGGCCGGCACGATGGCTCATGCCTGTAATCCCAGCACTTTGGGAGACCAAGGCGGGCCGATCACCTGAGGTCAGGAGTTCGAGACCAGCCTGGCCAACATGGCAAAACCCTGTCTCTCCTAAAAATACAAAAAAAAAAAAAAATTAGTCGGGCGTGGTGGTGGGTGTCTGTTGTCCCCACTACTCTAGAGGCTGAGGTGGAAGAATCGCTTGAACCCAGGAGGTGGAGGTTGCAATGAGCTGAGATCGTGCCACTGCACTCCAGCCTGGGTGACAGAGTGAGACTCTGTCTCAAAAAAAAAAAAAAAAAAGAAAATGAAACTCAAAGGGTCATGTCATCTCCGTCATCTCCTAAGTGCTGCACCACTAACCAGGCAGATAGGACAGACACATGTCCAGAACATCGACGCGGGCCCATGTGCTTCCCTAGAGCAGCGCCCCCGAGGCAGGGACGGATAGGACTTCCACAGCATCATCGTCCTCTGAGAGGGAAGAAGCAACGTGGGAGGGCTGCATGGCCGGTGGGGGGTCCCTCTGGGATGTGCATGATGCTGGGGGAGGGGAAGGAGGAGCTGGAGACAGGGCAAGTCCTGGTAGCAGTGTCACCCTAAAAAGGGATCCTGATCCAGATGCCAAGAGAGGGTTCTTGGGTCTTGTGCAGGAAGGAGTTCAAGGTGAGTCTCAGAGTACAATGAGAAGACAGAGTTTATTGAAAGTTGCTCAGTTACAGAGCAGGGCGTCCTTGGAAAGCAAAGGGAGGAATGCGCCATCTTTGTTTTTCTCATATAGGGGCCTTGTCTATGTAAAGACTGAACTAAGCTGTGTCTGCTTGGGTGGGGGAGCCGACAGCATGACAAAATGTATATTATTCTATTGTTTTAAAGAAAAGGATCCTTAACATTTCAGTGTGTAAGTACATCAAAGCATAACTATAATTATCTCCAAAGTGATAATGTTACCAGTACTGGACATCAAGGCTTTCTGTTGTTGGAGGAGTTTTTGTCCTTGCAGGCATCACCAAGTTGCTTCCTTAGCTGTAAACATCTTAGGACCATGGGCTGTGACTGGCAAGGAGCGGGCCTTGCTAGTTTCAAGATAGAGTTGGTTTTAAAAAGATGTTGCCCTGGCTCTCCTGGGCTCTTGCTTCCCTGACAGCAGGAGTCTCTTCTGCATTTTGTATACTGCAGCTATCTAGAATCTGCACACTGGAAGAACGTAAGTGTACAGGAACCAGGAAGCTTGGAGAGGCTGCTGGCCTCCTGGTCTTCCTGTAGGTACTAAGGAGGCCTCACCCTTCTGGGATCCAGGGTCTCTCCCTCAAGGCTTGGGTTAGGGACATTAACATCTAAGGAACACTATCCACCGCAGGAGGCTGTAGCTCTGACGTGCCCAAGAGGAAAGCCCTGACCTACAGTGGCGGCCGCTCTGTTCTAGGATGTGGATGGCACAGACTGGTCAGAGAGAGCCAGAAGGTTCTGGGGGTGAGCTGCAGCTGTTGGCCCAGGGGTAAATGTTGGGTTCTACCCAGTGCCATGTTAAGACCAAGGGAAAGACATGGTGGACGGGTGTGGCTCTAGTGAACGGGATTTCCACCTTAGATTCTGTTCCCCTTGAGCCATTTATTGAGCACCTGCTGTGTGCCATGCCCTGTGCGGGGCTGTTTGTCCTCCTGCTGGGGTTGTGTTTCTTGGGGGACATAGCTCTGGCCGCAGAGGGATTAATCATGCCTGAAGGACCTGGGAGGCCTCCAGGAAGTGTGGCCACTGGACACAGTCTAATTCCCTTCTCTTCCGAGACCTTCACGCTTGCCTCCTGCGGTCCTGCCCAGGCTACAAAGTTGACATTGTCTCCTAAACAGTTTCTTTGGTGCTAAATTGTCAGGTTGCAAAAGCTATGAGGGAATAAACGGGTGGTGCATGGAGCTGGTGTCACTCATTGATCAACGTGCTATTATACGCTGGGGTACAAAGGGTGCCCGGTGACCCTTCCGAATCTATTATTTACTCGAAAGCAGTGACCACATCCACACACCCAGGGTGACACAGGGTGTGTGACGAGGCCCACAGATACATGCCGATTTGCAGGGGCACCTGCACTGGGTCTGGGGAGCCATCATCCTCCACAGGAGACAGCGACCACCTGTGGATTTTTGAAAGAAAGGAGTGGCATGGATTTCCCCGAGCGCCACCTCTCATTCCTCCTCTCCCATTCATGGTCACAGCCTGTGTTTGAGAGAAGGCTGTCCAGCTGGGGCCATCTGGGTGTGGGGCAGGATGAAGCTCACGTGCCAGTGTGGAATCGACACCCTCATTCTCTTTAGTATCATGCAGTCCCCACAGCGACTTCTGCTTCAGGCTAGTTCCGTAACCCGGGAAATTTTGAGGATGGAAAAGGGCAGGGACAGGAGCGGTCAGGAGTGGCTCAGCCCTGAGCCCAGGGTTTTGCCCAGCCGCCTTCCGTCTAGGCTGTCCCTCCATCCGCATCCAAGAAGCGGCATGCGGACATCTGTGACTGTGGAGGATGCCCATGCCCCTGTGGGGACAGGAATCCCTCTCCTCTACACAGAGGCCCTGAGCTGCTTCCTGGGGTCAGGACACACCTGCACAAGTTGAAAGGCCGGCTCTTGTTCTTTGAACAATAGAACCAGGAATAATTAATCATCGGATATAGTTGGGCAGAGAAACTGCTTATAATTTACAATTAATTAACCTTCCCCTTAAAAAAAAAACTGGAGACCTAATTTCCTGTCTGATCCACATTGTTTTTGATATCCATTATTTTTCAATGTGTTTTTGTTGAGATTAGGAAATATTTGTGCAGAATATCTCAGTCCGATTAAGGTGACAATTGCTCAGGATTTTCGTTGAAACTGTGTATTATAATGAGGCTTTCTGCAGCGCATCATAAAAGGAAAAATTCTTTCCATCATTTAATTTAAAACTAAAGCCAGACTATGTAAAAAATATTACATGTAATTTTAAGGCTATAACTTTGTTTTGTGGCGAAAAAATTCTAACTTTCAGATGAGGACAAAATAAGGTCAGCATTTTTTAAAACCCTTGGAAAATCCAAACTCTGGTAAATCTCAGCTGGTAGTTAAGTCACTGTCTAATTAGGATTCTAATTTCACAATCTCAATTATTTTTAACTTTCTGGTGAATATTAACAGAATGATCAGTTTTGGCAAAATACTAGGAAGAAAAATGTAAACTAAGGAAATTAAAAATGATGATAGGGTTCACAATCCATATTACCTAAAACACTCAACCAGTCACTGTATAGATGAGTAATAACAAAGTCAGTCTCAGTATAATTGTGAACATTCCTTTTGAAATTGAACATGTGAAGACACATGCACACGTATGTTTATTGCAGCACTATTTACAATAGCAAAGACTCGGAACCAACCCAAATGCTCATCAATGATAGACTGGATACAGGAAATGTGGCACATATACACCATGGAATACTATGCAGCCATAAAAAAGAATGAGTTCATGTCCTTTGCAGGGACATGGATGAAGCTGGAAACCATCATCCTCAGCAAACAAACACAGGAACAGAAAACCAAACACTGCATATTCTCACTCGTAAGTGGGAGTTGAACAATGAGAACACATGGACCCAGGGAGGGGAACATCATACACTAGGGCCTGTCTGTGGGTGGGCGGAAAGAAGAGGGAGAGCATTAGGACAAATACCTAATGCATGCAGGGCTTAAAACCTAGATGACGGGTTGATAGATGCAGCAAACCACCACGGCACATGTATACCTATGTAACAAACCTGCACGTTCTGCACATGTATCCCAGAACTTAAAGTAAAATAAATTAAAAAAAAAAAAAAAAGAAACTGAACACATGTCAGGAGCTGAATTTAAAACAATGTTTTGGTCAGTACCAGGACACGAATGACAGGCTGCCTGCCTGTCCGACCCTGGGCCTTATAGACAGTGTCACTTGATAGGATGTTTTGAGACCCGGACATCCCCAGCAGCCCAGCATGCACAGGCTCAGAGCCCACAGGTGCACACTGGGGTTGTCATGGGAGACAGGTGAGGAGACTGGAGACAGGCAGGTGCAGAAATGTCTCTGTCAGTATTTCCCATGGGTTATCTCTCACTTACTAGCTGTGTGAGCTTCGGCACATTATTTAAACTTTTTTTCCCTTAGTTCCCTTAAGGGAAAAAATAAAGATAATAATAGTGTCTACCTGGAGTGATTGCGTTGAGGATTAAATGAGTTAACCCATCTACGCAGTTAGAGCCGGCTTGGCGTGTGCTGGGTGCTCACCGACTGCTGGGTGTGGCCATCACCATCACCACCCTTCTAAGAGGACTTACCCGGAAGCTGCCAAGTCTTACTGGAATTCAATAAGAAAACTTACTTCCAAAAATAAAAATAAAAGCCACACACACATTTTCCCTGTAAATCTTGATAGGAAGAAGGAAAAGGTCAGGATGTTGCCGAGCCCTTGGGTTGGAAGAGGTCGGAGTGGGGCGCGTCCCAGGTCGGGAATGTTAGGACAAGGTGGCCTCTGTCTTCATCGTGTGTCTTGGGTCCCCCTTCGTAATGATACTGTCCTCACCACGTCTTTTTATTATGAAAAGGAAGAGTGGCGAGGACTTGAGTGGGACTGTTGGGTTGTTGTGTTGCAGAGGAAATATGCTTTTTGCAGAGGGCTTAGAAAACGTGCAGTGAAAAAAACAATGAGCCTTCTTGGCCCCAAGGCCTGTGGCTGCTGGCAGGACAGCGGTCATCTGCTCCAACCCCCTAGGGAAGAGTGAGCCGTTTGCTCTTTTTCTCTTCTCCAACTTCCCAGAACAATGAGGGTGATGAATGAAGAGGTTTCCCATGATAGTGAGGTAACTCTGTCAGTAGAAGCCCTGAGATGTCCAGAGGCCTGGGCTCACCAGGCCCCAGGTCAGAAGGCTCGGCAGCGCCCCACACTTGGCTTTCGGATCATCTCGTGCTGGGCTCATCTTCCCTTGCGGCTTCCTCTGCTCCCTCAGTTGGGCCCCTGCCTATACGTCTCCAGGCCCCCGAGGCTGGCATGCAGCCCCATGGTCATAATCAATGTTTTATGACACCTGCAGACTACAGGCAATAGTAGACGATTTTACGGATAATAGTTAATAGAGCTCTCACATCGACAACCCAATGAGGGCAGCCTGCTTCTATCCCTGTTTACAGAGGAGGAAACTGAGGCACCCAGGGGCTGGGTCACTTGCCCATGGTCACAGCTGGTAGGGGGCAGGGCCGGATTTCAGCCTCGAAAGTCTAGCTCCTGAGGCCATGCTGCTGCCTGCCACCCATCCCACCTCCTTAAGGTGCTGTGTTCCCACCACTTCCTAATCCTCAATCTCCTCTCCCCTCCCCATCCAGGAAGCCTGCTAGGATGGTCCTTGTCCATATTCTCCTTCCTGGCCTCCACCTGATGATAGCTTGTTGTGATACTTGATTCAGCTCGCGAGATATTCCTAGAACAACGAGAGAAAAATGAAGGCGCATTAGGCCCGCCACAATCAAAGCTGTCGTTCCCTTCTCCATCCCTCACGGCCCCCGAGGAACAGGCCAGCCCCTTTCCACCCGTCACATCCCCTGAAGAACAGGCCAGCCCCTTCTCCATCCTTTATATCTGCTGAGGAACAAGCCAGCCCCTTCTCCATCCCTCACGGCCCCTGAGGAACAGGCCAGCCCCTTCTTCATCTTTCACGGCCCCTGAGGAACAGGCCAGCCTCTTTCCATCCCTCACGGCCCCTGAAGAACTGGCCAGCCCTTTCTCCATCCCTCAGGTCTCCTGAGGAACAGGCCAGCCCCTTCTCCATCCCTCACGTACCCTGAGGAACTTGCCAGCCCCTTCTCCATCCCTCACGTTCCCTGAGGAACTGGGCAGCCCCTTCTCCATCCCTCACATCCCCTGAGGAACTGGGCAGCCCCTTCTCCATCCCTCACATCCTCTGAGGAACTGGCCAGCCTCTTCTCCTTTCCAATGGGTGTGCAGGTCCCTCCCTGCGAGGCCCTGCAAGTGTCTGCAAATGCACCAGCTGATGCCCACTGCCCAGTGGGTGTTCAGTGCACTGAAAAGTTCCCTCTCCTCCCCCACTGCAGCCCTCCTGCCTCACTTGGAGACAATGCAGAACCAAGATGGGATCAATAGTCATTGATTTCTCTTGGTCTTGAATGATTTTTACACAAGTCATTTTGCAATAAGAGGGCCTTCGTACGGTGCCTGTCTGCACTGAGGGCGTGGGATGACAGCCATTTTTGCTCAGATTTCTGCTTCCTGATCCACGGTAAGATGTTTCCTCCCTAGCTGGGGAGATCCTCATGGCTGAAGACAGTGTCCTGGCCTCTTATCTATCCTCTGGAGAGTCTGCCTCACAGCACTGGCATAGTCGTGGTGAGCGCAGGCACTAGGATGGAAAATCTCCGGCACACGGGAGGGGCACGTTCAACAAGAGTTCAGGATAATCCCTGTTACCACAGGGGTGTTCAGGCCTTCACAGGTTGGCAGAGGGCCCAAGTGTCATCTGCTGGTCACCTCAGCTCTGTGAGGAAGAAGGGGTGCAGACCAGGAAGTGGCTCAGGGAGGTCGGAGGCCAGCCCAAGGAGGGGGTGCCTGAGTGGCCCCAACCAAGTGCCGCGCTCTCCCCCCCGCCCTCTCCCCGCCGCCCTCTCCCGCCACGCACGGCCTCCTGGCAGCTCTGCCTTTTGGGCACACGCACCTTCCGTCTTCACTGAATCCACTCCCCCTTCAGGTGGGCAAACACTGCCTCTTGCAGACATGTTCTTGCCTGTGCCCTGTCCTGGGAACTGTAGTTGGCAGTTACTTTGAAGAGCTTAGGAAACAGCATGGAGTTCTGTCAGGTGGCAGACATTCTAGAATCTCTCTAACAAGGCTGAGTCGGTGTGTCAGTCAGGGCCGGGAAACAGGCCGTGGAGCTGCCTCAGAAGGCCCGCAAGTTCATGGCCACACCTGGTTCTGTGTAGGACCACATGCCTTGTATGTCCCATTACATTGAAATCTTTTCAGACTGTGATGAAGGAAATACAGATTTTTTTTTTTTTTTTGAGACAGAGTCTCGCTCTGTTGCCCAGGCTGGAGTGCAGTGGCTCAATCTCGACTCACTGAAATCTTCACCTCCCAGGTTCAAGCGATTCTCCTGCCTCAGCCTCCTGAGTAGCTGGGATTACAGGCATGCACCGCCACGTCCAGCTAATTTTTGTATTTTTAGTAGAGACGGGGTTTCACCATGTTGACCAGGCTGGTCTCAAACTCCTGACCTTAAGTGATCTGCTCTCCTCAGCCTCCCAAAGTGCTGAGATTACAGGTGTGAGCCACTGCACCTGGCCAAAATACAGATTATTTTAAAAAAGACATTGAATGTTTAGAACTGAATTAAACTGATAACTGCAGGTTTTTGTTTGTTTGTTTGTTTGTTTTGTTTTGTTTGTAAGAAGGGATGCTTATATTCACAGAGTTTGAAAAACAAGTGACCTAAGCCAACCCCTCATTTTACAGTAGAAGAAAGGCAGCCCAGAGAGGTGGGACCAGAGCTGGAGCCTGGGTCCCACCGCCTGTTTGCGTCCTTCCCGTGAGAGCACGCAGCCTCTATAAGCAGCAGGTGGGACCCAGGCGTTTGTCTATGGATTTTCCTCTCAAAGTTGCTCTTCTCTTTACTAGGGCAGATCCCAATTTTGAGGGGCCTAGAGTCTATGAAATTTGGGGGATCCTCTTTAGAAAAAGGACAGAAGATTGTGAATGGAAGCAAAGGCCCATGAAGGGGAGAAGCTCTGAGACCCAGCTTCTCCAGCCCCCTGGTGCGAATTCACCCCTCGCCACCACCCCGCAGGGATGCTCCCATTCCACAGCAATTTCCCGCAGACTCTCCAGAAGTGTGCACTCCGGCTCACTGCTTCCCCAGTCTTCACATGTTTGCTTGTCACTTGATTATCCTCCCCGAAGAGGAGCCACTTGTACTTTAAATGCCTCCTTCACATCAGCAGGCAATTAACAGTAGGGAAGGGAGAAGGAGGGTGAGCAGTGAGGCTTCTCAATCACACAACTCAAGAGCACGGGGACGTTCTCCCAGGAGCAGCCTGTCTCTTGTGCCTAAAGCACAAGGGGCAGCGGCAATAGGACGGAAGGGGACCACCCACGGGCTGGACTCTCGAGGCCAGGCAGAGGCCACTGTGCGGTCTTTCCTTCCGCTTCCCTCTCCCTGAGCCTTATGCAAATCCGGCTCTTAGCACAGCCTTTAGCTCTTGTCTGAATTCCAGGGGAGGCCCAAGATGGGACCCCCTACTTCAAAAATAAGCTTGAATTCAAACCTCCAGCATTGTTCCACAGTGCGCAGGCCAGAAGACATCCATTCTGTTCCTCCAATTCCCTGTAAGGCCCCTCTCTGTGTCCAGCCAGATAGCGTGTCTCCAATCCATGGGGTTGCAGAAGGGGCTCGCTGCCTGTGCACTAGATGCCAATACGGTGACACCAGGATTTTCAGAAAAGAAAAGCTTTATATTAAAAGTCTATTCCCAGCTGGGCGTGGTGGCTCATGGCCTTGGGAGGCCAAGGAGGGCGGATCACGAGGTCAGGAGTTCAAGACCATCCAGGCCAATATGGTGAAACCCCATCTCTACTAAAAATATAAAAAATTAGCTGGGCATGGTGGTGCACACCTGTAGTCCCAGCTACTCGGGAGGCCGAGGCAGAAGAATCACTTGAACCCAGCAGGCAGAGGTTGCAGTGAGCAGAAATCATGCCATTGCACTCCAGCCTAGGTGACAGAGCGAGATTCTGTCTCAAAACAAAAAAAAGTCTATTCCCAAGGAGACAGGCATCCAGCTCAACTCTGCCTCCCTGTGCTGGCTTCAAGGCAGTAATTTTATTTTTAAAGGAAAAGGATTCAGCAGGCGGATTCTGGGATTAGCAGGTGATTGGTGGAAGGAACGGGGAGGTTTGGAAAGTCCTTCAGCACACACAATTATTTCTTCACGATTACTCATGGGCTGTGTGTGCAAATTCAGGGGGGTGGGGTGGAGGAAATTCAGTCCATGACATCAGCAAGCTCATTCTGCACAGACCCCAGTTGACCAACTTGGTTCTGACAGACTTCAGCCAGTTCTCTTATCTCGGGGCGGAGGGAGCGTCAGTGTTTCAGCAGGTTGTTTCTATTCTTGTCTGCCATTCTGCGAGCTCAAGAACTTCTGTTAGCCATTCGTTTCTTTAACTCTTTGAGGCATTGTTTCATTATTAGGATGCTTGCTTATTTCTTGTCTCTTGAGCAACTGAGTGGGTGGATGACCCAGTCGATTAACAAATGAGTGAGAAACGAGAACATCCTTGCCACACTGGGACCTGTTTGAGCGTGAGGCAGGTGAGCAGAAGACATCAGGCCCAGAAGTTCTGGAAGCTCCCTCAGGTGCCCACAACACAAATGAAGAGGAAAGAGAGAAGACAAAACAAAAAGAAGGGTAAAGGAGCCTGGCATACTGGCTCAGCCTTCCTCTTTCAAAACTTTTGTTTTTTTTTTTTTGAGACAGTCTTGCTGTGTCGCCCAGGCTTGAGTGCAATGGTGCAATCTCGACTCACTGCAACCTCCGCTTCCCTGGTTCAAGCGATTCTCCTGCCTCAGCCTCCCGGATAGCTGGGACTACAGGCGCCTGCCACCATGCCCGGCTAATTTTTGTATTTTTAGTAGAGACAGGGTTTCACCATGTTGACCAGGCTGGTCTCAAACTCTTGACCTTAAGTGATCCACCCACCTTGGCCTCCCGAAGTGCTGAGATTATAGGTGTGAGCCACCGCACCCAGCTCAAAACTTTTTTGAAACTAAATTTGAGCTCAGCGATCTAAAATACAATGGCATAAAACTGCAAGTCTATAAACTGGGCATAGCTCTTTCCTCCTCTGCTCTGCACCAACTGGGGTGACCAGAAGGGACTGAACAGTCTAGGGGCAGGTCTTGCTCACTCACGCGTCCATGGCTGACGCTGGCTGCTAGATGAGGCCTGCTCTGTGTCAGCCAGGACACCAAATGTGGCCTCTCCATCTGACCAGGGCTTGCTCACCACATAGAAGGTGGTGTTCAGAGTGAGTGACCCAAGCAAGAGAGAGCCAGGGGAAAGCCATACCACCCTGTGTGAGGCCGTTCTTGCATTGCGATAAAGAAATCCCCGAGACTGGGTAATTTAGAAAGAAAAGAGGTTTAATTGGCTCCCAGTTCTGCAGACTGTGCAGGAAGCATAGAGGCATCTGCTTCTGGAGAGGCCTCAGGAAGCTTCCAGTCACGGCAGAAGGCCAATGGGGAGCAGGTGCATCACGTGGTGGGAGCAGGAGTGAGAGGGAGTGAGTAGGGGTGAGGGAGGCACCACACTTTTTTTTTTCAAGGTTTTATTTTATTTTTATTTTTTATTATACTTTAAGTTCTAGGGTTTGTTACATAGGTATACATGTGCCATGTTGGTGTGCTGCACCCATTAACTCGTCATTTACATTAGGTATATCTCCTAATGCTGTCATCCCCTTCCCCCACCCCATGACAGGCCCTGGTGTGTGATGTTCCCCACCCTGTGTCCAAGTGTCCTCATTGTTCAATTCCCACCTATGAGTGAGAACATGCAGTGTTTGGTTTTCTGTCCTTGCGATAGTTTGCTCAGAATGATGGTTTCCAGCTTCATCCATGTCCCAAACAGTCAGATCTCATGAGAAGCCGCTCACTATCATGAGGACAGCACGGAGTAGATGGTGCTAAACCATTTGTGAGAAATCCAACCCCATGATTCAGTGGCTCCCACCTGGCCCCGACTCTAGTATCAGAATGACAATTCAACATGAGATTCAGACAGGGACACACATCTGAACTATAACACACCCTTTATGACCTAGTCTCACAAGCCATCACTTTCTGCCACATTCTCTTCATTCAAAACACTGCCCTGGTTCAAGGAGCAAAGAATCACCTCTTCTTTGGGGAGTCTCACGCCCTGGAAGTAGCACTGAGGCTAGTTTTGGAAAATACAGTGTGCCACACTCACCAAGGCGTCAGTCTCTGTGAAGTAAATTATACTGAGACATCAGTGACTTCATAGAGAAAGGGCATGAATAACCCCTAACCACAAATAATGGCAAGAAGTATCCATGGAGGCATCTTGGGAAGAGGCTTCTGATGTTCCATGCCTACTCCAGGCAGCTGTGTGCCCCACGGCCTTCCGCAGTAGTTGAATTCGCAGACTGAGCATGGCATTGGACCCGATGGCCTTGCTTCCACTGAGCCTCTGCACAACACTGGCCTTGGGAAAGACCACAAAATAGTAACCGGCAGGGCTCAGTAGACCCGGAAGCTTAGAACCTGTAGAAAAGAGAAGGCTTCCTGTGATCCTCCTGCTTCAAGCAAGGGCTCCGCCATCTCTCCTGCAGATAAAAACTCAGGAACATTTTATGTTCTGCTTTTGGAGGGAGTTTATAACTTTACATTCTGTCTTAAAGAAAACACAAGTTTTGAATTCTGGGATACCGAGTTCCTAAAAGAAAATCCAGGCAACAGGAGGCTCCCAATGTGTCCAACCTGCCTCCGATGGTGCAATGAAACAGCAAGTACTAAGA
This sequence comes from Homo sapiens, assembly GCF_000001405.40. Lineage (NCBI taxonomy): Eukaryota > Metazoa > Chordata > Mammalia > Primates > Hominidae > Homo > Homo sapiens. The sequence goes on from NC_000007.14 coordinate 154,762,924, forward strand.
AAATCACCAAAGTGTGGAAGTGGCAGGGGACTGCTTTAACAGCAAGAGAAGGAGAAATCTTAGTCGTGCTAGTTCCACATCGTGGCTGCCTTTGACTTCTGGCCATTTAGAAATGGCTCTGCTGCCAGCTGGGTGCGGTGGCTCACGCCTGTAATCCCAGCACTTTGGGAGGCCCAGGCGGGTGGATCACCCGAGGTCAGGAGTTTGAGACCAGCCTGGCCAACATGGTGAAACCCCGTCTCTACTAAAAATACAGAAATTAGCTGGGTGTGGTGGCGGGTGCCTGTAATCCTAGCTACTCAGAAGGCTGAGGCAGGAGAATCACTTGAACCTGGGAGGCAGAGGTTGCAGTGAGCCGAGATTGTGCCACTGCACTCCAGCCTGGATGATAGATCGAGACTCCATCTCAAAAAAAGGAAGGAAGGAAGGAAGGAGAGAGAGAGAGAGAGAGAGAAAGAAAGAAAGGGAAAGGGAGAAAAGAAAGGAAAGAAAGAAAAGAAAAATGGCTTGCTGCCGAGGGAAGAGAGAGAGATGAAATAAATATGTCTCCTCACCCTCTTCCTACCCCTGAGCTAGGCACAGTTCGCTTGTCCATATGATGAGATATAGATGCGAGGGTTTAGCTGTGGATTCCACAGCCTCCATCAGCAGCCTGCGTGCTCCTAATAAAAATGCATCCTAGCCTCCCACCTTGGCCTTTCCTCACCCAGAAAAACAAGGCCAGTGAGGTCCTAAAGAGCCTATTCTGCAGGAGCGCATGTGAGAAGAACTCTTAGAGAAACAGCAGCAAGTTCAATTTCCCCAGAGAACCCTAAAGCCTCCTATTTCCCTTCAGCCTCACGTCTGTGCTCCCTAAGCTGGCTTTGGATTTCTCTTTAGCTGGACTTCATTGGCAGGTGCGGCAGGAGGGTGTGGGGAGCCCCCTAGATACAACTGCCAAGGAGACTTTAAGTCTGCCTCACTCCCGGCCTCCCTTTTTGTACTTTCTAGAACTCCTCTTGGTGCCCTCTCTACCCACACCCCTGTGCCCTTTCTGCTGTGCACTCACCTTGCACAGACCTGTGGATTTGGATGCCCCACCTCCATCTGCACCACACCTGAGCTCTGTGGGCGCTCTTCACCTCTATGCCCTGGGCACTGCATCTTAGGCCTTGGATGTCATTTGGAAGCAGAGTCTCTCTTCCTTGTTAAAGCATTGCTGGGATACAGAGGGGAGAGCTGTCCTTTCCCGGGCTTGGGTCCTTTGTAGAAGCTAAAATGGCACCTGTTGGGCAGCTCTGTCTTCATCTTGTGAATGGAATTGACCACTCTCGCTCGGTGGATTTGCTAGAGGAGCTTCATCTGATGTTATACTAAGGACCTCAAGAATTCACCTTATTCTTGACCTGTTAGGTCCATGAAAGTGTTACTGTAACCTGCGTGGCCAATGAGATCTCCACTCCAGCCAGCAAGAAGTGGGAAAGAGAGGCGGTGGTCATACCCTTTCTCCTTAAAGGCGGAAGACAGGTGTCACTCATCACCTTTTCTCAACCCAGCAGCAGGAACTCAGCACACACCCAACCTCACATCTGGGGAGTCTGGGAAAGGTCTTTATCCTGGGAGGCCGTGTGCCCACCTACAAGCCATTGGTTCTTTTACTAAAAAGAGAAGGGAGTGTGGGTGTTGGAGGACAATGAGCAGGTTCTGCCATTCCACCTTCCACAAGAGGCTTCTCTAATTTCCTCCAATAAGAAAGAGGCCTCTCTGTATTCCCAGACCCCATAGTTCTTTCTGGTTTCTACCTTGCCCACTTTCCCCGAGTTGCAAGTTGCAGTTCTCCTTCTGTTTACTGTATTACAAACTTCCAAGCTTTGTCTCTACTTTACTATACCCTAGGGAATTGTGTGTACTGAGTACTCAGTCTTTGTTCAATAAGGTTAATTTCCCTGAACCTCCAATTCCTCAGTTGTAAAGGGGCACTTAATATAAGCTTGTAGGTGCATCACATTCTCTCCAGAGAGAGAACTCACTCCTAAGAAAGCAGCACCAAACCATTCATGAGAGATCCACCCCCATAACCCAGACACCTCCCACTAGTCCCCACCTCCCAACACCTCCACATTGGGAATTAGATTTCAACATGAGCTTTAGTGGGGACAAACAAACCACTTCCAAACCACAGCACACATATGAATGAGATCATTCGGCATTCGTCTTTCTGTTTCTGGTTTATTTCACTTAGCACAAGTCCTCCAGGTTTATCTACTATGTTGCAAATGCCAGGATTTCCTCTCTTCTAGCTAGTCATTGTTAACCAGAATGTGCACCAAACTCACCTGAAGAGGTTTTGCAGAAAAGGAGCCTGTATCCTCCTCACTGCCCCCACCAAATACCAGTTCTCCTGCCTGAAGTGCAGCCTCAGCATCTGTATAAGCAGCACACACATGCGCACAACAGTCCAATGGAGTCCCCTGCAAACCTACCTAAACCTCACTAGGCAAATAGGAAATAATAGTGGTGGTCACCTCTTCATCTGTCAAACAACCTGGAAAATGTGAAGATTCCTCTTCATTGTTGCATTGGCCTTTATTACCTTGAGCACAAAGGGATTTTTCTCCTACTGGATATGACCTTAATGCTGCTTGGCAGGAATGAATAACACTCCAGATAATGGCACTGGCTTCTTCAAGGTATAGTGACAAAAAATGAAAAATACCCAGCCCAGATCCTACCTGGGGCTGAAGCTCTGGATACAACTTTTGCCATCTTCAAGAGAGAAGCAGCCATTGAACACCGACTGTCCCCGGATGTATCTTTCTTTTCTGATGCTAAAATAGCCCCCCAGCAGGACAGGGAAGGTGAAGAAAAGATGTATTCTCTAGTTTTCCCAAGTTAATTATACTTGCTCAGAAAGCCAAGTGATTCATTTTGTTCCAAGGCAGGCGTCCATGCAATTAATTTCGTTGATGAAATAGGTTTTCTTCTGCAAAACTCTGCTTCTAAACTGCATTTGGTGCATGGCATTTAAGCCAACTGCCTCATTAAGCTGGAATCCTGCAGAAAAATGTTTGCAGAATAGGGACATTTGGAATTAATGCTAAAATGTCAAGGTTTCTTCTGCCCAGCACTTTTTTACCCCTTAGTTTCTTATACTTCATTATCACATTAATGAGCAACTAACGTACAGGAAAATAAAAATGGCAAGGAGCGATGTGTTCAAGGACACCTAGGGAAAATAAACTAAAGCTGCCCTAGTTTTGTACGGCTGGCATTTTGGCGTGGCACAGGTTCTTCGCATGTGCCACTGTCTCGATGTGGAATGACATTCAGAGGAACTACCCTCTGCCATCACACACACCAGATACCTGTCATCCCTGAACCCGATGACCCAATGGTCGCTAAGTTCCCTTCTTTTATTTTATTTTATTTTTTTGAGACCTAGTCTCACTCTGTCACCCAGGCTGGAGTACGGTGGCAAGATCTCGGCTCACCGCAACCTCCCAGGTTCAAGTAATGATTCTCCTGCCTCAGCCTCCCGAGTAGCTGGGATTACAGGTGTGCGCCCAGCTAATTTTTGTATTTTTAGTACAGACAGGGTTTCACCGTGTTGACCAGAATGGTCTCGAACTCCTGACCTCAAGTGATCCACCCACCTCAGCCTCCCAAAGTGCTGAGATTAAAGGCGTGTCTCTAAGTTTCCTTCTAACCGTTACATTTGGTAACCTGTAGTGATGGTTTTGTTCTACCTCCCAGTTCTCTGAAGAGTGAATTGAGCTTCATGGAAACACTCTGGCATTTGCTGATAAGATCGATGGAAATAGAGTATTCTCAGCCCAGCCTTGTGGCCAGCCTTCACCCACATTTTTTTCAGTCTCTTGTCCCAACAAGCATGACCCACTTTGGACTGTGCTGGTCAGAACCAAGCAGCAGCATTTCCTTTAGGTCAGAGAGCGAGTCTAGAAATGAGATACAAACAACCCTGGGTGGAAATGAGGGGTGACCCTTGCCCCCCCTTGCCTAGTGGCCTCTTGTGGAACCTACGGGGTAGGAATGAAAGTGGCCTGATGTTGCACGTGGCCGATGATTTATCATCCCTCTGGTCTCAGAAAAGATTGCTTTGGGTTCAAAGGAAAGAAAGAAATGAGTTGTCTCTTCGGGGGTTTTGTTGTTATTGTTGTTTGTTTGTTTCTGTCCAAAGCTGCTTCATTTTTAAAGCTCTTGTTGCAGCCAGCCGTTTTTCTGTTTTGGATTTTCCCGAGTCGGCTGTGAATTAATGTCCCGTGGAAACCACTGCAGGGCTCCTCTGCTGATTTCTGTGGGCTCTGCACCTTCTCGCTCTGCCCTGTGAATTCTGCTCACTCCCAGGGACTCTACTCCAGCCCCATTGGCCCCTTTCTTGTGGCCCTGCAGCGCAGACGTGATTGAGCACAATCACCCACAAATTGCATTGCAAATGGTGCCTATTTTTTCCAGCAGACCATCTGCTGGAGTCAATTACTCACCATTCCAAGCGAGCAGCCTGGGCAGATCTGGTGACTCTGCATAAAGTCACTTCTGAGTCACCTCATCCCAAACTCGCACCTGAACGTCCACCTCCTGGCTGCCAAAGCGACTGGAAAATTACAGACCCTGGAGGTCTGGCTTCCTTCCTTTGTCTTCTCCTCACTGACCTCCACAGGCCTCTGAGCTTCTATTGGCACTGCCAAAGCTTCTGAGGCTGTGAGACAGACGCAGAGGGGAAGGGGATGCTAGAGGCGGCTGTTGTGCCCCTAGCTTTGCAGATCGGGACTCAAGAACACACAGCAGGACTGGGGCTCAAGTCCAGTGCACCAGGGCTCCTGAATTCATTTTTCCCTGAGCACTGCTCTCCATACTCCGGGATGCACCAGAGTACAGGAGGTCAAACCCGCCACAGGGTTTGTATTTCAGGAGACTCTACTGAGATGTTCAGGAGTCTGCAGCAGACTCGGCATTGCCTTCGGTGGGGGGCTGTCTGCTGGGGAGTCTGACCAAGGCAAGATGAGGAAGACTCACGTGACAGGGGAGCGAGGCTCAATGAGCTGCAGCATCCCCATCAGTGCCATGCCAGATGCCACAGACATCTGGGCAGGGAGGGGCAGGGCATGCAGGCACATCACACCCTCAGCCCCACTGCCCTTAGAGCCTGGCTCCTGCTCCCACCCCAGGAGGATCATGGGCAGCGTGCCTGCTGCAGGCCTCTGGGCTTGGCTGTGAAATGCCACCATGGATGACACTGACCTGGCGCTAAGCCCCCCTTCATGAACCCTCCTCCCGGCCAGCTGGTCTCCTCCTGGTGCCTCCCGCAGAACCTGGGAGGCTGTTGATGTGGGCTGCTTCTTCCCTGTCTGGGACTGTGCCCTCCTGTGGGCAGTCAGCCCTTGGCTTCCTTCCAATTTACATTGTTCTGTTGCATTTGATGCCCTCGTTTTGTTTTTGCAATGTGTTTTCAGGCTTCTTAATCACCTTTCTACACTACAGGTACATAGAGCAGATTTATGGTACGCACCTAATAATAGCGAGTTGAATGGGACTCATGAATTATATTAATCATTATTTTAGAAGCAAATCTAGAGGGAATTAGTTTACACTATATATAGACCCAGTACAAGACAGAACCCCTTGACCTAAGAGCTGTTCACAATGAAATGGGTTCTCTGACTGGTTACCCTTGGGAAGTGTATTCTCCCAACGTGTTGAAAAAAACGCTGTAGAAATTTCCCCTCTAGAATAGATATCACACCCTACAAAACTCATCTGTCGTTAAAACACTAACCAGGACACTGATGGGCTAGGAAGGAATAATGGGTGTTTCTGGTTGAAGCCCAAAAGAATCAGTCTTTCATTTCAGTCCTTCTGAAGATGGATCCATTTTGGTTTTCTGCCATGCATAGTGAGCTTGTACCCTTCTTGTAAGAAGCCACACAGAGTGAGCTTGCACCCTTTGTGTGCTGCAAGGAGCATGCTGGGCCTTTGGACTCATTATCTGAGGAGGGAGCTCTGTGTGTGCGTAAATCCCTGGTCTGCTTTTGGGCGACTCAGCCTCTGCCAGAGTTCACTTTCTCATTTGGTTCCGTCTGCATGGGACACGCTTCCATGTGAATTTACTTTCTCCAGTGCTGTTTTTCAAATCATATTAAGTAATAATCAACAATAGTACAATCATAGTTCAACTCAAAAGGACGTGTTGGGCTCATAGTGCTCAAATGTGTGCAAAGAAAAAAAAAGTGTTTCCAGACGATTAGCATCTGTTTGATTGAGCTTTGGTTAATGGGGTTTTCCTGTGCTGGACTTAGTCATCAGCATCAGACATTTCTTGAGCCCCCATGGAATGGAAGCATGTGCAGAACACAGTGAAGGTTCCTCAAAGGTTGTAGCAGATAAGGGGCTCTGCAGGGACTCGTTTCTTTCCTGGCCACCTCATGTTCCTGCTGGTGCAGCTCCAATTTCCACTCACTTGTTACTATTCACATTTCTCTACTCTGTTTTCCCTTAGAGGAGATTTTGAAGACACACATCGCACACTGGTGGTCTCCGGATGGCACGAGACTCGCCTACGCCGCCATCAATGATTCCCGTGTCCCCATCATGGAGCTCCCAACTTACACCGGCTCCATCTACCCCACCGTGAAGCCCTACCACTATCCCAAGGTAGGCAAAGGGACACCGCACAGCAAATTCTTTATATTATTCATGAACACCCCAACCCTGCTCACTCAGTGTGCAGACGTGATCATCAGACATGTGTATGAGCAAAGCAGTTAACACAAGAAAGACTAATCATGTCTCATTACATTGCATTACATTCCCGCCTCTGTTGAGCTGAGTCATTGGCAGGTTTACTTCTTTTAGGTAACCGAACTAATGTTCATCACCTGACTCAGCTTCACTGAACCAAAACACACAGGGTACCTCCCCTCACCACTCCCCAGTGATGAAGGTGCACCTGCCCTCTCTCACGCATCTTATTTCTACTTTGAGTTTGGCCTCTGGGAAGGCAGAAAGACTTCCATCTGCCCCTGGTCCCCTGGGTCTGGGCAAGGCTGTTTTGTTCATGGTCACTGCTACGGGCTAAATGTTTGTGTCCTTGCCAAATTCATACATTAAAATCCTAACCCCCAAGGTGATGGTATTAGGAGGGAGATCACTGGGAGGTGACAAGACATGGAGGGCAGAGCCTTCATGATTGGGATTAGTGCCCTTATGTATTTGTCTATTTTCATGCTGCTGATTAAGACATACCCAAGACTCAGCAATTGAGAAAAGAAAGATTTATTGGACTTACAGTTCCACGTGGCTGGGGAGGCCTCACGATCATGTCAGAAGGTGAAAGGCACGTCTTACATGGCGGCAGACAAGAGGAGAGAGTTTGTGCCGGGAAACTCACCTTTTTAAAACCATCAGATCTTGTGAGACTTATTCACTATCAGGAGAACAGCATGGGAAAGACCTGCTCCCATGATTCAATTACCTCCCACCAGGTCCCTCCCTCATCTTGGGAATTCAAGATGAGATTTGGGTGGGGACACAGTCAAACCATATCACCTTATAAAAGAGACCCCAGAGAGACCCCTCTCTGATTCCACCATGTGACCATACAGCAAGAAAGCGTCCTCTGTGAACCAGAAATTGGGCCCTCGCCAGATACTGAATCAGCCAGCACCTTGATCTTGGACTTCCAGTCCCCAGAGCTGTGAGAGATACATTGCTATTGTTTGTGAGCCAGTCAGTTTATGGTGTTTTGTTACAGCAGCCTAGAGGGGCCAAGACAGTCATGTTCTGACCCAATGAGCCAGTAGAACAGCAAGTGTCCAGTGGCTGGGAGGGAATATTGGGGGGAACAGGGATATCCAAATCTCACTTTATTACCAAATCAAAGCATCCCAGTGTGAGTGGAGGGCCTGATACTAAAACCTCCACAGCCACTCAGCTGGAGAGAAGCCAGTGCCCGAGTATGGACACAGCTCCCATGGACACATAGAGTCTGCCATGCTGGCTTCTGGCTTCACTAGGCTTCTCCAAGACCCCTGGGCTTGGTGGAGGTGAGCAGTTTCCTGCCTGCACCCTGCCTGGTGACTGGAGGCTCACTTCCTGCCATGAGCTGCCTCTGCCAGGGGGCATTTAAACCTCAGCATCCTAGCCCACCAGAGAGCTCTGAAAGCTGATGGTATGTGCCTGCTCTGCCATAATCATCCCCACAGACCAGCTGGCTTACAGTTTGCAGCAAGAGGAGTGATAACTTATAAGGCAGATATATGAGGCCAGTGAGGTTCCCAGAGTCACAGCCTAGAGAAAGGAAACACCTGGTGTCTTAGTCAGTTCCAGCTGCCACAATGAAATAACACAGACCTAGGCAGCTTAAACAGCAGGAATTTCTTTCTCACAGTTTTGGCAGCTGGAAGTCCAAGATTAGGGTTCCGGCTGATTTGGTTCCTGGTGAGGGCTCTCTTCCTGGCTTGCAGACAGCCGCCTTCTCGCCATGTCTTCACATGAAGGGGCAAGAGAGGGCTCTGGTGTCTCTTCCTCTCCTTTTGTGGACATGGATCTCATCACAAGGGTGCCACCCTCATGACCTTGTCTAACCTCAATCACCTCCCAAAGGTCTTACTTCCAAATAGCATCACACTGGGGGTTAGGGCTGCACCGTATGAATTGAGGAACTTGTTCCATCCATACACCTGGTAATACAGGCTCCTTTCAACAGCCTTTGATCAGCATGGCCAACATCTAAGAGAGCCCCAGAAGGAAGAAGAATGAGACCCTTATGGCCACAGCCTTCCTTTCTGCCTTTTCCAATTCTGAGAGCATCTGGATGTTAACATGGCATGGATTTGCCTTCGACAGAATTATTTCACTCCTTTTTCAGCTAACCTTGATTGGTCTTAGTCTGTAGCATGTGGAAGGGTCCAGCATTTTAGTTGGAAGCATAATTAAATAGAGAAAAGTGTATGGGACTGATGCTAGTTCCTTCTAACCCTTCTACATTTCTTACCAGCTGTTCACAGCCACCCCACCCGCCAGAAGAGCTGGTGGCTGTCTGACCTTCATCCAACCCAGAGATGAATGGTTCCCATGGTTATCTTTTTGTGGGAGTTTCCCCAGTCTAGGAGTGATAACCTGGAATCCAGTAGGGTGCCCTTGATTTTACAGTGAACTCTCAGAAGGTGCTCTGAAGCTGGGATTATGAAATCCCAGATTACTCAAGATTTGGGGTTTCATATTTTAATAGAAAACCAACATTCTGGCTGACAGAATTCAGATGCTCCTTGCCCCATTCCCACCCACTCCTAAATCAGAGGCATGAATAGGCAAGCCTGCCTGACATGCCCTGTCGTGGGCCTGATAGCCTCTGTAAACCTGAACATCTTCTGCAGGGTGGAAGTGAGAACATCAGACAACACCCCGAAGTCCCCCTAAAGAGGAAGCCCCACATCTCTCCCCAGACCCATACTTGTCCCCCAGAGAGTGGGGAACAGGGAAGCAGAATAGTGCCCCAGTTCCTTTTTGAAGGACTTAATCTCTCCCCATGCTGAGCATGGCCACCGCTCCTCAATGTCCATCATTTGCTCACCTCCAACTCTCCCCTTCCTGGCATCCAATCCATCTTTTCTCCCCCACTCCTCTTCTCGTCTTCTCTTTTAAGCAAGGGGCTCAGTACTCACTTGACATTGCCAAACCGGGGAGTTGGGTGGAATGGGAAGCGGATGGGATTCTAGAAAAGCAAGAATCAGCCCACTTAGCCCTTTGTCCTTTTGAAACCCTACACATGAACCATTTGTTCTCCACATTAATTCTGCTCCTTAATATGGAGCTCCAGTGTCCTGGAGTCCCACCTCGGAATCTCCCAGGAAAGGCTTTGCAGAGCTGAAGTTCACTCTTGTATAAGGCTGCTTGTTCATGTCTCTGCCCCTTTTTAATCCCCAGGCTGGAAGTGAGAACCCCAGCATTTCCCTACACGTTATTGGCTTAAATGGACCCACCCATGATCTGGAGATGATGCCGCCTGATGATCCACGGATGAGGTTTGCTTCCTTCTATTATGTTACCAAAAAAAAAAAAAAACTAAGATGAATGTTCAATGTGCATGGTCTCTTCTGGATCAGATTTATCTTACAACAAGTTTAAACATCCAAGAAAAAGGTACCTTTCCTAAAGATTTCCTCACTGCTTTATGATTCCATTTTCTAGGAAAAGAATACCATTCACCAAGTACTATTATTTTTTACCTTAGGTCAGATGCAGGTTATCCTCCTGAGAGCTGGGCTCCTCTGGGAGGGGCATGGCTGGGCCCCAGGCCTGCCTCAGGGGGACACCAGAGGAAATGATGCGGTCTTCCCAAGACAATCCATGGAGTCTGACCTTCCATAAATGGTGCTCTGTATTTAGAGCATTTTTTAGAGCATGGAGCAATTTGCCAGTGGCAAATTCTATTCTAATAAAGCCACATCTCCCAGTTGGTAAGGTCGCAACCCTGTGGAAGGTATTAACAATGTTATTGAGTTATTATTATTAGCATCTGATTGTGGTCGCTTTTTTCTAAATCAAAACAACTGATTTAGGATCGAATGTAGTGATCTGAATATCAGTTTAGTATTTTCCCCAAATTCAAGCAGCGTGGGGAATGATTATACTTCCAGAGTCCAGCTATAACATCATCAGCCTTCTCTCTGTTAAGGATATTGATGAGAGACTCAAAAAGAGGAGGGGATTTTAGGGGTGCCAGGACCCACCCAAGTATAGATTCTGAAATTTCATGAATGGCACTATTTAAACTAAGAATAACTCATTCTGAGGCTCAGCAAAGACCCAACCCATATTTTGCTATACCTCCAGCCTGGGCCTTTATTATTCCATTCAAAGCTCCATATTACTAGTAGCTTCTGGCAGCTTCTGGAAAGGGCAGGAATCGAGGCCTCAGGTCTAGCTCGGGGATGGATGCTCCAGCACCTGGTGACTCTGGACCTCTCTGAATGATGTGCTGGTCTCCTGCAGTGGCTCCAGTGCCACCTTTGCCCCACACCCTGAGCTCCTGCACAGAAGCCCGAGGCCTCTGCAGAATTCTACTGCGATTCCTTCCCCTCATCTTTCTTCAGTGAAACTTATAATGTTGTAAGATCCCCAAGTGGATGGATGAAGCCCAGAAGCCCAGTGCTCTAGGAAGCGTGAGGCACTGCCTGCCCCTCTCAGCCCTGCATGGGTCTTCTCCCCAACATAGGAGGGCCTGTGGCTCTAGAGGTTTAATGAACCTGGCCCCCAGCAGCTGGTCCCAGGGACAACTGGTCACTGGGGTATCAGCCCAAGGTGTGCGCTGGTTTGGAGAGTTGAATTGATTTGGCTGGTGATATTTTTGCTGAGATTTAAAAAAAAAAGTTCAGATGATTGCTTTGGCTTTTCTCCTAAAGTTCCATATATTTTATTGTTTTCCTTTCAGCCCCCATCCCTGCCAAGCCTCCTGGGGCCTGGTCCAGCAAACTCACTGAATTAATATGGAAAGTCACCTGGAAAATTTCAGCCATCTGTTTGAGTTAATTGAAAATCTCGTTTAGTCAATTTGGTGATGCTGTTTCCACAGGCTTGATTAGCTTCAAGGACAATGAAAAATTAGCGTCAGCCAGGACTTGAAGCCTGGATGCTGGGCTTCAGGTTTTCTGGTTGCTCTCATTTCCTAAGCTCAATGCAATAATGCATTTTATATGCAATGTAAATTTGTAGCATGTAAATGTCACACTTTCTCATACTGCTTCTCTATCACACATCTTTGAGAGTTTTTAAAAGTCCACACAGATATATCAGAAATCCCAGGCTCAATGTAGAGCAGATGTTTAGTATTTGCCAGCCATTTGCCTGAGCACTGGGAATTTGGTGGCAAATGAACCATGGAGTTCACAGTGTGGAGGGGAACCTGGATCCTGAAGAAGTCATTACTAGCAAGTAAATCCCTGCAGGTGTGAGAAGGGCTGTGGAAACGTGTGGAAGAGGAGGCCACCTGGTCTGGAGGGTGGCAGTGTCACGGCTGAGGTCAGAGTTTCTGCATGTCCATGCTACTGACATTTGGGGCTCAGCAATTCAGTGCTGTAGGGGGCAGTCCTGTGTGCCGTAGAGCACTAGGCAGCATCCCTGGCCTTACACATTAGATGCTGTCATATCTGCCTTTTCCCCCTCCAGTTGTGACCATCACAAATGTCTCCAGCATTGCCCAGTGTCCCCAGATTGAGGACTACTGGTTTCAAGTGAAGGTTCTCTAGCCAACTGCCTGGGTTCGAGTTCTGGCTCTGTGGACTCTGTCAAGTTACTCAGCCTCCCTGCTTCAGTTTCCTCATCTGTAAAATGGAGATAATTTTAATAAGAAACATGTTTACTCTCGTGGACAGTTGTGAAAGTTAGATGAGATAAGGCAAGGATCATAGGGCTGGTTCCTCCAATCGTTCCATCTTGTGGCTATACATACCCCTTGTATGTGGACAACTCTCCCCTGTGTACCTCAACCTGGCCTGGGTCAGGACTCTAGGTTCAAAAAGCCAACCACCCAACCAGCATTTCTACTGGGAGTGGTCACCATATAATTTTTAAATGGTCAAATTGTGATTCTCAGACAAAATCAATCAACATGTGTCCAAGACTTTATTAAACTCATTAATTAATAAGGGAACCAGTGAGCTCTTAAAAAGAGGCCATAGAACCATCGAGAAGCTAGTTGTATAGAGGCAATTGAACAAGGACATCCTAGGGTGAGTCTGCCGGGTTACTCAGCCATCCGGGAGAGACGCCTACCCCAGCAGGGTTGAGACCGCCCCTGCAATTGGAAATCAAGCCCAGCATGTCCCTGGAGAAGGGCCCAGTGATCCCACCTGCCTCTTTACCACCTTCAGATCCATTTGCTGACACTGTCTACACAGCATCTCAGGCCGAACCCGGTCAAAGCCAACCTCCCACTCTCCTTGTCTACACCTGCTCCCTGCAGTCTCCCCATCATGGTCCAGGGCAACTCCACCTTCCAGGATCCCCGGCCTCCTTTACGTCCCTCTGTGCTGGGGACCCTCCTTGGCAGGTGCCTGGCATCAGCCTGCAACCCCCCGCCGTTCCCCACTCCTCCCTGGCCTGGCCCACCAGCACTGCCCCCTCCTGCCCCACCCACTGCTGACCCCACACAGCAGCCAGAGTAACCCTTTAAATGACATCAGGCCACGTACCCGCTGCTCCCAGACATCTAGTGGCTTCTATTTCTCTCCAAGTAAAGGCCAGACTTCCTACAGTGGCCTCAGAAGCCCCCATGATAGATGATAGATAGATAGATAGATAGATAGATAGATAGATAAACAGATACATAGATAGATAGATAGATGATTGATAGACAGATAGATAGATAGGCCATGCACCCTTTCTATCCCCCCTCACATCGGCTGGGTCACTCCCATACGAGGATCTGCACAGAGGCTCCCCTCTGCCCAGAGAGCTCCTCCCCACTTAGGTCCTGATCAAATATATGGTTCCCACAGTGACTTCCCTGATAACCACATTTCACATGGCAGCCCCACCCCGCTTCCATTTTCTTCCTTCAATTCATCCCAGTGGAATTTTTAGATACTTTTTTAAATTGTTTCATTTTCATTTTCCCGCCTGCCACCTAGAACAGGAAGTTGTTGAGGCAGGGACGTTAGTTCCTGTGGGGCGGGCCCTGGCTCCAGTTCTGCAGCAGGGCTCTGGAACCTTGGCTGGATGGATGTATTGACTTCAAATTTAGCCGGTAAAATCTTATTTGCATGGGATTCTTGAAGCTTGAGATATCTTCAGTTGTGCTGGTACCTTTCTAAGAACCAAAACTTACTTGCTATTTAGCCATGGATGACATCTTGTCCTCTCAAGCACAAGATGCTAAAGGAACTAACTGAAACTAAGACACCTCGTCTGTGGAGGGACACAAAAGGAATGAACCCTAAGCCATGCCCCTGAGCACCTAGGAAGGGAGACATGCAGAGGTTTCTGGAAGCCTGCAGTTTATTTCAGCAGGCTAGCTCACGAACCAAGAGGAAGGGAGAAAGCAGTTCATGTATCTGCTATCTAACCTTTATGCCACTCATTTTCAATTATTTTTTCCTGTTTGTTTGCTTGTTAACTAGATTGACTTCTCCGATGGTTCTCAGATGCAGGGAGAGTTAAGTCTGCTCTTTCAAATCTTTGCATTGGCAAGCACTTACTCATCATCCATGTGGCATGTGCTGTGTGAGGCCCTTGGGTGATTAAGACGTGTGGCCTCTCCTAATGAGAGCTCACATTCCAAGAGGCCTGGACAGCTTGTAGCCAGAGTCTGCATGGAAGTGTGGAAGGAGCCACACCTAGGAGCAGAGGTGCCCCTTGTGGGGTGAGTGGGAAGTGTTCAGGATGGTTTTGCAGATGTCAGAAGGATCCCGGGGCAAAATTGGAGGCCCTCTTGGGAAACGGTTCTATTAAAGAGAACTAAGAGCGGTGGGCCCAGAGTAGAGCTCAGCCTTCCTTGGGCTAATGCAGGGACCCAGGCCTTGTTAAGCTGAACCTGACCAGGAAAGAATAAACACTGTCTATCCTGTGGGTGGAAAAAAATAAATGCAAATCGCTGTGCTGTGGTTTCTATGCTTTCACACAGAAACCCAGCTGCACTGATAAAACAAATGCGCTTGTTTTCTGCTGGTTTCCTCCGGCCTTTCCCGAGCAGTTGAGCTGCGTGTTGAGTTAAGATGCGGCAGATAGCCAGCACGATCATTCTGAAGACATGTTGCCCTGTGCTGATATGTGCTGTTATTTGCCTCCAAAGATCCTGTTTGGATGCAGCGCAGCTGCTCTTCTCCTGATTCCCTGGCAAGCAGAGGCGGTAAAGGGCTCCCAGAACCCAAGACACAAAACCAACCATGTCCCTGATGCACCTGTGCGCAGCTGTGGGGGCTCACTCCTCCACCACCCGCTTCCACGGCTCACGAAAGGCTCAGAGGCCTCTCACTTTCATTTTCTTTTGCTTCCATTTATTTGTTTTGATCCCAAGCACCAAGGATTTAGATGCTGTGCAGCTCCTGGCACAGAAGCATGGTCGGTCCATGCAGGCCTCTCTCATTTTATTGATTTGCTCTTTTTCAACTTTAGTCCCTACTCCCATGCCCTCGCCACCTCATAGGCACTTATGTCGAATGCTTAGAGGACCTTTGTTCCTCTGTGTTTTTGTAAAGCCTGTATTGTTGCTTGGGTATGTGCGCGCTTACTTTACATCAATGGCATTGTGATAGAGAGCCAGATAAGCTACAGGATAGAAACAGATAGAGCTCCAGACATAGATGTCTGTTTCTCCTATTTTCCTGTGAGCACCATGTGGAGACCTAGCACACCCATGTGTATTTGACCAACCCACGGTTTCTAACTGCACACAGTGATGCCAGATGCCCCCAGCTCCTGGGCAGCTTACAACCTCATGGCCTTCTCTGCCTCCAGGCTTCTCCCCAATATGCACTGCCCATGACACCTCCATGCTGACCCTGATGCGAAACTCAGCCTTCTCTCTTTCCAATTTATACAAAACATGGTATGTGCACGAGTTTTGGGAAAGCTGAGGGTCATCAGGGCCATGAAAACAGCACAGAACAATAGAGTTCTCATACCTAATGGCTTGAGCACCCCCCCCCAAAAAAAACCACCACCATCATCAGTACCACCTCTTCCCCAACCTTCACCACCTATACAACCTCCACCACCACCACACCACCACCACCACAACCTCTACAACTTCCAACACCACCTTCACCACCAGCTCCACCACCATCACCACCACCACCTCTGTCACCTCCACAACCTCTACAACTTCCAACACCACCTTCACCACCAGCTCCACCACCATCACCACCACCACCTCTGTCACCTCCACAACCTCTACAACTTCCAACCTTCACCACCTGTACAACCTCCACCACCACCACCTCCACAACCTTTACAACTTCCAACACTACAACCTTCACCACCATCACCACCACCACCTCTGTCACCTACACAACCTCTACAACTTCCACCACCAGCTCTACCATCACCTCCGCTACCACCATCACCTCCATCACCTCCACAACCTCCACCACCAGCACCCCACCATCACCTCCACCACCACCACCACAACTACCCCCACCATCACCACCATCACCTCCATCACCTCCACAACCTCTACCACCACCACCACCCCCACCATCACCACCACTATCACCGCTATCACCACCACCCCCACCATCATCTCCACTACCTCTACCACATCCATCACCCCCACAACTTCTACCACCACCAGGTCCACTGTCACCTCCACCACCTCCATCATCTCCACAACCTCTGCTGCCACCACCCCTATCACCACCTCCACCACCACCCCCACTACTATCACCACCACCCCCACCATCGCCTCCACCACCACCACCATCATCACTTCTACTTCCACCACCACCACTGTCAGCTCTCACTTGGTCCCTGTTGCTCTCCATTCTTAGGTCTCCTCTGCCTCCTTCCCTATCATAAACAAGCTCTCCTGCCTCACATTTACAATGTCAATAACCTGTCACATTTACAATGACCTGACTTGCCTATGGTTGCACTTTTAATTAGTAGTAGAACCAGGACTTGAGCACGAGTCTTCCGTCACCAGAGCTATTGCTCAGCATTGTTTAAGAGCTGTCACGCCTACTGTATTTCCCTTTGTGCTTGAACTTTCAGGTGGCACAAAGCTCATTTGGAGGGTTTGCTGGCAAAATCTCTGTTCTTCCTGCTTTCCTCCCTCAGGCTGTGGTCCATCTGGATGTTGGGGTTGTTCAGACATCTTCAGGTGATTCCTAAGTGTGGCCAAGGCAGAGAAGCCCTTCTCAGCAGCAGCATTTTACAAATTATAGCTATGCCCAACCCCCAGTTCCACCCCATCCCTGAGTCTGCCATCTTACCTAAACATAGTCCTAACCTCTCTTTTGTCTGGGAAGATATATTATTTTATCTGAATTTGTGTTCCAATTTTTTTTGGACGTGGTCTGGATGTAAATTACAATTTCACAAATGTGCTCTGTTCCCCTCACCTGTAGTCCTATCTCTGTTTTCACCTTGTGTGTTAAAGAAATCATCTGGCTACCTAAATACTCAAATGGATTCATCTTAGGGGGCACCAGTTCAAGGAGATTGGCTCCAGCAGACAGCTTTGTTTACAGCCTTGTGCTTTCAGAATCAGACCAGGGCAGGGTCTTTGTTATTCATTAGGGTGAGAAGCCATTCCCAGTGACTAGGGTAATGGAGAAGCTCCAGACTAGAGAAATGCCGGATCTTTACTGATGTGCTGAAAAGGAAATTCACAAAGTTCCTGTTGATCATGGGATCATTAATAAAAATGTTCAGTGCTGTAGGAGGCTGGAAATCTGAGTCACAGCTGTCAGAATAATAAGTTTCTGGTGAAGAAAGTACATTTTACATTGTCATGGCCTGTGTTTGAAAGGGCAGCTGGATTGTTCTGAAGATGCTGTAAATGCAGGGAATGATTGGTTGGTTGGCAGGCTTATAATGAGCAGGAGACATCAGAAAAATAAAATGGGATTCTGCGTCGCCATCCTCATCAATAAAACACCTTAGCCATATCTTCCAGCTAGCAAAACAGTCTTGACATCTGAAATTGTCAGTAAAACACTGAAACACTGGACAAGGTTTGCCAAGGCAGAGTCACTGGGCTGGTGAGCCAGTGCTGGTAAACTCCAAGGGTGTAAGTGACATCCGCAGTTTCTTCCCGTGGACCACAAGTAGCAAATTCAGTACATGGATTTCATGGCATCTGCAGGAAAATGAGACTTGGCAAAATTTACCTAGCATCATGTTTTTAAATGTGTTAACATGCATTGAGGCATGAGCAAATATTGAGGAAACAGGTTGAGTCCATGGGTGGGTAGGTGGGTGATGAATAGATGGATGGGTGATGGTTGGGTGGGTGGAGGGATGGATTATGAATAGATAAATGCATGATGGATGGGTAAGGGGATAGATAGATGAATAGGTGGATAGATGGATAATGAATGGATGGGTGGATGAATAGATGGATGGTTGATGGATGAGTGAATGGATGGATGATGGGTGGATGGACGGATAGATGGATGATGAATATATGGATGGGTGGATGGATGGATGATGGACAGTTGGATGAATTAATGGATAGAGGGATGATGGATGAATGGGTGGATAGATGAATGGATGGAAAAATGGTTGATGGATATATGGATGGGTGAGAGGAATGAACAGTAGATGGATGGATGGATGGATGGACAGACTGATGGACAAATAGATAGATGGGTGCTGAGTGTGTGAAAATGAATGGCTGGGAAAAGGACAACATGGCTTTACCCCCACCACTCCTATTCACTGGGTGTCTTCATGTTCACAGCATTAAATTGTTGAAAAAGGATGCCGCAGTCCCTAAGGCGCGTTCTCTGTGACCCCCTCTCACTTCGTTCTCCCTCATCCTGACAGCTGGCCCTGCATTATAGCCAGCCCTTGAGATGGAAGGGACAGGCAGCATGGTCTATTCCTACATGGAAAGTGAAATTATGGAAACAGACACCAAATAGTAATTTGTCTTAAGTCGTCACTTTTCTGTGTTGTAGAAGGCACTCTGCCGGCAGATGTTTTTATGCAACTGCATGGCTGCCCGAGAGCATACTCAAATGTGGAACTGTACACTTTAGTAGAGCAGCGCTTGGTATTTAGGGTCGTTTCAGTTTGCTCAGCGGTGCCCTCTATTAAAGCACATCATCTTTTAAAATGTCCTCTCTCATAACATTTTTGTACCCCTGCTCAATCCATGGGATAAACATTGCTAAAAAAATACCAGAGTTAACTGTGGGCCCTTTATTTCATGAGATAAACCAGCTTTGTTCCCCTCGCCCTTTACTGCCACACAACTGTCAGAACATTTGCCAGGATTTGCAACACAAAGAAGTATCACAGCACATTAATCCTTGTGACGGAGACAATGCTCTATTAATATTTTATGGCAAACAAATGGACTAATAAAAAATTGATATGCTTCTCACCAGGAAGAGTCACTATATTCTGATTTGAAGGCACCTTTGGCCTAGGACTCATGGAATGTAATAACGTTTCCTCAGCCAGGCTGTGCCATTGCATGTGCTCCCCCACGTAATCCATGGCAGTCCCCACCCTGTGCTGAAGTTAGTGGCTTGCCCATCTCTGCACCGTCCGCACCTAGAACCGTGTCTCCCACATGCCAAGCCCTGACTAGATGCGCTTGGATGCATCAGTGCATTGGTAGGCAGATATAGTGCTTTAGAATAAAGAGAAATTTGGTAGCATTTCTTCCAGCTATCTTCGCTTCCTGTTCATATTTTGGTATCATGCTCTTTTTAAAATGGAATTTTGATTATTAAAATATGACCATCTATTTTCTGTGATTATCAAAATGCTTCAATATCTCTCTTCATCTTGGCAGATAGATTATTGCGTCTTTTAGCACTCAGCTCCAGCCTTATGTTAAAAAATGATTCCACTTCAAATCCTATTTTCTCCTCTCCTTTAACTGCTACCAAATTTCTCTTTATTCTGAAGCACTTTACCTGCCTACCAATACATTTACCCATTCAAAGAATATTTAGTAAGGGCAGATTTGGAAATGGAGATCTATAGTTAAATAGCGCTTGGAGTTATTCTCATGTGGTCGCCCACTGCCAGACAGAGGATCGCTCGTCTCCAATCAGTAGTTCTCCACTCGAGCTGGCACTGGAATCACCTAGGGCCTTGTTAAGCCAGGAAGTGCTTGTCCCCACCCCCAGAGTTTCAGATTCAGAGGGTCTAGGGTGAGGCTTGGGAGTTTGCATTTCTTTTTCTTTTTTATTATTATTATTTTTTGAGACAGAGCCTCGCTCTGTCGCCCAGGTTGGAGTGCAGTGGCATGATCTCGGCTCACTGCAACCTCCGCCTCCCGGGTTCAAGCAATTCTCCTGCCTCAGCCCCCTGAATAGCTGGGATTATAGGCAACTGCCACTAGGCCTGGCTAATTTTTGTATATTTAGTAGAGACGGGGTTCCACCATGCTGGCCAGGCTGGTCTCGAACTCCCGACCTCAGGTGATCCACCCACCTCGGCCTCCCAAAGTGCTGGGACATGCGGTTCCTAACACCTTCCCAGGGGCTGCTGGTACAGGAACCACACTGTCAGAACCTGACTTGCCTCCTTAGAGATGGGGGTAGAGGCTGTTTCCACCACCTGCTTTCTCCCCTAATTGCATGGACTTTGCCTGACTTTGCCACAAAGGCCTCGCATCCCCATAGCTGTCCTGCTCTCTCTGGGTGGCCTGACCTCCCTGGGCGAGGGTGACAACACTGCCTGTGATTGCTGCGAAATCAGGACAGCTCACACAGGACGGGCAGGGTCTTCTCTCGTCTCTGCCCGTGCTTCCTTCTAGGCAGCAGTGCCTTCTGAGTACAGTCATGGTGGTGCCAATGATGTCCCTGTATGACACGAGATGTGTCACCCATGCAGACACCAACAGGTTTACAGGGAGCAGCGCGGGTCAGTGGCGTGTGGCATTATTGCGGCTCGCTGAGCAGTGGGCAGCCATTCCCGCAGCACAGGATTCTGCTCTCCCTCCACTTCCCTTTGTGAGGCATGGACGCCTCCCATCAGTCCAACCTGTTCTCATGACTGTGCCTTCTGTTGACGTTGAGTGTTCTGGCATTATAACGTTCCTGTAGAGTCTCCCTCTGATCAATGCTTCCCTTTGTCCCCTCGAGAGACAGTCTTACTCGGGGCATGGGAATTTGACAGGCATCTGCAGGTCCCACGCCTTGGGACAGAACACACATGAGTAGAAGCACTTCCTTCTCCTTGCTCTTTGTCTCAAGGAGCTCCCCGCCTGGCCAACCCAGGACTGTGAGGAAGAATGGTAAGGCCTGGACCTTGTGAGGGAGGAGGCAGGAACCAGAAGGGCTGGAAAAGGGCACAGGACAGGCTGACAAACATGGCTTTCTTGGAGGCTATCTCTTCAAGCCTCCAAGAGGAGCTTTCTTGGAGACAGCTCTTCTCTGCCCTATTTTCATCATTTTCTATAGGGGCAAAGACACCTGGGGAACTGCACAAGGAAAGGAGAGTTTTCGGCTCCAGCTTGAGCCACTGGGACTTTCCTGCTTGGAGAAGGTTGCTGCAAGGGGTCCTGTGTGTTTCATTGCCTGTGAGCCTCATGCCCAACATGGAACCTCCTGCATGGCGTGAACAGTGCACATCCAAGCTTCGACAGCAGCCTCTGGGGAGGGAATTGAGCTACAACTTGCACTGTGAACACGCCATTCTCCTGGGACAAGAGGCCCTCATAAGGAGAGAGACCTAGGACAAGAGTGAGCCAGACCTCGGCCCCAGCTGTGCGGACACTTGCCTGAGGAAAACCTTACCAAGCCCCCACCCTTCTGTAAAATTCAGAAGTCACAGAAGCTTATCCAAGCAAAGCCCGCAGAGAGCTCAGCACACCAGAGCCTTTAACACTCAAGCACAGTTTTCTGAGAAAGAAACACTTCACTGTTAAATCACAGCAACGTACTTGTTCCTTCATTTTTTTTCTAAAAGGACAGGAAAAAAATGTACACTCAGTGAGCTGATGTAGATTCTAGTTACAGGGCAGTCTGGTTTTTGCTTGGTGAGAAAGCCAGCTCAAGTATTGGTCACTGTTGAGAATATACGTGAGACCCTTACCTGTTCCGAGTTTGTGAGGTCAGCCACCACCATGCCCGTCACAATCAGGCAGGGGTGACTCTGGAGAGCTCCATCTAGGCTCCCTGAACAAAAAGAGCAAGCTCTCAGGTCTGCAGCAGATTCTGTGTGTCCTATCACCAGCTCCCTACCTCAGTCCACAGACCCGTCTAATCTGACCTTGCCACCTTCATGAAGACTTAATCATTCCCATCCCCTTATCAGATGAATGGGTGGGCATTATTAATTAAATATCCTACTGCTTCTGTGCCCTTTCCTGCCTTCTTTTCTTTGAATTAAACTTATTTCTTGAGGAGCTTGAAAAAAAATATCTTATTCTTATGAACTTGGTCTGGTTGGAAGCATCTAGAGCGGCTGTGATCAGGTGTGTGGGGAAGGACATCTCCACCGTGTACCAGTGAGAGCTAGCCAATAGGTTCAGCCTCATTCAGAGGCACTGAAATATTTCTCCATGACACCGTGGGTTTATTTATTGTTGTTGTTAAGTTTTATTTAGTTTTAACTTTGCTTTTCTTTTTTATCAAAGTATTGCATATTAGTGCTTAAAAATAAAATAATATGGAAGAGTCTATAGTGAAAAACAACAGTCTCTTCCCTCTCCTTCTAACCCATCTCACCCCCAGATGGAGATGACTTTTCACTCTTTTTACACTTTCTCCTGATATATACCATCCTATATGGTAAATCACTAAGCAAAATGCACATTTCACTGTTTTTAAATGAATTTTAGTCTTATTTATTGTCTTTTTATGATAGACAAGAATTCGGAACACTTACCTTCCTACCTATTCTACCCCCTCCATTTATATGTGGATTTTATTCTCTATGTCAGTTACCTTTTTACATTTAAATACTATTACAAGTTTGTTCATGTTACATTAACTACAGAGAGGAGCTCTTAACTTCCCAATTTGTAAACTGAGATTAGTCCCCCGCCCTTTCCTACAAGTCCCTTTCCTGTCCCTACCACACAGCAACTTCTGCATCTTTGTTTTTACTTTTACATCATTGAGGTTGATGGCATTTACACTCTGTCCTGTAATCATAACTAAACCTTCCTTACTTTTCCATTGGTTGATTCTAAAAGATTAAAATCAATAAATAGCATTTACTTTCTCATAACTAAGTGATTATCTTTCATGATAGAGCTAAGGAGTGCCCTGTGATTGCAATTCTTTTTGTTTCACTTTTTGTTTTCCTGGAGTTTTAAATTGTTTTTGTTTTTTACCTGAAATATTTAATTTTATTACATCCTCTCTCTCCTTTTTTCAAATCCTCTCAGCTATTCTGTTGCATTGCCCTTTTCCCCAAGTCTGTCTCTCTGAGTGCCCTCCATAGCCCTGGTATTGTCTGGACTACTTTTTCCAACCTCTACACTAAGGCCATCCTGGGACCTCCCCACAGTGCTCCCTCATGTTGGGGCAACTGTTTCCTAGATCTCATAGATCACGTGATTTACTCCCTCTTTTGTCTGGAGTGCATTCTCTTAATGATTTACTAAGAAAGGAGTGCAGGAAGTAAATTTTCTGAATTCTTGAATAGCTAAAAATGTCTCTTTTTTCACACATTTGAAATTTTAGCTGTATGTAGAATTGTAGTGTTTTTATTAACTCTTTATTCGTCAAAGCTAGAGGGTATAGCTCCATTGTT
Source organism: Homo sapiens (assembly GCF_000001405.40). NCBI lineage: Eukaryota > Metazoa > Chordata > Mammalia > Primates > Hominidae > Homo > Homo sapiens. The sequence continues at coordinate 154,786,306 of NC_000007.14, forward strand.
TCCAGCATTTTGAGATGCTAAAGATAAACCTCATGTTGGTCTGTGATATGGTTTGGCTATGTCCCCACCCAAATCTCATCTTGAATTGTAGTTTCCATAATCCCCAAGTGTCGTGGGAGGGACTTTGTGGGAGGTAATTGAATCATGGGGGCAGTTACTCCCATGCTGTTCTCTTGATAGTGAATGAGTGCTCATTTGATCTGATGGTTTTATAAGGGGCTTTTTCCCCTTTGCTGGGCACTTCTCCTTGCCACCATATGAAGAAGGATGGGTTTGCTTTCCCTTCCACCATGATTGTAAGTTTCCTGAGGCCTCTGCAGCCCTGCAGAACTGTGAGTCAATTAAATTTCTTTCCTTTATAAATTACCCAGTCTCAGGCAGTTCTTTACAGCAGTGTGAGAATAGACTTCTGATAATTGTTCCTCTGCAAATCACCTTTTTTCTTTCCAAAAGCTTTTTGAATTTTGAAATAATATATCTATGTGTGTGTTTTCTTTTCACTTATCACCGTTTCATCCATATACTTTCAATCGTTCCTCCTGTTTGAACTGCATTTCTGAGTCTCATACGATGCTTTACCTGGAGCTCTGAGTCCCCATGATTCTCTCTGAGGTTTCAGCTCTGCAAGTGTCCAGGTTGCTGTGCCCTCCAGCCTGACTCATCCCTCATGACCCTTCTATCTACTTTCTGTCTTCCAGAAACATGAAATCTCTCAGCCCTCCCCTGTTGTCTTTATTATTGTACATATATTTTATTTCTTTATTATCATTGCAATTAGGTTTCTGGAGGGAAAACAAACTAATGTGATAAATCTACTAACTTAAGTTGGAGACTTCCAGTGTTTTCTTAATAACCATCTTCTTGTTTAAAAAGTAACCTATGCAGTATGGAAAATAATAATCCCTTGTCATTGCACATCACACTACCCGTAGGTAACTACTGTGAGAAATTTGATAAATTATCCTTTGAGATTTCTTTTCTGGAAATGTATATTTGTTCTTCATTTATTTGGGTTTTTTTAAAAAAATGATTAAGCCATTTTCCCAACACCATCGATTGTGGAAGTCTTCCTTTCCCTACTGATTTGGAATGACATCTTTATTAAATGTAAAATTATCATACAAACCAGTGTGCATTAAAGGTGCCTGTCCACTACTGATGGTTGCCTCAGTCAGATGTCAGGTGGTTCCAGAAATACGCTTATTATTAGCAACTTTAAAAAATAAATCCCCTGTCCCTATGCTTCCTTTTTAAAACCACCTATCTATTTCTTCTTATATGCGAACTTCAGAATTATTTTATTTGACTCTCTACTGAAAAGAAATTCATTGGTTTGCTATTAAAATTAAATTCATTTCTTTAACCAATATTAAGTATTTACCATGTGTGAAGCCCTATGTAAGGTGCTAAAAAATGTACAAATGAATAAGGTGGGTATGGTCTCTGCCATTATGAAGGTTAAATATAATAAATTCAGTTCTTTCCAAACTGATCACCATTTTGAAAACTTTACCATGTCTTTTCTCTTATTCCAGAAACATAGGTGTTTCTATTCCTTTTTTCTAAATAATATCCTTCCATTTCATCATGTGTAATGCTGCTATGTTTTGTTTTTAGCCTTCTTTTTGCAATTTACTAAATGCTTATGATCCTACAAACTATTTGCCCAGTATTTCTTTATATTATTTTTATCACTTAATTTGAATTTATCATCAAATTGATAGTAGTTTAGAACTAGCTATGGATGAACTGATTTTAGAGATTACTTTTTTTTACATGTTGAGTTTTTAATTTTGAGCCATTAATTTTGAGTTGCCTTCATAAGTCAGTGTAGAATATATTCAAGTAAAAGATAAGGCCGGGCACAGTGGCTCACCCCTGTAATCCCAGCACTTTGGGAGGCTGAGGCTGGCGGATCAGTTGAAGTCAGGAGTTTGAGGCCAACTTGGCCAACAAGGCGAAACCCCCTCTCTACTAAAAATACAAAAATAAGCCGGGCGTGGTGGCGCACACCTGTAATCTCAGCTATTCGGGAGACTGAGGCAGGACAATCGCTTGAACCCAGGAAGTGGAGGTTGCAGTGAGCTGAGATCGTGCCACTGCACTCTAGCCTGGGTGACAGAGTGAGACTCTGCCTCAAAAAAAAAAAAAAAGTAGAAGATACACTTTAATACAAAAATATATTGGTTGTTAAAAAAACACATTGAAATATTAAACATTAAGTATTAGCAATAGACAGAAAGGAGGAGAAGCTTCAGATCAGCCTAAATTTTGATCCTTTGTCAAAACTTATTTCCTTATTACTAGATTATTGTGGAATTTCGGTTTTCCCATAACTCAAAGGTTCTAGCACAACATATTTAGATGTTTCATTATTTTCCCTGGAATGTGGGAAATCCCTTTTAGTCTTCACATTCGGGTCTTTTTTCCTACACAGAAGTTTCGTCCTCTTTGTCTTTGGTTATCGTGTCTGTAGCCACTCTGGTTTCTCTGTAGAAGCACTGCTCTTCCCAGCCGGTAGGAAGGCTCATCTTCTTCTTTACACCTCCATGTCACCTTCCTCTGCCTTGTGGGAGAACCTCCCACATTTTCCTCAATTTTCCTGACCCAAATTTTTCTAATTTTAGTTTTAGTTTCCTTGCAGCCCCCTCATCTCCCTTTTTGATCTTATCTTGGACTTTTAGAATTCTGTTCTCTTTATTTTTAGTGTGACTTCCCTTTCCTTTATTCTGCACCATTTGACCCTCACAGTTCCGCACCTCAGGAAGGAGAATGCCTCCCACACCTGATACCTGGCCACAGACAAAGGGTGAGAGTCACCTTTGACTCTGTGTTCTGACTTTTTAGGTGCTACTGAGCTCTTCTCCGGTGTAAATCTGGAAGACAGTCTAACCCATGTGCATCTGGCATGGATCGTCTGGGCTGAGTTGACATTTTTTTTTCTACCTTCTTAAGAATTTTTCTTTGACATTCTATGTAAATTAGTACACATGGAAAATTACAATCTTCCTTAACACCCATTTAGCAAAGGTTTGACTTTCCAAATCTGTGGCTGGTGTGAGCCCAGCATTTCTGAGGGAAGAATAGTACAGTGGGGAAGAGAAAAACCTTTTCCTTCTGCGTTCTCATGGCTGGGGCTGCCCTGTTCCCTACAGGGAAGAAACTGGGCAAGACCTTGTCTGGTTTCACCAGTGCCATCTGTGTTGCAGTTAGAGATTTTCAACATTCATTTCTAATGGCATTGTGACTTTTCATCATTTCTGTGTGTCTCTTTAGACATGATAACACAAAGTTAGTAAAGGTCTCCCTCTGCCGGCCAGGCACCACTGCTTGCTGGAGACCTCTGTCTGGAGAGTCCACACTCGATGTGGTGTATGGTGTGCTGTTTGTGAGCAAGTAAATGTTTTATTTTCCCTTCCAGCAGCAAAAGTGTGACTACAAACCTTATAGAGCAAAAGAATGTCCCTTTGTCCAAAGCGTCGCTGCCTCGCAAGGTGCCTACCTTGTCCCCAGAAAGCTGCTAGAACGCCTTCAAGATTGCCCTGTTGGTGGTGATGCTTCACCCTCGTACACCGACTTGATTTTTAGAAAATAACTAAAATGTATTTGGGGCCAGGCACAGTGGTTCATGCTTGTCATCCCAGCACTTTGGGAGGCCAAGGCAGGTGGATCACTTGAGGCCAGGAGTTCAAGACCAGCCTGGGTAACATGGTGAAACCCCGTCTCTACTAAAAATACAAAAATTAGCCGGGCATGGTAGCAGGCACCTGTAATCCCAGCTATTTGGTAGGCGGAGGCATGAGAATCACTTGAACCCAGGAGGCGGAGGTTGCAGTGAGCTGAGATCACACCACTGCACTCCAGCCTGGGCAACAGAGCGAGACTCCGTCTAAAAAACATAAAAAATCAAGTGTATTTGGCACCAGGTATAGTCACTGATGCAACTCATGGACTTAGGAAATGTTGACTAGAGATGAGATGTTGCTATGCGGGTCATGAGGCAACATCAAGCTCTCAGGGCAAGTCGGCACAAGGGGCCCAAAAGCTTTATGATAAATGGCAACAGGATTAGAAGAGGCAAAGAACTGCCCAAAATGTGAGAATCACGGCTTCCTTACATAGAGGTGGAGCCCTTATGGATGCATGTATGTAAAAAGAAATCTTATTATATAATCTTTATAAATTCCATTAATAGTGTTTATTGTTTTGGGTTTTTAAAAATATTTCACACTGTATTTCATCACCATAACATCTCTAAGGGTGCCACCAGGCTTTAAAAATTCATATTACACAAATGAAGAAACTGAGGGTTGAAGCACCGTATAGAATTAATTGTAGAACCAAGGCTTTCTCAGGCCTCTGAGGTGAGCCACATTCTGCCCCTCAACCCAGGGATGAGCCACGAGGCAGAGTGGGTCCACATTTAACTGTCCTAATTTTTAGTACAATTATATTTTTCCTCAGTGCAACAGCCTCATATTACAAACTAAGAGAAGGGAGGAAAGGAGGGAGGGAGGGAGGGAGAGGAAAGGAAGGAGGGAGGGAGGGGAGGGGAGGGAGGGAGGGAAAAAAGAGATGATCTAGCACTCACTTTATGTAACTGGTCATTTTACTTGGGGCTCTGTATTAGTCAGTTCTCACACTGCTAATAAACACATACTTGAGGCTGGGCACGGTGGTCCATGCCTGTAGTCCCAGCACTTTGGGAGGCCGAGGCTGGCAGATTACTTGAGGTCAGGAACTTGAGACCAGCCTGGCCAACATGGTGAAACCCCATCTCTACTAAAAACACAAAAATTAGCCAGGCATGGTGGCAGACATCTGTAATCCCAACTACTTGGGAGGCTGAGGCATGAGAATCGCTTGAACCTGGGAGGTACAGGTTGCAGTGAGCCAAGATATTGTGCCACTGCACTCCAGCCTGGGGAATAGAGTGAGACTCTGTCTCAAAAAAATAAAAATAAAAATAAATAAATAAAATAAAGACCTACCTGAGACTGGGTAATTTAGAAAGAGAGAGGTTTCATAGACTCAGTTCTACATGGCTGGGGAGGCCTCACAATCATGGTGGAAGACGAAAGAAGGGCAAAGGGGTGTCTTACCTGGTGGCAGGCAAGAGAGCGTGTGCAGGGAGACTGCCATTTATAAAACCATCAGATCTCGTGAGAACTTATTCCCTACCATGGGAACAGCATGGGGGAAACCACCCGCATGATTCAATTGTCTACACCTGGCCCCGCCCTTGACATGTGGGGATTATTACAATTCAAGGTGAGATTTGCCGGGGGGACATGGCCAAACCATATCAGGCTCTGAGTAAAGAAACAGTGTGGTGGCTACTTCTAGAAAATAACAAACCACACCAGAGTAACACATCCTTGCCTCCTTCTAAAGCCATGAAGCAGGCTTGTCCCTGTGTGTCCACGTTTTGTGGCCAAGAGCTTTAAGCAGGAACAGTACTGTGACTCCGCGGGCCATGTCACTGCTGTTGATGCTGCACACCCCAGCCCCCTGGTTCCATCCAGTGGCACTCAGCCTAGTGACATTTCCAGCACGATTTGTTCTGGAGGCATCAAGAGAAAGTTTGCATCCATCTCATTTTCATTTATAACATTTCACTTCCAAATTAAGAAATAGAAAAACTAAGAATAGTGTGTAGTCATATTTGGCCTAGATGAAGATTATTTGTACAAAAGAACACTATAAAAAGCAGAAAGAAGCATAGGATGAATGAATGTTTCCAACAATTGAGAACAAAAGCAGCATTCTTCCTAATTAGCATGAAGGACATAGAGGGAAAAAATAGTCATTCCGGGAGACCTTACATTTTCTTTCTTGATTGCATGCAGACGAAATGTGTTTGCTGAGAGAGTAAGTGCAGGGTACCCTGTGGCTTCGCCACTGCCCCCATTGTGGACATGGAATCTTGCAACCACAGGCCCCATGTGGCTCTCACACACGTCCCATGGTAGGGAATAAGTTCTCATGAGATCTGATGGTTTTATAAATGGCAGTTTCCCTGCACACGCTTCAGCGTCCTCCAGTGTGGACTCAAAGACCAGTTACAACATCATTAAAAAATAAAAGTGTTCTATGTAAAGCAAGGGCTAGGCAGAGACGTTGAATTATATTTAAGGACAAAAGTGACATATATTTTTTTCTTATGATTGTAAATAATGACCAAATCCCATCATTATAAATGCCTGTCCCTGCCTTTGGGCCATGAAACAGCAAAGCAGGACCTTTGTAGAATGTTGCTGGCAGGATGTGCCACCTGTCAGTGCCAGGGCCAGGATGGAGAGCAGGGGGGAGGGCATGGTCCCTGTGGACATGCAAGCCAGGTTCTGGGGCAGGCCAGGCTCTAGGACGGGCCAGTATGGGGAGCAGATGGTGGGAAGAAAAGCAACCATGTTTCAGACATCACAGAAATGGAGCAGGTTGAAAGGCACGAGAGCTGGATTACAGCTGAGCGCCCCTCCTGTGTTCACGGGTTATGTACCTCCTCACCACCCCAGTCCTCAGGAACTCCCCATGACCACAGTGGGCAGCTGCAGACCTCCCCTCCTGGCCATGCGCCAGCAGCCGCCTGTCTTAGGCCCTCACCTGCTTGCCGCTGTTCCTTCTGTTTGCCACATGGTCCTGATTTAGGTCAAGTTATTAAGAACCTTGATTAACAAGTTTTAATTGTGGGAAATGGGGGAGATGTGGCACTGGAATCTCCTGGTTAACTGAGGCTCCAGCCAAGGCATCTGGCTATAGTCGTTTCTGTTAAAATAATTATTAAGTGTAGTGAGGTCGCTCTCTGGCTCGCCAGGAATTGTCTAGTGAATGTACTGCTGTCTTTAGTGATAAAAGATCTTGTAAGACCACAAAGTAATCATTCTGAACAGTAGATCTCATTATAGATAGAGAAGGGGTGAATGATTGAACGCGCATTAGCTGGCTTCTAGAACATTCTGGGATTCACCTGGGGATGGTCTTTTTGGGGCATTAATTTTCTCAACACTTTCTTCTTCCTCTTAAATGTAAAATTGTATTTTTTTAATCTGGTTTTTGGAGGGCTCTGGGTGACTGGATGAATTCCCAGAAGCCCCGGTACCCCTCGGGCTAAGTAGAGAGCCGCACAGAGCCTGTGGTAGTTTCAGGTTTGGGCAGAATCAGGCGCATGACCCTTAAGATATCAAACCAAGTTCGCCTGAAGCCCAGAGCCATGAACCAATTTCCCTAATTAGCTAGAGAGTGTCCCTGGGTATTTTATCTTTAAGGAGGAGGAATTAGAGAATGGAGCCTTCAACAGCCCAGGCTGGGATGCTTCTCACCCTGTGTCGCTCTCTGGGGCCTCCCGCCAGCCCTTTTCCGGTTCTTTCTCTGTCCCGCCTCCCCGGACCCCTCGCTGCCCGGTCAGGTGGTTAGTTGTGCGTTTGCCTGGTACTGCGGTGTGAAAGTCAAGGCATCAGCTGGAGAGACGAGACCTCAAAACCCACGGAGCAGCCCCCACACCCCTCACCCCCAGGGCAGCCACACGCAGTGACATGCAACTCCCAGTGTCTTTGGGTTTATTTAGCAAGAGGTAATGACTGGGCGGCCCCTCAGAGTCCCGCGCCAGTGCAGATTCTTTATAAGCCAGATTTCAGAAGCTCGCAGGCTGGCTGTGTCACCACTGGCTCCGGCCCCCGGCTCCCGTGTCGTGTCCAGGGCTGGGGTCGGCGGTCCCCTGGCTTCTGTCGTGCGGGGGTCCTGCCAAGCTGCTCATGCTGTGTTTGGCGTTTCCAGGGAGTACTACATCACCATGGTGAAGTGGGCCACCAGCACCAAGGTCGCCGTGACCTGGCTGAACCGGGCGCAGAACGTGTCCATCCTCACCCTCTGCGACGCCACCACGGGGGTCTGCACGAAGGTACGCGGGGCTGTGGGGGTGGAGGGGAGACGGGTGAAGAACCGATGGTCAGACGCGCCCGAGGTGGCGCCAGAGTCGTCTCAGCCCTCGGGCCTGGGACTTGGGGACCGGCCGCCCAGCTGCTGCGGGGAGCCCGCGGCGCAGAGTCCCGGCTCCGGCGTGGCTGCCACCTCGTGGCTGGTGCAGGCGCTGCCGCAGACCCGACCGAACCCATCCGTGAATTGCCAGAGGCGCCCCGTGCCTGGCACCTGGACGCCGTCCGCAGTTCACTGAGTGTTGCTTCCCTTTATCCGCGCTCACCGCTGTGACCTAAGTGAGCGTCCTCCTCGTTGCAGCTGATGCTCAGAGAGGAGGGGCCCTGCCTTTCCCCAGACCCCGCCGACAGCCTCCCCCAGCGGGCTCCAGGCGTGCGTCCCTCCCCACGTCCTGGTGAGGCCAGCCATGTTTCTAGGAGTCTCAGGCCGACTCAGTGTGTAGTGAGAGAAGGTAAACGTAGGGGAAAGAAAATTAAAATGCTCAAAGAGTGAGCAAAGGAAAAATGAAGTGTAAGAGAGGTTGCCCGGGTGGAGCAGGCAGGCGGCCCACGGCCTCACCCTCGCCCCATGGGATGGGCCCCCAGAAGCAGGTCACCTTGTGGCGGGTTTTGTAGACATCAAATAATATCGATTAATACATTCAGGCAGGCCTTTCAGAAACTCCTTTTTGATCTTAAGTTTCTGTCTCCTGGCTGAGGGGGGCCAAGGCTTGCAGGCATATTTACTTGAGAGGCTCCTAACACGACAGCTGTGCCTGAGATCCTAAGCACAGTGATTGTTTCTAAGGTGGTCAGTCTTGCCTGACCTTTTATCTAACCTGGGGCGGATTCCAGGCTATTCTGATGAGCTTGCTTGAGGGGAAGGAAGGAACGTGAGGACACAAAGCAGGCAGCTAAAAATGGCTTGTAATCTCCAACTTCTCCATGCCCCTGAGCCTTGAGTGTCAGTGGCAAACACTGCTTCCTGCTATAACCCATGACAGAGGCCTGCTCCAGGGGCCCGGAGGTCCAGTCTGCACCAGCACCAGGCCCACAGCGCCTCCAGGTGACACATGTGTGCTGCACAGCTTGAGTTTGGTGTCTGGAGTTTTGTTTTTCTTTTGTTTGCACCTTTCCATAGACCACTGTGAGACCCACTTTTCCTCTATGCTTTAGCCCCTTTGAAAGGGTTTCTGGTCCACCAGGAGTGTTACTCAGTATTCCAGAATGGGATCTGGACACAATGTCCAATGTTCTGACTCAGTGTAGGCTGAGGTTCACTATTAGATGGACACATGCCCGGGCAGTGATGACCGCCCCCTGGTACACGTGCCATCTTCCCCCAGAGGGTTCTTTTCCACCACGGGTTTGTCCTTGTTGCTAGGGATAGTGGCATTTTCTAATTCGAGGACGCTTGTGTTTGGCTCCGAGCCACGCACGAGACAAAGAGGAGAGCTCGGGATTGCCTCCTCCCAGAGCTGCCGTGGCAGCTGTGCAATGCTTGTGCAGCGGCCATGTAGGTGAAGCCAAATTGTTTCCTGCACTGTCGGTCACAGACACAATACATGCAAAAAAAAAAAAGAAAAGAAAAGAAAAACCCTCTTGTCTAATGCTCTCATTTCATTTCAGAAACACGAGGATGAAAGTGAGGCCTGGCTCCACAGACAGGTAACTACTGCATGTCCGGGTCCCCACTGTCACCTCCACCTGATCCACCCCAGGGCTGGCCCTCAGAGCTTCGACAACAGCAGAATGGCTTCTCAGAGTAAATCACACAGGGCTCCCCAGGCAGAAACAGACGGCGTGCCGGCTCCACTCACGGTGCCTCCCGTTCTCCAGGGTTGCCCAGAGAGCTCCAGGAGAATCCAAGTTCCAGGGAGGGTCGTGTGAAAATCACGGCTCTTCAGAGCGTGGAATGTTTGGTGAGACCTCAGCTTGCAGTTAGATGCCAGCACCTTGCTGAATTGAAAATGAACAGTCCATCAAAGGTGGCTTAACATAATCTACTATAGTAAAAGGGTGGAAAAGTGGTGGATATCCCTGTTTGTTGCCAGGGGTGGTTTTGTTGGTGTCTCATTTGGAGTCACCTCCTCTGTGATTCCGTAAGACCCGTCCTCAGGGACATAACTGCAAACCATCCCTGGAGAGTCTTCATCCCTAACTCAGATAAAGGAACACACATTAAAACAGACTCTAGGAACTTGAGACCAAAAGAGATCAGGAGAAGCCCAGGTAAATCATTCTGAGACAATTTTTTCTAAATTAAACTTGCACAAAAAGTATCAGTATTTTCTTTCTTCAAGCCTTTTTGTCTCATTCCACACTCTGACACTAAGAAGAACAGGTGAAAAAGCTTTGGAAGCTTCCTGTCTCCTTATCCTTCCTAAGGGGATGAAAATTGTCTTAAAGACTCTGGAAAAAGTCAAGCCAGACTTCAGTCTCATGAATTATGGTAGAGACACAGGTATGCTTCTTCATCGATATGGTGGATCCTATTTATGGAAAATAACTGAAGCTGGACAAAACTATCGCCATGGCTCTCCAAGAACATTCCAGCACTATAGATGCTGGGCTGCTGCTTCTGCCTGTGGAGTCAGGAATATAATTATCTCAGAAGTCAGAGCCTCATCAACAGACGGGCTGCTCCGAAATGTATCCTGTTTCTGCTCTGTGTCAATCTTATTCACAAGAGGAATGGTTCCACATGGCCACTTTCATTTTACATGTCCCAATTTGGGTGCCAAGTCCAAGCCAAGAAGATATCGGGAAGAGGGAAGACTTAGGGAACCCTCAAACATTAGCATGCTGGAAAGTTCTTGAATGCCACCTGGACCAAACATATAAGCATATAAGCATACATATCAAAAATAGTATTGTGATGTTCATCTCACATTAGACAAATTGTCAGAGAGATTACAATAAAAGGAACATTTTGTAAACTCCGTTATCTATATATCATGTGTTCAACCAATATTTATGGATCTTACCAGGCACCATGCTAGGCTGTGGATTTCAAAAAATGAGTCGGCTACTATCACTGAGCACACATTGTGGTGTGTGTCAGAATTTTATTCCTTCTTATGGCTGAATAATATTCCAGAATATGTATGTAGTATATATCCTGGAATATTATACATATGTATGTGTGTGTGTTATATGTATATATACATATATATACAATATAATACATATACTGGAATATTATTCAGCCGTAAGAAGAACTGAAATAGTATTCCAGTATATTCCAGTTTGTTTGTCTGTTGATGGACATTTGGGTTCTGTCTACCTTTTGGCTGTTGTGAAAAGCACATCTAATAACAGATACAAAAGGCTACCTTATTGTACAATTCCATCTATATAAAATATCCAGAATAAATAAACTCATAGACACAGAAAGCTGATCAGTGGTGTCCCAAGGCCGGGGGAGTATGGAGAGGAACAGCTTAATGAACAGGGGTTTATTTTGGGGTGGTGGAAATGTTTTGGAACTAGATAGAGGTGGCTGCACGTCATTGTGAATGGACTAAATGCCACTCAATTGTTCACTTTTATTAGTACGTTTTCTTTTGTGTTATGGGAATTTTACCTCAACGATTTTTTAAAAAATTAATAAGCTAGAGCATGAGCTCTTAAAGATGGTACATCCTAGACAGGGAGATGAGATGTTCACGTTACATCCATTGTGCAGGCTACGAGGGTGATCCTCAGACATTCAGAAGCATTGCTGAAGTATTCGGGTGTTGGTGGGAGTGGGAGCCAGAAAAAGCGTGGTGGACATGGAGCAGGAGGCCCTATGCCAGGCCCACTTTGTGTTTGAACAGGAGGAGGTGAGGGACGTGATTCTTTGTTGGGGGCAGGGAGGCTATGGGAAAGCAAGGTGGACATGCACACTCTGCTTCCCTGTCCCCCTCAAGAGGCATTCTCACAGGGGGAGCTGGCTTCCCAGCTGGCCACCTGCAGTTCTGCCCTCTGGATGGACGGCAGAGTGCATGGTCCCTGGAGGCCCATGGGGGGCCGTGGTTCTGTCCTCCAGCGCTCACTTCATTAGCTCTACAGAGTAGCTACAGAGCCGAGGTCGTCAGCAGGACTTTCCTGTATTAGCGATTGTGTGTCTCATCGCCCATATGAGAACAGCTACTAAAGTGTGGGGTAAGACAGCCTGAATGGGATTCCAGAAACCAGATCCTTCCAAGCAGAATCCAGTCAACACTTAAAAGGTGGCATGAATTAAAATAATTCTTACTGTTTTCAAATGTAAAGTTTAAAGCATTTACTAAGCACACAGCTAAATTTTTAAAATAGCTGCTTAAACGTATGCAATGCTGCCATGAGTTGGAAACATAAGGTTCTGTGACAGGTGTGTTTTCCTGGGATGGAGCGTCCCTGGGTCAGGTCAGCCCATCAGCTGCAGTTGTGATTGTGACACTGGGTTGGGGCATCCCGCCCATGGCAGCAGTTGGGAGGCCAGGATGTCTCTGAAGACCCTACAGGTTGTGAGTCTGCACCTGTGAAGATTGCAGCTCCATGGTCTGCAGGAAGATTTAATTTCAAACAGTTTCTTATGACATTGTTTTTTTCGTAAAGGAATTCATGGACCCTATTTTTCAAAAACAATCTGTAGTGTTTCTGCATCCCTCGAGTTACTGTGATATCCTGGAGAACAACTTAGTAACTTTTTAAGACTGAACCTGCCACCTGCTGCCAGCGAAGCCATTGGCTGCTGCTTCAGACAGAGCCTAAGGGGGTTTTCCTGGGAGGGCTGCAGGCATGAGTGAGGGAGACACATGGAGGCCACATGCCCTCTACCCATCCATCTCCAATGGGTCACAGAAGCTTGCCCCAGCTGGCCCAGGAGAAACTGGCATCTGGAAGGTCCTGCAGACCTCAGGGAGACCCGGCCTGCTTAGGTCCACCGATCTTCCAAGGACCCGGTGCAAGAACAGAGGTGAGTTGTAGCGAGCCTGCTAATTTTGTGTCATCTGAGCTGTTCATCTGAGCCGTTCATCCTCCTCTCTTCTCTTCCCAACTCCTTCCTGGAATCCTCAGTACGGTCACCCGCAGAGATTCCCCATGAGCCAAACAGAAGAGGAAAATGCATGTGTGGAGACCCACCAAGTTCCCTCTCCTCTAGGAATATTCCAGAGAAGCAGGCAATCCCCCCTGCCACATACACACCCTGTCACTGCTGCGCTGACCCTGCAGAGTCAGTCCTGATGCAGACCCATGAGGATCCTCTGCCAGAACCATCTGCATTTGCCATAGAACCCCAGAGCCTATTGTTTTGGTTGAAGGATCGGTTCCATGGATCCATTTCTGACTGTCTTTATTCTTTTATCGGAATTTTGGTTTTGTGATTTCAAAATTTGGGCTGGAAGGGGGGTTGGACAAAATTATTATATCTGAACCATGGGAAAAAAACACTGGCAAAAATGCTACAAATAACTCACAAAGAAGCTCTCATGAGTCAAAAGGGCTCCTTCTTCACAGATCTGCTGAGTGGAGTTGAGGAAACCAGGCATTGTGTGTGATAAATTCTGTTATCCAGAGAGACTAGAAACGCTTCCCCCAAAATCAAATGAGAGACAGAACCAGGATAAAATCCAGGTCCCCTGGTCAACAATCATTGCACTTTGTCACTAAAAATACATTTACCACATGAGAAACCGGGTCTCAGAGAGACTCAGAGGCTTCACCTGTGTTCCGAGGAATGTTTCCCTGACAAGGTAGAGATGACATCACAACGGTGGAGGCCTTCTTATTATAAAAACAATGCTTCTGGCCAGAATTAATTATTTATTACATTTATTTAGAGTATCTTTGTCTGCCAAACGTGCAAACATTTCCCCCAGAAAACTGAAGGAATATAGCGCTACCCGCCGCACAGTTGGCAAATAGAAGTGCATTTTAAAAGCCAAATTAACCGCTGGTTTTTCCATTTCCTCTGCTTTTAAATACCATGCTTCCAACTCTAAATAGGAAAATAAATGTTTGCAGATTAAAGGTTCCATTTTATTGCAAATATTCATGAAGATTAAATGTCATTTTAATCACATGTTAGTTTATTTCTCTGGGCATATCATATCTGCATGGGTTCACTCACTGTAGGGAAATGAGTTTTGCTTGTGCCAGCTGGGGTTTATTTACCATTAGTTCTCATCCCCGCATTCGTGTGAAGCTCCTTGAGTCAGAAAATACATCTCGCAACCAACTAATTGGTGTTCACGGATGGAAACTTTCAAACTTGGGCTTCAGAGAGGCCAAGGTACCGCGGTAGCAAAATCCTTTTTCGCCCATCAAAGCAACAGCCACCCTGTGGGCTGGTGGAAGGCTGAGGCCGCTGGCTGTTCACTGTCCGGGGACCAGGCAGAGATGGTGGCGACACCTGCCCTAAATCCAGCCTGGAACCCTTCCCCCAGGGAAAACTGGGCATGCTGATTCTGTTTCCAGGGAAAAGAGACAGTAGATCCAAGCAAGTGTTGTCATCCAGTGTGGCCCGAGGTGGAGCGTGTCCCTGGGACTGCTGTCCCCTCCCACCTGTGTTTTAGAACCCGTGGCATTTGTCCTTGTGTTTATTTTCTTTTTTTCTTGCCTTCTTGATGGGCTATTCAGTGTGAGATCAATTGTATTCAATAAGAAGAAAAGACAGGATTGAAAGAATAGATTTTGCTTTTAGGCAAAATCTGGTTTGGGATTGTTGAGAATTATGTTTTTTTCTGATATATAATAAATGCCACTGGAGAAATCTCACAATACACTCTGGTTTCAATGGGCAATAATTCAAGGAGGAAGCACCTCCTTTTGAGTTTTGAGAGCAGAGTTCCTGTTCTCACTGGTGAGCTTGGCGTGCACATGGGGCTGGGCTTTGTCTCGGTGCTGTGTAGACTGAGGGATGCCTTTTTATTTGCCACTGCCGGGGCTGTAGCCTCTTAATTCCTCCATCTTCTTCTTTTAGAAAACGTAACAGTTGACTCATGATTCCCGAGGAAAGTGACGGCCTCATCAAGCACTTATTATTTCAACTGTTCCTCTCCTTAGAAATCACATAGAAAATGTATCTCGGGGTGTATTTTATCCTGGTTCAACCTCTTCAGAATAAATGATGTTTTAGTTGTGGTTTCATCCGTGGCCTTTGTCCACAGAATGAAGAACCTGTGTTCTCCAAGGATGGCCGAAAGTTTTTCTTCATCAGAGCCATCCCCCAGGGAGGACGAGGGAAATTCTATCACATCACGGTGTCCTCGTCCCAGGTAAGTCCTGCTAGTTTCCGGAGCTGAACTAGAAACTGGCCTGCTAGAGGCCGTGGGGTGACAGCCTCTAGGGCTGGGCACACTTGCGTTTTCGAGGACCCCAAGGAATCTGAAGGTGGTTCCCGAAGGCAGGGCAGGGCATGGCGCTGGTGAGTGCAGAGGTTCCCATCAGGCCTGGTGGAACCTTGCTCTATCTGGTCACGTGCGAGAATGTGAATGACGCTTCTGCCAAGGTCAGCAGAGACCCTGGGGTCCCCTGTTCAGTGTAAGGCCAAGGATGTTGGAGGACTGTCTGTGCCGGGGGCCCTTTCCTTCTCCCTCTGCTGAGGGTCTCCTTAACATACTCCCCGCTGAGGCATGGCTCCATGCACTCAACATCCCTCAGGGGTCCAGCCTCCCATGCTGCCCTACCTCCACCCGGAGTTGGATGCAGGTATTATTTTATTATGTGACCGCTACCAGCCATCACTCACTGGTTCTGGGGTCTGGCGAGTTCGGAATGGAGCATCCCTGAGTAGGGAATCTCAGAGATTAATATACGTGAATCTAGGATCAAAAGTAGACATCTCGGGGTCACCATCTCCTGAAGAGGTCACCTCAGGGAGCCTCACGCCTGCAGGACGGGGCTGCCATGGTGTTGACTTTGGGGGACTCTGCCCTGAGGAAGAAGGGAAGCATGATCTTGGATCTCCTCAGTTTTGGAGGCAGTCTAAAGTTATTTGGGATCAGGGTAAATGAATGAAATTTGATTAGAGAAAATGTTAATCACAAATATTCTATGGCTATGACATAGAAGGCTCATATTTATGATGAGGCCTCAAAGGCAATTTCAAAAGAAAATCCAAGAACATCCGCACTAAGAGCAGCTCTGATGGAATCAGGGTGGGGGCTGCGGGACCCCTGGGATGGAATCGGGGTGGGGGCTGCGGGACTCCTGGGATGGAAATGGCGTCTCTTGGAGGTTCAGGTGCAATTTTTTCTCAGTGCACTTCATGACACGATTGATAGAATGTCTGCAAGCTGTTGCCTTTGCTTTTTCCTGCGGTCTTCATTCTACCATCCAAATTCTTTTGTTTATTATTTTACATCACTTATATCAAGATTTTAAAATGCTGGCCAGGTGCGGTGGCTCACGCCTGTAATCCCAGCACTTTGGGAGGCCAAGGCAGGTGGATTACCTGAGATCAGGAGTTCAAGACCAGTGGCCAACATGGCGAAACAAAAATTAGCTGGGCATGGTGGCACCTGCCTGTAGTCCCAGCTACTTGGGAGACTGAAGTAGGAGAATTGCTTGAACCCGGGAGGCGGAGGCTGCAGTAAGCTGAGATCGTGCCACTGCACTCCAGCCTGGGTGACAGAGTGAGACACTGTCTCAAAAAAAAAAAAAAAAAAGATTTATAAATGCTTCAGTGTTTTCATTTGGCTCCCAGTCTTGTATTTATCCAAGTTGCCATCATTTGCCCGGAGCCCTATCAAACATTCCAGCAGGAAGCAGGTCTCCTGCACTGCCCATGAGGCACCACCTCCTGCAGGTTCCCAGGAACCCCTCGGGGGGCCCCCAGGGCCTTCCCTTTCAAAACCTGCTTCAAACTCCCCAGCCTCTCCTACACGCTGTCTGCGCCCCCAGGCCCTGCTGCCCCCCAACCCCCATGTTCGAGTCTGCAGCCCACAGAGTGTGTGCCTTGGGCCCTCCACCTAGTTTAATCTCCACCTGCTCTGCGCCCACCTCCCAGGGCATCTGCCTTCCAGAACAGCTGCCCATTTCAAATCCCCACTGAAACATCGCTCCCGCCTAGATGGCCCTGTCTCTCTCTTCTGTTACCATTGGTCGTTACCATTGTCTGTTACCATTCTTCTTAGCTCAAGGGGAACATAGGGAAAGACAATGCGTGCAAAACTTGTAGTGTGGCAATACAGGTCCAAACTGTCCTTGTCAGTGGCAGCAGGGAGCGCCCTTTCTCCCTCCGTTTATTCTTCTCTCTTTTTCCCTCCACCTCCCGGCATTTGTCTCTTTCCTCCCTCACTGGTCCCCCTTCAGTAATGGCTCCATTAATTAGATTTACAAATGAAAAAGGCCTATAAAGCATTGATTCTCCTCCTGAGATGCTTCCATCATGGTTGGAGGCCAGGTCCAAGTGATTCGCGTCACCAAAGAGGACAGGGCACTGTTCCCACCACTGACATTCGGGGGTCGGGGAGGCTGCGGGCCTGGGGTTGGTTGGGAAGCCTCAAGGAGGATGTTGCCTCCCAGGAGAGGAGCAGGCAGAAGGGGCAGAGAGCCCTTCCCACAGAGAGAATGGCAGCCCCTGTCACCTGGTGTCCAAAACAGTTGGAGGATGAAGAGCCATGCTGGGGCCGGGACACCGGTGTCTGCTCCTGATGCCATGTCTGTGTGTTTCAGCCCAACAGCAGCAACGACAACATCCAGTCCATCACCTCCGGGGACTGGGACGTGACCAAGATCCTAGCCTACGATGAGAAGGGGAATAAGATGTGAGTGAGAACCAGGGGCCTGCCCCATCTTACTGGCCAATGGGGCACATTTGTTATTTTTTGTCAATTA
The DNA here is from genome assembly GCF_000001405.40 of Homo sapiens. Taxonomy (NCBI): domain Eukaryota; kingdom Metazoa; phylum Chordata; class Mammalia; order Primates; family Hominidae; genus Homo; species Homo sapiens. The sequence continues at coordinate 154,804,026 of NC_000007.14, forward strand.
CACTTATGGAGTACAGGAGCACAGGAGGCCTCCTCTTTCCTCCTCAGGCAGCATCACTGACTCCTAGTTTCTTCATGAAAATGTATAGTAGATTCCCGTCCCAACAGTCCGACTTCCAGAGCTGCGGCGTCCTGAGGACGCAATTAGGCTTGCAGCCAGCCCATGAAGGGAAGCACGCTAGCGGCAGTAGTAGGGGTAGTACTGATGTTGATTGAGTTTTTACTAGTCCAGGCTCTAAGCCAAGTGCTTTACAGACATTATCTCATTGAATACAACAGTTCCATGAGGTGAGTTTACTGCTTTCCCCATTTTAAAAATAAGTAAATGAAAACAAAAATAAGTAATTTGCTCCAGGTTATTCAGTTGGTAGCGGGTAGATTTGGCTCAGATGAGGGGAGCCCAGTTCGGAGGACTTTACCACCATACAATTTCACCTCCCTGCTCCTGGGGTAAAAGCCAAGGTTTCTGCATTGGGAGGTCTTAGGTGAAAATGAGTCAACAACTATTTATTGGGCCAGGCTATATGTCTGAACTTGTCTTAAATGTGCTCAGCTCCTTGCCCTTCAGAAGGTGAGTGATCTTGTAAAAGATTTCCACATCCACATTCAGGTGTGTGTCACCCCCAACCACAGTACCCTCTGGCCACGAAGCAGAGGCCAGTGCAGGGGGCACCCGGAGCCAGTGGAATCTGCACTGGTGTCCCTCAGCCCTTAGGTGTCTGGCCACCCCCTGCTCTGGTCACAGGTGTAGCTGGACCTGAACAGGGGAGCTACTCCCTGCAGGCCATGGGCGGCAGTCCCTGAGGAGTGTCCATAGAGGTAGTGCCAGGAATGTGAAGTGCAGACGTGCCTTGGAGCAAACTAACCCTGTGCACCTTGGTGATCTTTGCAGCTACTTCCTGAGCACGGAGGACCTGCCTCGGAGACGACAACTCTACAGGTAACTCCTGCTCCCCCTGCACACAGGGCTCTCCCCCTTAGGAGGGCATCCAGGCTTTGCAGAATTGCACCTTTTCAGCAGTTCGGAAAGGGCGGCAGCAAAGACAGACCCCACCACAGAGGAGTAGCTGTAGAGTCTGGAGAGAAGTAATGAAACTTGCAGAGGCCACCAAAGGGGTAGTTTTGAGACTTTTGAAGCTTTATTTTTCTGCTGTTGTTGACTTGGGTTTTCCCTGTCACCCACTTGCCTCTTTGGCTAACGGATGGACTTTAACCCGTCTTTCCTTTTCACTTCTATTCAATGTCACCTCGGAGGAATTCTGCCCCCCCTGCCCCACCACAGATTTTTTGTAGGGAGCAGAGTGTGATTTGGAAACAAACCCGTGGGTCAGCACGAGGAGGCCGGCCCTGCTGTCCGGCATTGTAGCTCACTGGCTTTGGGGAACTCTGCCCTGAGGAAGACAGGGAGCATGATCTCGAAGCTCCTCAGTTTGGAAGCAGTCTAAAGTTATTTGGGATCAGGGTAGGTAAATGAAATTTGATTAGAAAAAAAAGGTTAATCACAAATATTCTATAGCTATAAAGTAGAAGGCTAATATTTATGATGAGGCCCTAAAGGCAATTTCCCTTCTCAACAGCCCAACTGTGCGACTTTGGACAAGTTTCCAAATCTCAAAGAGGGCAGGGACCCTGTGTTCTGAACCCTGGAGGGGGACTGGTTTTTTTTCTAGGGCGTGTCCCTCTTCTACATTTAGTCCTGTCATCTGCCCAGTCACTGTTCTCACTAAAGGAGGCTTTGGGTTGTGAAGTGAGATTAGCCCTGGGCACTTTCTACCAGGGCCACAGAGGTGAGGAGGGGGTGTCTGCTGCCTCCCCCGTGCCTCTGCATGGGATGGCTGCAGCCAGTTACACCTAAAGGCACCTGGGCCGCTGAAGAGGATGTTGTTCAGGGGAGACCTGAGGCTTGAGGCCAGTGGCGCATTGTCTAAATGGTGCCAATGCCTGTTGCCCCCGCCCCACTGCTGGGACATTGGGAAGCCCCCCTGGTGAACGCAGCCTCCCTTCCCAGCCATCGGCCGCTATGCGGACAGGATGAGGTCAGCATGAGGGAGCCAGTCCGTGTAGATGTTCCATCGTCACCATGTGTCTACTAGGAAAATTGAAATACACATGTCACCAATTAATAAACATGAGAGGCTGCCTGTGGCCCCTGTCCTCTAAATTACAGAATGAGAAGGTTGTCTTCTCTCTCCCGTGAAATATCTTTGCTCCTGGAACAACAGACTTCATATTGAAACCTATGGTTAGAGGGGACCCTCCTGCGGCAAAATGTTCAGATAAGAACTTCTTCCAGGTAGATCCGGTATCTTAGGATCTTTCCATTTTAGGGAGCACATTTTAGGCCTTCTTGACTTGAAATGACACTTGACCACAGTGGTCCCAGGTAACATCTTCAAGCCAGTTCCCACTTGTGTAGCTCCGTTGAGTGGGAAGCGCGAGCTCTCGAGGTTTCACTCTGTCAGGGGATGTGGCTTTTGGAAGCTGCCAGAGTTCAATTCCACTGGTGCTGCTGGAGCCCCTGCCTGCTCACATGCCAGCGTTTGGAACCCAGATAATTTGAAGATATGTCACTCTGTCTACTGTTCTCAGATTGCTAGCCATCCACTCAGAGGGACAGGACACGTGCAGATAGAGTGCTAGATCATATAACACTGACAGCTCCATGCTCCTCACACCAGGCCACCTGCAGAGCCTGGAGAAGGCAGCATAGGTGACTGCCTTCCAGCCCTCCCACAAGCAAGGATGCTGAAAGCTCTTGAGAGTGGGAGGGACCCACCAGCAAAGGAAGGTGGAAATGGAGCTGGGTGGTCTCAGGGGCTCCAGCAGGGAGACAGAGGGAGAGGCCCGGGGGGTCTGTAGCAGGGCTCCGCAGATCACCCTCATGGGGAGAGCCCACCAGCTTGCGGCACCCAGCGTGGAGGGCAGCTCCTCTCCGCCCACATTCACACCTGCGTCCTTTGCTCTTCCAGTGCCAACACGGTGGGCAACTTCAACAGGCAGTGCCTCTCCTGTGACCTGGTTGAGAACTGCACCTACTTCAGCGCTTCCTTCAGCCATAGCATGGACTTCTTCCTGCTCAAGTGCGAAGGTCAGCTCCTGCCACCCCGTCAGGGCAAAGAGCCCTGGCAGGCACATTTGCAGGGAGGGGGTGGGCACACTTGCAGGGAGGGGGCAGCGGCTGTGGTGGGAGCACAGCGTATTCCAGAACAGGTGAGGATCCCGCCTACCTGATAACATTGCTTATGGTGCAAGATGACTGGACCCCCACAGAGCCTGGTGCAGTGGGGCTACTTTACGTTTCATACAGGTGTACAGCTTATCAGAGTGTTCTGTGCACACTGTGCCAGTAATCTCTCAGTTTGTCTCCCATTGTCCACAAAAAATAATAGTCCCATGAGCTAGGAAGGGCAAATATCCTACACAGTGATGAGCCAAAGCCATCAATCCATCAATAAAGATAGGAAAACAATTTCAAAGATTAACTTTTCAATCATATTTAAGGATGATTGAATATCACCAGGCACGGTGGCTCACGCTTGTAATCCCAGCGCTTTGGGAGGCCAAGGTGGGCAGATTCACCTGAGGTCAGGAGTTCGAGACCTGCCTGGCTAACATGGCGAAATCCCGTCTCTACTAAAAATACAAAAATTAGCCGGGCCTGGTGGTGAATGCCTGTAATCTCAGCTACTAGGGAGGCTGAGGCAGAAGAATTGCTTGAACCCAGGAGGTGGAGGTTGCAGTGAGCTGAGATCGCACCACTACACTCCAGCCTGGGCAACAGAGTGAGACTCCATCTCAAATGACTAGATAAGAAAAAAAGGATTGAGGTTATGTTAAAGAAGTCTCAGAAAAATATTTCCCTATGTCCCAATTCATTGATAATTTATCCCAAACTGCAAGAGTTTGATCACACCAACCAGCATACACAAAAGAGTAGGCCATGTTGCATATGGGATACAAAGGATATTTTTGCTGCTTGTCTGTATCTTGGAAAGATATGATATGAACCCATGGAAAGGTAAGTCATCCTAAATATGGTCGTAACAAAATATGATCTCCTGCGATGACCTCAAAGAATGAAAATATGCCACAGGCAGAGACTAAGATCAGGAGCAATTTGCTCCTCTGTCAGAGTTTCAATCCCCTAAGCCATAGGTGGAGAATGAATAACTTTTATCAGAGCAATGTCTTTGCTAGCCTTTGCTAGCTACTAGAGAGCTCATGACTTCATGACTTCGTTCTCTTTTTATCAGTGTCATCTAAAATCTTGAAAATCCGCAGAACAGGGACACTCAGCCTCTTGCTCAACACAAGCTCAGCCCCTGACATTCTTCTAAGACAGCAAGGAGACCACGGAGGGATGAGGGGGGTGCGACTGAAATATAACATTAGTGCCCCAGTCCCCGCAACGTTAATGGTACCAAATTCCTCTTTCCTGTGTGTCCCAAGAAGGAGGCCACCAAGTATCTGAAATCATAGAGTGCTGTAGGGGAAAGAACCTAAGATCTAACTGACCCACTTCATGTATCAGATGGCAAACCCTAAGCCAGAAGTTGAGTGGATTCCCTGACTCCCAATGAGCCAGTGACACAGAGAGGGCCAGCATCAAGGTCTCCCAGTTCCTAGCCCAGTGACATCTGTCTCCTAGGGCGGGATCTTCTTGAAATAAGAACTTGGGAAATTACAGGGATTGACGGGGCATAGGGATTGGGAAAATGTGGCAAGCAGACCCACTAGGAGCCAGAGAGTCTTTTGAGGAGCTACATAATCAGAATCCACAATCCTGTCTCAGAAGCAGGAGGCAGCTTCAGCACACAGGAGGTCATGATCAAACACAGAAGTGAAAAATTGAAGTAGATTTCAAGAAGAGTGCCCCAAGCAACAAAGGTTGAATGAGAAAGGTGACAGAGCCTCCATCGTGGAGATCCTGAGTCAGGGACAGAGGTCATTTGCCAGAGGGGCTTGGTCTGGCCTAGGCAGGAGGCAGAGCCTTTGGGATCTGAGGTCTGCACTGGTCAAGACAGCAACTTTATGGATTTGTATTTCCCAAATTCTTACTATAACCAGCAAGAAGGGTCTGGCTTCTCACCGTTCATGGAAAGAAGTCAAAATAATAATGAGTTGTGATATGAAGGAGTGATATTTCTTTATTACCTATGCCACCAAGGGGAAGAGCAGAAAGCAATTCCACTCTTCAATTTGTGGAGCAAATACAGGGTTTCTTTTTTTAAAAAAAAAAAAGAAGAAGAAGGGTTTGGAATGGGGAAGAGCTTGGGGGGTTAGGAGGTGCCAAGGAGTGTGACTGGCTGTGGTGGCCCCTCTTTAATTATTGTCCCATTTGATGAAGGAGCTGGCACCATTGTGGATCCCACCAGGTTATCAGTTAATCACAGTCAGCCTTGTAGTCACTCTTCAGCCATGAGCGGGTTTCATCCTTGAAGTAATCTTTTGTTAAAGAAAGAATTCTGGAGGTATCTGGGTCCTATCAGGAGCTGACTCCTGGAGGTTTTAAGGAAATACATGACCAGATAAGAAAGCATGGTGTGTGCTCCACAAGCATCCGGGTTAATAAATGTGCATAAGGCATGAGAGCATAGAATGGGAAAAGAAAGGGAGTGGAGGCGACAGCACATTCTGAGGCTGTGTTTCAAGATGAAAGGTAACACATACGCAGCTTGTCTCAAAGTTGTATCTTGAGACAGGGAGCAGACAGAAGAGGAGAGGAGAAAGAAAAAAAGTTTAAATCGTGGTTTGAGGCTGAGCTGCTCGGTCATATTCCTAACACATACTAACATCTGCTCCACATGGTGACCCTCCCAGAATCCAGAATCCAACAGCTTATTTGTTGTTGTTGTTGTTGTTTGAGATGGAGTCTTGCTCTGCCGCCCAGGCTGGAGTGCACTAGTGCCATCTCAGCTCACTGCAACCTCTGCCTCCCGGTTTCAAGCGATTCTCCTGCCTCAGCCTCCCAAGTAGCTGGGATTACATGGATACATAATTTTTGTATTTTTAGTAAAGACAGGGTTTTGCCATGTTGGCCAGGCTGGTCTCACACTCCTGGTCTCAAATGTTCCACCTGCCTTGGCCTCCCAAAGTGCTGGGATTACAGACAAAAGCCACCTCACCTGGCCCTTACTTAACAAACACTTTCGCTGCTTCCCTTTGGAGGTCACAGCTCCCTGCTAAGTTCAAGCTCAAGTTCAGTCTGGATGCCTCATTCTGACAACTGGAAGCCTTTTATGGTTCAGTTTCCATAAGCTGCAGCCCTGGGTTGAAATCCAAAAGGCTCTCCCAGGAGATCCATGGCCATGGATTTAGGCAGGGAAGTTCCAGTTCCCACATGGTGGATGTAAACATGGAGCCCGTGGTAGATAGAAACACAGCCTGGTGTTGGGAGGCTGCTTGGACAGAGTGTTAAAGTTTAGAGAGCACTATAGGGTGGCTCCTGTGCGGATTTCTAGTCTGCCACTGGCCTTCTGTCCCAAGGGAGATTCGTATTTCTTTTTATGTTTATGTATTTGCAAGGCTTGTGTTGTGGTCTGCAAATAGTTATTGTGAAGAGATGACTCCATAGTTGATACCTGGGAGGAAAACAGAAGCAAAGAACAAGTACAGCAACACAAGGTCAGACACACGACTGACCCAGCCCCCAGGTACAGCCACACTGGGTCACACACACATGACTGACCCGGACCCCAGGTACAGCCACACTGGGTCACACACACGACTGACCCAGTCCCCAAGTACAGCCACACTGGGTCACACACACACAACTAACCTGGCCCATTGGGCACCTCCACAATCTCACCTTCAGAAAGGATGGGATGCTCCTCCTGCCAATGCCTGGATCCCTATAATAATCAAACAGATTCCTAGAATTTGAAGATAGGAATAGATCTCAGAGCATCTAATCCAGTCTCCACCCTGCCTTTCTTTTGTTGATTCAGAAACTGAACTCTTAGTCATTATGAAATTATCACGCTAGGGTTTCCTGAATCATTTAAGATCTATTTAAATATTTAGCCTGTTGCCTCATCTTAAGGTAGACATAAACTAGCCCTCTTCTCTACAAAATTGCTCTTTAAAGTGTTTACATAATAAGCTATTTTCTGGCTAAAGTAACTTTTGAATGCCCAAATTAAACTCTCCCCATGGAGGTAACCAAAATCCCACTTATAAAAAGAGATTTTCTGAAAAGGTTTAAATTTACAAAGACAACAAAGTACATGGGGAGACAGGAGCAGCCAACTGTTTGAACCTGGAAGCAGTTACCAGTGATAACTGACCTGGCAGACCCTGAAGCTGAGCCTCGTCCTGCCATGGGGAAAGCTGAGCAGGCATTGGCGATGATTGCCTAAGGGATGAGAAGATCAATTGCTATGAAATCTTAAAGGAGAAAGTGATTATACCCATTTGGATTGCTTGGGGCATTTTGCTGGAGGAGAAGACTCAAGGAAGGTGTCAATGATGAGGTGGCATTTAAAACAAATGAGTAGGTAGGATTTGGAATGGGAAAAAGCAGTCCAAGTGGAAGGTACACCCTGAGAAAAAGCACAAGAAATGTTGTAAGATTATGCAATGGAATCTTTTGCAGCATGTGAATCAGGATCAAGTGAATACAAGCAACCTGATTTAATAAACAAAGATAATTTAAAATAATTTTATTTTTCTCCACGTTTCTCAGTAGATATTAAAATGGACCCAGATGTGTAGTCTAGAGCAACGTTTAGTCAATGCTCATGTCCTGTCCTGTTTCCTTCACACCCCAAGTTATTCTGAGAGATTCTTGGAAACCTGTGACAAAAATAACGTCTCCACTCCTAGCATTAGAGACTCTTGTTTTCTTCTCCTTCCCTCCTCCTGCAGCATTTTGTTATATAAATTAACTTAGTCTTCTAGTTGCAACCAGAACCAAAAAAATCCTCCTTTTTTAGGTTGAGGATAAATGTACTGGCAATGAGAGGCTTCTCTATGGTAAAATCTGTAAACATGCCCACATTCAAAGCTGTTCATCCCGTCACACAGGGAGGGAAGTGTAAGTAGTTCAGGTTGTCTGGGCATAGGAAGGGATGATCATCAAAGGATTTAACAACTAGGACAAGGTGGATACCAACCAGCCAAAAGACATGTCCCTGAGAGCAGATATAGGCTATCAAACCACATTAGGACATAAGGGCTGGGTATAAAATCATGAAATTATAACTGTTTCATATAGACTTCAACATTCTTCCTGCCTTTCTGTGGGCCTTCCATTAGGACAGTTTTTGGTAAGTTTAGCTGATATTGACCTATCCTGTAACTTATATTCAGTATTATAACTTATATTCAGCAATATAACTTTATTGTCTTAGTCCATTTGGGCTGCTATAGTGAAGTTCTATAGACTGTGTGGCTTATAAACAACAGAAAATTATTTCTCACAGTTCTGGAAGCTGGAAATCCAAGACCAGGGTACCAGCATGGTTGATTCTGGTAAGGGCCCTCTTCTGGGTCACAGATGACCAGTTTCTCCTTGTATCCTCATGTGGTGGGAAAGAGGGTGACAGAGCTCTCTGGGGCCTCATTATAAGTGCACTAATGCCATTCCCAAGGGTTCCACTCTTGGGACCTAATCACCTCTCAAAGGCCCCACCTCTTAATACCATCACGTTGGAGGTTAGGACTTAATGTATAAATGTGGGGGGGACATAAACACTCAGTCCATTGTAATCATAGCTGATTGTAGCTCATCAGTTGTTTGCAAACAGTATTTCTATTTCGTTAGTCCTTTGGCATACTGATCTTCTCCTAATGTTCAGTTTTTCTTCCACAGTGTATTTTGTCCAACATCATTATAGAGTTCCATCTAGCAGTATCAATGTGTGCTTTCTCTAATTTTTCATTAACATTTCTTCAGCGGCTTCTCAATATTTGACATTTGTATGCTTATATGTTTATGTTTTATGTTTATAATTCTTAATTCCTTAAAATTTTTTATTGTACATACAAACCTAAAAATTATTTTTAGGTTAATAATAATTACTATTAACTTAAATAATAATTATTTTAGGTTAATTCCTCAATTTTTTTTTTTTGAGACAGAGTCTCGCTCTGTTGCCCAGGCTAGAGTACAGTGGCATGATCTTGGCTCATTGCAAGCTCTGCCTCCTGGTTTCACGCCATTCTCCTGCCTCAGCCTCCTGAGTAGCTGGGACTACAGGTGCCCGCCACAATGCCCAGCTAATTTTTTTTTGTATTTTTATTAGAGACGGGTTTTCACTGTGTTAGCCAGGATGGTCTCAATCTCCTGACCTTGTGATCTGCCCACCTCGGCCTCCCAAAGTGCTGGGATTACAGGCATGAGCCACCGTGCCTGGCCAATTCCTTAATTTTTGATTGTACATACAAACCCATAAATTATTTTTCTACTTTGCACAGTTACATTAAAAATATATTCGAATACAATATATAAATAGAGGTTCAGAAATGCTTATAGCCACTATATCCACTCACTACCTCACTGGATCCCATCTCTGAGTGTCAATATTTATATCTAAAGGACATGGGTTTCAGATGACCCCTGGATACTTGTGCGAGGGATCAGCTGTAAGCCAAACTCAGTGGAACATTGTGGAAACTCACCTATCTATGTAATACAGAGAGTTTCTGTCCACCTCTCTATTGTCTGGAAGTGAAGCCAGCTATATTCTAAATATTGTATTATGATGTAACCTTTTATGATGATTTTCCAGAATATACCAAGCAGCTTTTGGCATACATACTTAATTGGTCTTCTCAATGACCCTGTGAAATGGGTAGTAAAAGAAATAATCTTCTATTTGTTAAGTTCTTTACAATTTGAAAAGCACATTTCTTTTTTTTTTTTTTTTTTTTGAGATGGAGTTTTGTTCTTGTCACCCAGGCTGGAGTGCAATGACACAATCTGGGCTCACTGCAACCTCCGCCTCCCAGGTTCAAGCAATTCTCCTGCCTCAGCCTCTTGAGTAGCTGGGATTACAAGCGCCAACCACCACACCCAGCTAATTTTTGTATTTTTAGTAGAGACGGGGTTTTGCAATGTTGGTTAGGTGGGTCTTGAGCTCTTGACCTCAGGTGATCCACCTGCCTCGGCCTCCCAAAGTACTGGGATTACAGGCTTTGAGCCACGGTGCCTGGCCTGAAAAGTACATTTCTAATTACATTATAACAGTTGATGACTATGTTCCCATTTCTGATTCCTTGAAATTTATATTCTAGCGTAAATATATCTACTTAGAATTCCCTAAACTCAATATCATTTTTCACATTTCCATGCTTTTGTCTTTGACTACCTGATAAACCCCTATACATTCTCCAAGACTTTCAGGGCAGGGTTGATTTTCATCCCCTTACAGGAGGGATGAATGAGAAGTCAGAGAACATGAAAGTGGCTGTGTATTCACCCGCAGACCAACGCCTGTGACAGGAACTCAGTCTTCAGCTGTCTTAGATGACTGGGGATGCCCAGGACAGGGGAAGGCTGGGTGGTCTCACCTTCTAGTCCTGGATAAACCCAATTCCATCTTTAAAGAAAAAAAGCACTCACCTCCTGGACTCATCTTCTAGGACAGCTAACAAATTACCGCAATCTGGATGGTTTAAACCAACAGAAATTTAGTCTCTCACAGTTCTGGAGGCCGGAAATCCAAAATCAAGCTGTTAGCCAGTGTGGTTTCTCTTGGAGGCTGTGAGGGAGAATCTGTTCCACGTTTCTCTCGAGCTTCTGGTGGTTGCCAGCAGTCCTTGGCATTTTTTGACTTACCAATGTATTGCTTTCATCTTTGCCTTCATCTTCATGTGGTCTTCCCCCTCTGTCTCTGCATCCAAATTTCCCACTTCTTATGTGGATGCCAATCATTGGATGAGGACCCACCTAATCCAGCGTAGCTTCATCTTAACTTGACTACACCTGCAAAGACCTCGTTTCCAAATAAGGTCACATTCACAGGAACCGAGGGTCAGGACTTCAGTGTAACTTTTGGGGGGACACCATTAATTAAACCCACAACACTTCCCTTCTAAGGACTGCATTGCCTTCTTATATAAGAAAGAAAGAGTGCTCAGCTTGTTCTTCTCAGGAACACAAAATTAAGGGCAGCCACACTAGACTGTGCCAGAGACAGTTCTTAATGGTTTCACTGCATTCTGGAAGCAGCAAGGGGGTCACTGAAGGAAGTAATGTGATACTACCATATCTTTGGATAGCAACTCTAGCATATTAGAGGAAGAAGAGCAGTTCCAGTATAGATTCTCTCTAGGAATACTTCTTCCCTGTCATAATGCAAAATTCACAGTCAAGTGGCATACAGCCATAACAAGTTCTGTAGGGTTTTCTCCTACCCATCTAAATTCAACCGCCAGAGCCACTGAACAACAGAATCGAAGTGCCCAATTTACATAATTTGTGTTTCACAGTCCTCGCCTCTGTTGAGAGAACTGGATTTTTCTCTTCAAAATGAATCTCAAGAGTATGATTTATTTTCCTTCAAGTTTTTGAAAACGACTCAATCAATCCTGTTTCTAAGAAATGTCCAAATGCCACCAGGAAAGTGAGTTCCGTGTATGAATTGGCCATTTGGTGCTTCCTACTGAAACATTTTTTGTATGTTTAAAAATAGCTAAATAAACTTCCTTCTCCTGAAGCCGAGGATGGAATTATTGCAGTCACTTGCTGCTCTGAGTGGGAACGGGACAGTCTGTGTTCATGAATCCCTTACAGCTCTGGGCTCTCACCCCCGCCCCTTTCAGTGTTGAGCCATGATTAGGGAGCTACTTTCCAGACTTTAAGAAGTTTGGTCTTAGACTTAGCAGATTGGTTTATCAAGACAGGCTTCTCCTTCTCCAAGTTGAGTGGAACCAAAGTATTATTACCTGAGCCTAAAATACAGTGACTCAAATCTGATAACTATTCTTCTTACTATTAAATATTCCCCAAGATCTTCTGTCATCACCATCATTGCCATCATTATCAAAATCACAGGAGATTGAAATGGCAGTAAGGGAGGTCTATGGAGTATGGAACCGTAGAGCTGGGTTCAAACCTGGACTCTGCCACCTACAGCTTCGCGACCTTGGGCATCTTGGTTAACCTTGCTTAATCCTCCACACCCTCATCCTGAAAATCGGAGGAATAACAGTATGGCAGTCCCCCCTTATCCACAGTTCTAGTTTTTGAGGTTTCAGTTACCTAGAGTCAACTATGCTCTGAAAATATTATAAACAATAAGATATTTTGAGAGAGAGAGACACCACATTCATAATAACTTTTATTACAGTATATTGTTATAATAGTTTGATTTCATTATTAGTTATTGTTCTCTTACTATGCCTAATTTATAAATGAAACTTTATAATTAGGTATGTAGGCACAGAAAAAACATTATATATATGGGGTTCAATACTATCATTGGTTTCAGACATCCACTGGGGTCTGGGAACATGTCCCTGGTGGATATGGGGCACCACTGTACCTGTCCTGTGAGGCTGTTTTGAAGATTAACCTAGATAGTGCATGTAGAGTACTTACCATGGCATCTGATACATAGTGAGTGTTTAATAATAAGTGTTAACTATCATAATTGTTTTCATCATTGTCATCACCTTAGTAATCAATTGAGTTTCTTACACATCCACTTGCTACCCACTCAGTATCCAAAAGTTGGGGCCAAGGCTGGGGGTGGCTGACGTGCATGAAGTCAATGAAGCAGCATCCCTTCCCACATGTTAGTGGGCACTCCAGCACCTCAGCAGGCTTAGGTTGGAACCCCTGGATCTTGCACTTACACTAGCAAATTCCAGAAGCGGCCATGGATGCCAGAGCCACAAAACATTAAATCAACTGTCAGGCATGGCAATGAGTACCTGGTGGCTTCCAGAGTGCATGTGTCCACCGTGGTCCTCACAGTTGGTTCCTGGCAGAAGTTAAGAAGTAAATTTCCAGCTTTCTTAGCACCTGCCCGTTCCTTCTGCTGTGACCTTTCCCCTCCATGCCTTCAGGTGCCCGGAGCTCCCAGATGCCCCTCCTACATCCTCTCGCTGCAAAACATAATTAACCAGGGGAAATGTCCACGAAGGTGCCATTAAGGTGTCCTGCAAATATGTATACTAAGGTGCTTGTTATTCTTCCCCAGGTTTTAGTCAGAGCAGTGAGTAAGGCAGGGATGAAAAACAGGAATCAGCCAACCAGCTCCACTTGTTGGGAAGGCACTGGCTGCAGTGCTATGGATGAGAAGGGTTCTGAGGCCAAGTGCAGGTTCAGCAGGAAAGAACATCATGAGTGATTAACGGATGATGTCATGAAAGTCGTAAGCGATTGATGGATGACGTCACAAAAGTCATGATGTCATTAACATCATGAGTGATTTATGATGTCATGAACATTATGAGTGATTGATATATGATGTCATGAACATCATGAGTGAGTGATTAATATGAGCAACTTCAAGAGTAATTGATGAATGATGTCATGAGGGTCATGAGTGATGATATAATGAAACATGAGTGAGTGACTAATGTCAGGCACATCATGAGTGATCGATGTTACGAATATCATGAGTGATCGATTGATGATGTCATGAACATCATGAGTGAATGATTAATGTCATAAATGTCACAAGTAACTGATGTCATGAATGTCCTGAGTGATTAATGACATGAGCATCATGAGTGATTGATGCCATGGATGTCATGAGTGATTGAAGGGTGATGTCATGAATGTCCTCAGTGATTGATGGATGATGTCATGAATGTCCTGAGTGATTAATGACATGAGCATCATGAGTGATTGATGGGTGATGTCATGAATGTCCTGAGTGATTGATGGATGATGTCATGAATGTCCTGATTGATTAGTGATGTGTGTCACCCACAGTCATGGGGGAGCAGGTGGCAGCCACATGCCATGCATCTATGATGTTTGGTGTAATCCCCTGAAATGAATGAACACCTCCACATGGTGAGACTTCAGATTCCATATTATCCAAGATGACATACATTTGGAAGTTTGAGATTTATCCTAAAACTCACCTTGTACTGCAGAATGAGGTGAAGGGGCTTATTTTTTTAAGGGCCTAGACTCCTGAAGCATTATGGCCAGCCAAAATAGAAGTGACAGCATGTCACTTCAGAGAAGAGAAAAGGGCATGCATGAAGAGACGCAGATTGAGACTCGGTTACCTGAAGGGATGGAAATGGCTGTCATGGAAACTCTCCTGAGGGAGGCTGTTGCCCAGGGTTTCTAACTGAAGGGCACCTCTTCTGTCATACATCTTTTGAATGAGGGAGAAGAAATCTCCAGATCCTTCCAGAGTGGCTCAGGGGTGATACTGATTCACACCCCTTCAGAGTGCTGGATCAACAGTGTAAGCAGGCATGCCCTTTGCATGATCCCAACATAGGAATTAAATATTCTACTGCTGGTCAAATTATTTGCTAATAACTCATGCCTAACCGTAAATGAGTAGTCCCAGAGCTAGAAAAATAATACATAGTTTGCGTCTTCATTGATAAAACTGTCTTATTAGCCTCAAACATGTAGGGTGCTATTGACTCCCAACAGCAAATTTGAAAACAAATGGTTTGGTTCTACAAACTAGTTAATCCTCTAGACATCTCTTATATCAAAATTTCCAAGAAATTTACCTCAGCTGCCCTTTTTAATTTTGAATTTATCCAAGTGAATGTTTAGAACCGGTTTGAAGCTCCTTGGAGCATTGCTGGTGTGTTTGTAAGAACATCTGTTCAGTCTCTCAAACATTTGGAGCCATTCCCTTTGAGGCTGCATGAACCAAGAACAAGGAAAGGGATTCTCAAGGCAGGTTATATTGTTAATGTAAGTGACATGAATACTCTGGAACATGTCACACTCTTCAGTAAATGCTACCAGACACCACGCAAACCACTCATATTCCTCCTCAGTAACAACCAAACAAACATCTTCCATGGAAAAGAAGCTTCTCACTTTGCCACTCAACACCTTTCCCATTCCTGGGCAGTGGCAGGTATGCTGAACCTGGTACGAGTGTGCCTTTCTACATCAGAGGCCATGTCCTGCAGTCTTTCATCTGAAATGTCCATTAAAAATAAATAATGGGCTGGGCATGGTGACTCACGCCTGTAATGCCAGCATTTTGGAAGGCCGAGGCAGACAAATCACCTGAGGTCAGGAATTCAAGACCAGCCTGGCCAATATGGTGAAACCCTGTCTCTACTAAAAATACAAAAATTAGCTGGACGTGATGGCACGTGCCTTTAATTCCAGCTACTCAGGAGGCTGAGACAGGAGAATCACTTGAACCCGGGAAGCAGAGGTTGCAGTGAGCTGAGATCATGCCATTGCCCTCCAGCGTGGGCAACAAGAGTGAAACTCTGTCTCAATAAATAAATAAATTAATTAATTAATTAATTCAACTCAATAAATAATGACTCTAGAATGTGTCCATTC
This sequence comes from Homo sapiens, assembly GCF_000001405.40. NCBI lineage: Eukaryota > Metazoa > Chordata > Mammalia > Primates > Hominidae > Homo > Homo sapiens. The sequence goes on from NC_000007.14 coordinate 154,819,485, forward strand.
CTTTTATCCTTGTTGCCCCAGCTCTGGGTAATAAAAGCCATTTTGTTACTGGTCAGTTTTCCTGTGAGATTTCCCACTAGCCAGTTCACCTTGCTTCTGCCTGAATATGACCAGATGGTATTTCCTAAAGAATATCTCTCTTCAAAATGGCTTCCAGAGCACATACATTTCTCTTTTTTCTAAGTAAAATGATAGAAGAAATAAAACAAAAACAAAAACAAAAACAATGCCACTGGGCCACTAGGAAGGGGCCCCAATGGACTAAAATGTTGAAGAATTTTTGTAAAGTAAACATAAATGGTTCACTGTTAAAGTGAAAGCCAGACACAAGGGAATGTAACATAATTGGCAAAAGACATGATTATAAAATGAAGACCAAAAAGAAGTTTGTTTTTTTAGAATTCTGAATTGTGGAGCACCTGTCAGAGTAGATGCTGCCGCCTCCCATTTTTGCCCCTAAGACAAAAGGAGACTTGGCCAGGGAGACTTCCAGAGTGGACGGTGGGGCTGGAAGGGGAGCTGTGCCGCAGGTGGCCACAAAGCCAAGGCCCCAAGCACTGCAAGAGGCCCCCTCATCCCTTCATCACTGCCCTGTCTCCACCTGGCATCAGAATCCGCATTCACGGAGGGAGTGGCTCTATGGCTGCTGAAGCCATGTGTCCACAGCCTGGGCCCCACCTGGACGAGAGTATAGCCAACAGGGCACCACTGCAGCACACGGGACACGCGAAAGGGAGGCCTCAGACCGAGCGCCTGGGAAGGAAATCCCTGGAGAAGCATTTTAAAGATCTTGTCCATCTGCTGCAGCCAGACCGACTGTAAATATCCTCCGAGAGATTCCAGAAGGCGTCACCTTTACCACACAGAGCGGTAAAGAGTGGGCTGCTGTGAAAATGAAGGAAGCTGACTGCTCAAGACTTACAATATTTACAAAACAAATTTTTGTAATTCAGAAGAAGAACTGAATAGGTAAAGTAGTCAAATACCCCAGTTGCCCCCAAAAGCCTGGATCACGCTGACGTAAATGAATACGGCTTCTTAATTATTTCTAGTGCTTCTTCCCTTCACTTCCTGAAGTGTTCTTGTTTGGTCAAAATTATGAACAGAACAACACCAGAAAGTGCCCTAGAAAATACAACCAAAAGGCTTCCCAGAGGACCCAAGAACTGGACAAAGATGAACATTCAAACACTTTTGAGAGCTATGAAAAATAGATCCAACGAATGTAATCTCTTGGTAGAGGCTTTAGAAGGAGAGATTGGGGAGAAGGAAGGGGGAAGAAATAAATCAAGATATGATGGAAAAAAACTTTCCCCATGCTTTTGAGTCGTTAGGGAAAAGAAACCTAATGAGTGTAATTCTAAGAATTTTGGAGAAGATCTAACGATACATACCTCCTAATAAAACTTGACAATTCAAGTTTAGAAATTATATAAGATTACAGGCAGGGCTCAGTGGCTCATACCTGTTAACTGAACCAACTAATTAAATATAGACTGGCCCCATGAAACGTGTTCTTCATGTTTACTGAAAGCATATTCTTAAGGCCGGTGTTGGGGATGCCCTTCTGGCTACTGTACTTCAAGATGTTCTCTGCAGAGGGTCATTTGGAATAAATTTTCCTCTGGTCTCAACACCAGGAATGGTTGAGCTTCTCATAACCTATCTAATGGGCTGTGAATTGTGTTTCCCTAAACTGTGTTGGCTGCTAGAGAGCTTAGCATGAAATGTGTGGCATATGTGGGTAGGTCTTTATAGCACACATTTTTAATCTTTTTCCTGATGTCTTTTCTTTTTTCTTTTTACATTGTTCTGATAGCCTCACTTACTCATTTTAAGCTTATTTTATTTTTATCTGTGCATTCATATCATCCTTATCTGCCTTCAGTCCTTTTTGCCACTAGATCCAACATGGATAGACAGATAATAGATGAGAGGGAAATGACTGACCGATTGATTGGCAGGTAGGAAAATTAAAGTACTCTTAGCCTAGCATTCAAGGCTGCATACAATCTGGCCACATCCTACTTATCCAGCCTCGTAATGACACTACTCCTCTATCAGAGCTTTCAAACACTTTTAGAGGCACAATCAGTTTTCAAATGAAATGTTAAGTGAATATATATATATATATTTTTTTTCTGTATATATATATATATATACACATATATATATATATACACATATATATATACACACACATATATATATACACACACACATATATATATACAGAAAAAACATGGTGTTTTGTTAGTATTAAAATGTTTCCTCAAGTCAAAGTATAGCATTTGCTTTTCAGTTCAATCAAAGGAAACAGTAAGACCATTTTGGTGACTACAAAATGTAAACTACTAATTAAGAGATACAGGTCCAAGTTACAGCCTCTTGTTAATCACCGTCATCCTCCAGGAAATTCACAGTAAGCCTTTGCAGACCCACAGCGGTGCTTCCGGTTAAAAGCCAGTGTGGAATACATGTCTCAAGCTTCCCTGATGTTATTTCTGTACCTGTCAAACTAGCAACTTATTTAAATATCTGATACAACCTCCGAGATTCAACCTCATAAACTTTCTCTGGTCACATCCTCGCTCCCTCCTTCCCTGGGGCTCTGAGGGCATTTTTTGCCTTTACGCCGTTGCATCTTGTCCATCCCTTTACAAATGCTGAGCTCCCAGAGGCAAGACTGTTTCACTGATATCTGTGCAGCAGCCTTATAGTAGACTGTCTTCATCCATCCTGGCAGCTGTAACAAAATACCATAAACTGGGCAGTGTCTAAACAGCAGAAATTTATTTCTCACAGTTCCAGAGGGTGGGAAGCCCAAGGCCAAGGCAACTCGGTGTCTGGTGAGGGCGTGCTATCTCGCTGCGTCCTCACATGGTGGAAGGGGCAAGGGAGCTCTCTTGGGCCTTTTTTATTAAAACCCTAATCCTATTCAGAGGCCTCCACCCTCGTGATTTAATCATACCCTAAGGCCCGACCCCCTAACACTGTCACCTTGTGGGTAAGGATTTCAACAGAGGAATCTAGGAGGGACACAAACATTCAAACCATAGCCCAGACTATGTGTAGCTGACGCTGTGCCAGATTGCGATATTCACTTTGTGGGTTCAGGGGACAAGAAGACCCAGTGAAAGCTTGTAGGGACCTTAGGGACCAAAGCCAGTGACAGTGTCAGCCCCCCGCCCCCAACGACTTCATCCACACCTCTGCTCACAGATGCCTCCCTGGCACCCTCTCAAAGGCCCCACCCTAATTGCTCTCTAGCCCTCATCCTGCTCCTCCATCCTATTTCCTGCTCTTCATCCTGTTTTCTCTCTTGCACGTTTCACTCCTGCCATTGATTTTTCTGTGTATGTTTTCAGATGCCCATCTTCTCCACTGGCGTGTAGTTCAGTGAGTATAGGAACTTTGTTTGACCCACCACTTTGATCCTGACATCTAGTGCAAGAGCTGTGGCATAGTGTCCTCCATAAATTAGCATTTTTAAATGGATGAATAAAAGCTGCACTACCATACTATACTTTGGGGCCAATGCAGACCTAGGTTAGGGTCATAATCTTACTCTAGAACTTCCTGGAAAATAAGTTAATACACATGCCATTTTTAGGTTACAATGAAAGCTGCTTCTCATATTGTGAGTAGCCAAAATATTCTTTAAGACATTATTTTTTTTGCCCTCGTTTATAAAAGCCTGCTCACAAGACCTGGAACTGTGAACACTGATTTAATTTTTTAAACAGAAATGTTGTAAACAATGAAAGAGAATCAAAAACAATTAAAATAATGCAATATGCAGTTTGACCCAGGAGTTTGATGCTGTGGTGAACTATGATGGCACCACTGTACTCCAGCCTGGGTGACAGAGCAAGATCCTAACTGTAAAATAATAATAACCATAATGCAATATGCAATTTTACACCCTATACTTAATGCACAGTAAATGGGTCTGAATGAATTTTCAAAGTGAATACATAGACCTTATTGGCAACTTTATATGTGTCTTCTCTATTACTTCAGAGGGAAGTACTGGTGCCTGCGGATAAAGTTTTAGGGAGACAGATTTCAACTTAACATAAAGAAAAAGTCACTAAAGTCCTAACCATCATTGTATGGATCTCATCGTGTGTAATATATGGACATACGGTGAAGGTGGACATGCCAAACTCTCGTCCCAGGAGTTCTCCAGGCAGAAACTAGAGGACCAGTGATAGGCACATTTGTGTAGGATCCCTTTTTGGATTATTTTGGACTCGATGGACTAAGGTCCTTGCCAGTTTAAGAGTCTGTGATTGTTCTTCTCTGATACTGACTCAATAGAGCAACTTCAGGGCCCATTGCAGCACCCAGGCAGATCCGGCACCTTCTCCAAAGATCCTTCTCTCTGCTCCATGCAGTGGTGCTGATGGTAATAATAAAAAACCGAATGCATGGAGAGATACTGAAGTGCATCCTGAATAATCATCAAAATTCATTGCATGTATGAAGTCAAAATTTCTATTTGCAAACTTTGTTGAATTACCCATTTTGAAAAGTTGATCTTTGTCAGTCCCTCAAGACAAAGTCAATTCCATTCTTCTCCTTAGTGGCTATTGGTGAAAAGTCTGTTTCTTAGTTGTAGATCAGGAAACAGTGCTGCTTGACTAGAGGATTCCTCGCCTTACACAAAGACTGCTGACACATTTTGGTCAACAGTAAAATACCTATTCATCTCTTCCACCCATATTTCAAAAGTAGATAACTTATTCCTTAAGGAATGTTTTTGTTGTTGTTGTTGTTGTTTTGTTTGTTTGTTTGTTTGTTTGTTTTGAGACAGAGTTTCACTTTTGTTGCCTAGGCTGGAGTGCAGTGGCGAGACCTCGGCTCACTGCAACCTCTGCCTCCCGGGTTCAAGCGATTCTCCTGCCTCAGCCTCCCAAGTAGCTGGGATTACAGGCATGTGCCACCACACCCAGCTAATTTTGTATTTTTAGTAGAGACAGGGTTTCACCGTGTTGGCCAGGCTGGTCTCAAACTCCTGACCTCAGGTGATCCACCTGCCTCAGCCTCCCAGAGTGCTGGGATTACAGGTGGGAGCCACCGTGCCCATCCAGGAATGTTATCTTAATGCTTAGTAAAATGAATTAGAAGAGGTGGGAAGTATCTACTAGCTCCTAACAAAAGTTTTTACTTTAGCTATGAAGACATAAAAAGAATCAGTCCCAAACTTAATTATTGATGCTAATGAGGAGGAAAAAGATGAGAGAAAATCAGCTGCTTCCCTGGCTGTGCATTTCTGCTTCAGCAATTCCTTGTTGTTTAAGAGAAAGGTGGCAAACGCAGGTGCCCACTGCAGCCAGAAAGGAATGGAAATGAGTGAACCCCTCTTTGTGTCATATAACGGAGGCCACTGGAGAGAACCCCCGGTCTCTGACAGGAACCGTTGTGACTCAGCTCTGGTCAGTCATTGCCATTCAGAAATTGTTAGATTGCCAGTTCTTCCAGTATTTCAGCAGAAGTACTAAATCCATATTTCCATATAAAAATATGATTTTTAAATGTTGACAACCCATTACAATTTGAAAAATATTTCTTTTGGCGAAATGAAACACCTGCAGGCCACATCTGGTCCGCAGGTGACCAGTGAGTGGTGTTCACTTGAATCAATATACCAGATGGCCAAAGAGGACTTCTTCCTGTTTCTCAGCCTTGCTTACAAGCTACTCACTTGGTCATTAAGAAATCACCAAAGCTTATGTAGCCAGAGGGAGCCATAACAGAAGTGGATGTGCTTAAGTGTCAAGGATCCAACCTGGACACTCAGAAATCCACAATACTTTTTAAACTGCTCTGTATGTAAGACTATTTTAAATCTACCTGTACTGAATTCTGAGCTATGCAACAGAGTTGAGTAAGACAGCGTTCATAGTAATACATTTCTCCCACTTCAGCACGCATAAATTGTCTTCCAAGAAAAGGGATATTTGTCACTTATTCTACCAGCTGTCAGTCAGTCTTCCCTTGATGTTCTGGGAAGCTCTTTGGCACCTCAGTGCCTTCGTCACCGACGTGAGCATCTGTCCATGTGAGGAAAAGAGAATGCTGCCACGACAGGGGTTGTGGTGACTGTTGAATCTGCTTTTGCTGCCTCAGTGTTGAGGAAGCCAGGGCCCAGGACTTGCGCATGGCTAGTTAAGAGTGGGGTCAGGACTGCTTCCCGTGCCCCAACTGCCACACTGCTGTTTCTCCAATGTCATTCTTCTCATTCATATTCTGGTTAATTCAGTAGCTGGTCACTGAGGCTTTCTGTGCTTGGCACACAGCACGTGGAGAAGGAACAGGAAACAAACCTGCAACATTCCCTAAGGGAAAGGTAGAAAACAAAGATCAGGGTCACACATTTATTCTCACAAGGCCTGTTGGTTTCATGAGCACCAGTTTTATAGCTTCTCAAACCAGGGCTAGCTCACATCTAGGTGAGAAGGTAGCAGATGGTGGTTCCAGCCACTCATCCCACCACACAGAAACTTATATCCTAGTGAGTAACTGCAGAGGAATCAGTCCAGAAGGGAATTACTTCACCCTACGTTTCACAAACGCAAACCCATGATCATTACAAGAATGGGAGCTGCAACTAATCATAAGGATTGTGAGCAGTTCCAATCCTGCACATTCCGAGTTTGGCACAGTGTATGAGTTTAATAAATATTTGAAGCCTTCAAATAGGAACAAAGAGTTTTATGGACACAAAATATGTCTTAAGTAACTGTTGAGAAAAGAAATGTTGGCTTAGCTTTAGATAAAGTCTCTGTCTTCCTATACCACTCTTTATCTTCTAGACATTAAATTGGGTGTATATTCTTGGTCAATATCCCATATTAAAAATGTACTCCCTGAAAATATTAGCATGGGTGACATTTTCCTTTGTAATCCTGATTCCTTGGCCAGTTTCCTTGTTATCTTCCCAACTGTCTCCTAGCTGAATTGTTCAGTGGTTATTATTTTACGGACTCATGGAGATTCACAAGGAGGAAGATGTCCATTTCTCCACCAACACCCAAAGGCTTCTTGAGAACCTCCCAGTGATGAAAATCGAGAGGGTTTCTATGTGCTAGAGCTACAAATCAAACATGGAACAACAACCTTCTCCTCGGCACTGTTGTCCAACAGCAACGACAAAGCCTAAATAGGGCAGAGAAGGGAGAGATTCGAAAAATGAATTAGAAAAATCTCCTTACAAAGTGCTTTCTTCAGGAAATGTGGGACCAAAGAGGCCTGCAGCTTTTTCTCTTAATGGAGATAAAGTAGGATCATCCATGTGCTTAAAATAGTCACATGCAGAGAAAAATGAGCAGAGACGTCTGGCTAAATGTTACATCTGCTTTCACTTTCATTAATTTTCTTGCCCAGAAGAAGGTATTAGTTAATGTTAGACAGCTGTCGAATGATACACCACTTTAAACACATTTTTAAAGCCACTATTTCATAGTTTGTAGCTGTAAGTCCATCAGAGTGAGACAACATGAACATGAATATGGAGAACCTAGAAACACAACATAGCATCTATCATAGTAGACATCATCTCCTAGCACATAGTTTAAGCTACGTTGACAAGAAGTGTCTGAAGTTTTTATTACTTGCTTCTACTTAGAATGGTAATATAAACTATTTTTAAATCAGATGTTACGGGCATATGAGATACATAATCTACACTGAAATCCACCCCCTCCCAGACACACACACACACACACACACACACTTGAAGACACCCACTGGATTTTGAACATCTCAATCAGCTCTTCCCCATTCTCATCCTCTTTCTTATCTGTTTCTTTTCCCTCTTCCTCCTCCCCTTTTCCTCCCTTCCCCTTCCCTTCCCTTCTTTATTCTTCTGACCAATTCAGTCTCAAAGCCTTTAGCTGGGTGAAGACAGGTGGGCATCTGCACAGAGAAGTAGCCCCGCATGGGCTGCCTGAGCTCAAGCCAGGAGGTGGAGGCATCTGCCCGCCTGGGAGCACCTGGGCTGTGGAGTCAGCCCTGGGCAGGAAGAGAGGGCGTCTGCGCAGAGGGGCAGCCTGTCGTGGGAAATCAGAGCCTAAGAGTAAGGGATGCGTCTCTTGGAAAGGATGGCCCACTGGGGGTGTTTAAGCCCAAGCAGAGTGAGGAGGGGGTGTCTCCCAGAAAGGACGGCTGGCAGGGGGGTGGTGTCGCAGCCCAAGCAGAGTGAGGAGGGGGTGTCTCCCAGAAAGGACGGCTGGCGGGGGGGGGGTGGTGTCGGAGCCCAAGTGGAGTGAGGAGGGGGTGTCTCCCAGAAAGGATGTCCTGTGGGGGGGTGTCAGATCCCAAGCGGAGTGAGGAGAAGGTGTCTGCAAGGAGAGGTAGCAGCGATGGTGATGAAAATGTCTTAGACTCAGGAGCTAGATCAAGTAAGAACAGTAAAGAAGATGAAAACCCAGTTTCTCCCTGTTGGGGATGGAAGTCACACATATGGGGAGGTGGAAACTGGAGGCACACCTGCGTGGTGCTGGACTGGAACTGGGGGGAGTGGAGTGAGTCCCTGTCTTTCTAAACGCAGCGCTGAACTTTCAGCTGAATCTTCCTGGGACTATTTGCAGAACTCGAATGGGGTGTGAAGATTAGCCTGTAGGAGTGCGCCTGTGTGAATTTCCTGAATGTAACGGTAATGCTGTGGTTCTGGAGGAGAACGCCTTATTCGTGGGAGATACACAGCCCCAAGAGCATTTGGGGAAGATGGGGCATCAGCTCAGGGATTCCTTCTCAAATGCTTCAGGGGGCAAAGTCCTTTGCCCTGTACTTGCAGCTTTCCTTAAGTTTGAAGTTGCTGTAAAATCTTTTTTTTTTAATTAGATAAAATTTTACAAAAATGAATAAACTGTGTGCCTGGCAAAGGAATTGAGCGTGAAGGTCACTAGCTTCAGGTTGGAAAGTGCTCTTCCCTGTCACCAAGCGTGCAGCCACCGGCAAATGACAAAGTCTTGTTCTCAAAAACTTAAAAAGTTTTCTAAAGAAATAGCTGCTAAAGAAAATGAGAAGCCAGATAGAAAAGGCATTGCCTAGTTTATTCTTCTCCATTTGAGACATTTTCATCTTCTCTAATATATTCCAGCGGGCTACATTAAACACCTAAGCAGATAGAATGTGTACATGTTCTAGTAATCGGTATATTTATTTCATGAAGGTCATTATGCTAGAGTATGATCATTATAGTTCAGGCACAAAATCTAACCATGTTTCCCCTGGGCTCTGACCCATGCAGATGTCAGTATGCCTCCACAAGGACCATCTTCCAGGTAAACAGGTTACACTTAGCTCAGCTTTAAGATGGCCATAAATCTTAAAATCGTGGCATACTGACTTTTGTTTCAGAGTCAACTCTCAGTAGCCTACACACCTCAGAATTTGTTTTTTAGTTTTTCAGCCCTACTTTCAATTATTTACAGTGCCCTGAACATCAAATACAGTCTCGGTCTCGTACCTTTGTAAGTCATGCTATCATCAATAATGCAGATAATTGTATTTTGAAATGCCTAATTATAATTCACATTTATATTTATATTATTCAAACACCCAATGCATTTGCCACATGCTAGACAATAAGAAAAACAGACCAAGAGGCTGAGCGCAGTGGCTCATGCCTGTAATCCCAACACTCTGGGAGGCCGAGGCAGGTGGATCGCTTGAGCTCAAGAGTTTGAGACCAGCCTGGGCAACATGGCAAAACCATGTCTCTACAAAAAATACAAAAATTAGCTGGCCATGGTGTCATGCACCCATAGTCCCAGCTGCTTGAGAGGCTGAGGCAGAAGGATTGCTTGAACCTGGGAGGTCGAGGCTGCAGTGAGCTGTGATTGTGCCACTGCAAGCCAGCCTAGGCAACACAGTGAGACCCTATAAGAAAGAAAAAGGAAAGGAGAGAAGAGGGGGAGAGGAGGAGAGGAGGAGAGGAGGAGAGGGGAGGGGAATGGTGGGGAGGGGAGGGAGGAGGGAGGGAAGAAGGACAGAAGGAGGGAAGGAAGGAAGGAAGGAAAATGGAGAGAGGGAGGAAGGGAAAAAGAGAAGAAAAACAGACCAAGATATTAGCAGGAAAGGGACTGAATTTCCAAGCAAATTGGGAGTCAGTGCAAGAGTAATATCGGCTCAATGGCCAACAACAATTAGATGGTTTTCAGCAGATGGGGGCTAGCTGGCATCATACGCAAGAGCATCAGTCTCAGCCAGATGGGAACTTTGAGGTTCCTGTGATTAGCTTGGTAATTCTAAGAGGAACTGCAGACCACTTGCCATAGGTAAGATGCTTCCTCCATCCTGCTCAAAGCCCTCCCACCCTTCACCACCACCAAACACCATCTCTGCTCCTCATGTGGAATCTAGGGCCCTCCACAATTGAAAGTCAGCCTTCCAGAAGTGCCTCCTGTGATGCTGGTGCACAGACCCCTGGGCCCTTTCTGTTTGCTGTTCAAGTCTCGAGACTGCCTGTGCCCTCCCGCAGCTGTGCTCTTGCCGCTGCCGTTCTCACCACCCGATAGCTCCTTCCCAGACTTTCAGGCCGTCAAAATCCTCACCTTCCTTTAAAATTCTCTGGTTCACATCAGCTTTGTAAGTATATCCTGAGCAAGTATTAAGTGATCTTGATGATTTTTTTGAGTCTTCCAGCTATGCCTTTGAACACGTTTTCCTGTCTCTATCTTTTTCATCTTGAAAATCCACATTCGCTGCTGCCTTTTTTCTGATCACCTGTTCGGTCCTTACCTCCTTTCCATCTGGCTTCCTCTGTCTATCGATTGCTCTCACAAGGTCTCTGCTCAGCCACTAATTGCCACAAGTTCCAGGAAGAGGCAGAGCCGGGGCCAGGCCAGGAGGCAGAAGCCACTCGGGGGACTGGGGGGCCATGCCGGGGGCAGTTTGGTCCAACAAAGAAGCGCTTGAAGGAAAATAATGGAAAATCAGTTCTGAAAGGTAGATTGAGATAAGTAGAGCTGTATAAACGTTGTGACATAGATAATTGTGAATAATATTCCACTGTCTAGCCCTAGAACAATTTGACTGTCCAGTGGAAAAACCTTACCAGCAAGGTGGTTTCTTGAAGAAAAGGAAGTTTGCCACACAGAAAGCTCCAACTGGTTCTAAGCAAAGGGTAGCACCTGCACCAAGTATCAGGGCATGAACCTGCCTCCTGGGTTGTCCCGGCCTTAATCGTACTTCATTTTGATCAGATGGCTTGCAGGGTTGCTGCTCACAGCCTATTTCTACTATCTATACGTCCACATTTGAAAGCCACCTCCAAGCACACACCGTGCACGCCCTGTGGAGAGGAAGCATTTGCATTTCTACCCCTCAGATAACTGCTGCTGCCCAGTTCATGTTTCAAGTATGAGTTCCTTCATTCTATCACCAGGCTTAAGATCCCTTTGGTAGATGAACTGGATGTTTACATCCATTATTGCTGGACAGCCACAGAACCGATTCTCGCAGCATGGCTGTAGTTGTGAACCTTCTCCAGGATTCTCTACCACGGACTCTGTTCTTGCCTCTCACCGTCCACGCCCAGGTGACCGTGTCATCCCCACGGTGAGTGGGTGCCCTCCTTCACCCTCAGAAGCCACCCTGCCCCAACGTCAGCCCTGCCTTAGAAAAAGGACCACAGACCTCTCCATCTGGAAAGACAAAGAGACCACACAGGATGAATCCACACCAATCCACGACCAGTCGTCCACTGTGGAGAGCTCTCCAGGCCACCTGCCACCAAGGGCTTTCAATAGCAGTCAGGAGCCAGATGCATGAGGCTCGGAGTGGCTTTGATGAGATCTTCAATCACCGGTTGACCACACAGGCCACAGTGCTGTGGTAGAGACCCTCCCTACTCCAGGGGCCACTGATGTAGGGTTACCTAGAATTTAGGCAGAGCTGGGTAGAAATTTAAAAAGGGGAAAAAAAACTCTTTATTGCAAAAGTTTTAGAAAGGGAGGCTGCTGAAAGGATGTTGATTCTTCTTAAGAAAACTTTCTGCACATCATCTTTGCATTTTTGTGCTAATTTCTACTGCAATTTATTTTCTCATCCCAGCAAGTAGCAATTTCAGGTGACGTGACAGTTTATGAATGTTACAAACATTATTTCTTTTTAAAAAAAATCTCTTGAAATCAGACTTGGCAATCCAGATACATTTTCCCATTCAGTATGAGTGGGAGCATTTTATTAGCCATAATCAAGTTTTCCTTTTCATGACAAGAAAGCTTACAGAGACCTGGGAACCACTCATATACCACGGGGTTTCTTTGCAATTCATGTAACTGAGGAATCAAACCCACATCTGCGCCTCCTCTGGCCTTACTTATTGTCAGAAAGTTCCTCTCTTGTCCTGTCAGTTAGAGCACCAGTAGGAACTGAGCTGTGTATAGTCAGCTGCTAGCTTGAGATTCTGACAAATCTTTACAAAAATACATAGGCTTCTATGGCCCTCTCCTTCATCACAAGTTAAACCCACATGAAATAATGTATTATGAGACTTTGCAAAGAAGAATGCAATTCATCTTACTGAGAAAGCAAAACCCTGCCAGGTTGATTTCTTTCTCAGTAGCTTCGTGACAATTTCAAGGAAGCCACTGTACCAGCACTTCATTTCCCTAAAACAGGTTATGACTCTTCTTTCCCTCATGCGTTCGGCTCAGTTCCTGAGTGGCTGCCGTATGCCAGGCAACGAACTGGGTGCTTGAGATCGATGCTTTTGAGGGGCTTGTGTTGGAGGGAGAGAGAGGTACTCAGGAGGACTGTCCTTCACTGTGACAATGCTGGGACAGAGACATGCTCTGGGGCCTGGAGGACCCAAGGAATTCCACATCCATGTGCCAGGGACTTTGTTGGAACCAACGATAAGTATGCATTTGCATGAAGAGGCATCGTGCTAGACCTGGGGAGTGACAGACACACATGAAGTCTCTACCCAACAACCGATCATGGGGTCATACCATTGGGAGCCTGGAAGCTGCTGGAAGCCCAGGAGCTCACCATCTCCCTTCCCAGTAGCAAAGCCACCACCCATTTTACAGATGAGAATATTAAGACACTCGTTACGTCTCACGCGAGGGCACACAGCTGATCAGGAGCTGAGCCCACACAAGAGCCAGAGTTCCTCCCACATCCGCACACCCCAGGGCCTGTGAACAGCGCTCTGCCCTCTCCTGTGCACAGGGAAACACCAACATTTTTGCTGACACAGTCCCAGAAATCTCCTCCACAGACCTAAGTGTGTTGAACCCTAGTGACGTCCTAGACACAAGAGGGCACTGCAGTACTGCACATTTGTGCTTCTCCTCGCAGGACCGTGATGGGTTCTGCAAGTGACTGGTAACTTCCCAGGGAATGGTGTTGCCTCCAACATGTAAACCACACACCACATCGCCACTGCCACAACTGACAATGTCAAGACTACCCTGTGGGGACACAGAGAATCGAGCCCTCCAGTTCGAGAAGTCTTTCTTTGGGACCCAATATTTGGCAGATGCCAGGCAGAATGCTGAGTTTGTGGAGATGAGGACAGAGGCCCTGCCCTCAAGTAGCCTGAAGTCTAGGAAAATGAATCCCATTGGGAAACCAGTCAAGGGACCCAAGCTTGGGGAAGGGACTAGCACGTGCTGAGACCTCTGCTAAGTGGAGGCATCTCACTCACGCCATGCAAGCAGCCTGGGCTCCGATGCACACAGGAGCAGTGCAGAAGAGTGAGGGTCCCGGGGTCCCAGTGCCCTGCCAGCATATTGTCGTAGAGACAGGCACACACAGCCAGCAGGAGGACAGTCAAAGGCAGAGGATGGGATGGCAAGGTGTTTAAGAAAGACCATAAGGGCTGTAGGAAGCCAAGAAAAGGAGTGTTTGGTAACTGGTAAAAATGGGGTGTGGGGAGGAAAAGGCAGACAACCCCTCATCGAGAAGGAGCAAGAAGTGACTTCTGTGTGCCTTGGCTGCCTCATCTACAAATTTGGGATAGTAGTACCAGCCTTGTACGGCTGACGAAGTGTAAATTATTTATTATCTGAAACACTCAGAGCAGGACCTGTTGCTGGTAGACGGTGGTGATGCTGGAGGGGATGCTGACATTGATGCTGATGTCATCCGTCATTGTAGCTCCGACTCTGACTCCGTATCTCAGAGGTGGGGGGCTCTGGTCATTTGCACCAATTTCCTGTCATATGGGGAGAATTCACCTCTTGTTTCCGATGCCTGGCAACATAAATTCACATAGCCACCAGTTAATAGCAGCTGATGAGTTTCCATTCTGTGCAAAAAATTACACTAAAATGACCAAAGATTCTCATAGACAAAGGAAATTTAAGGACAAAGGAAAATTATGTGGACAAAGGAGTTTTATTTTCTTTCTGGGTACAAGAGTTGGTGGTGGCCTTAGCAGAACTGGATATGGAAGGCCTGGGCTAGGCCTGGATGGTCCCGGGGCTGCACGGATGTAGCTCATCTTCACGCAGACAAGAATAAGGACGCCTGTCCTCTGAGTACTCACTGCCCAGTGAGGTCATCAGCACCGTTTCCAAACAGAAACAAGATGAAGAAACAACTCAATGATGAGTTGTGCCTTGCCAGGGTGGGCGGACACTCAGCCTCCCCTAGCTCATAAGCTAGCATCTGTCTCTGTCTCCCTAGAAATCCCAGCTGCCACTGAGGAATATTTACACTATTAACAACAGCTCCCAGCCGGGTGCAGTGGCTCACTCCTGTAATCCCAGCACTTTGGGAGGCCGAGGCAGGCGGATCCCCTTAAGTCAGGAGTTCAAGACCAGCCTAGCCAACATGGTGAAACCTCGTCTCTACTAAATACAAAAAAAAAAAAAAATTAGCCAGTTGTGGTGGTGCGTGCCTGTAATCCCAGCTACTCAGGAGGCTGAGGCAGGGGAATCACTTGAACCCAGGAGGCGGAGGTTGCAGTGAGCTGAGACCATGCCATTGCACTCCAGCCTGGGTGACAAAAGCAAAACTCCATCTCAAAGAAAAACAAAAACAAAAACAAAAACAAAAAAAACCAGCTCCCATTTATTTCGCTCTAATAATGGCCAAGAACTGCAAAGAGCATCTATGTCACTTACCTTTTAGAAACGACACTATTGTTCACATTTCACATGTGAGAAGAGGGAGACTCGGAGACTAGGGTTGCACGGTGGTGAGCAGAAGCGCTAAAGCGTAAAGTGCAAGACCTTCACTAGACCCTGCCTCTTCCGCTGCTGTGGGATCGTGATGTTCACGGCAAAGAAGTAAAGTTGAATGTATTCATTGCAGAAATGATTATCATTTGTGGGCCAGCGACTGGAAGAGCCCCTTTTCTCTTGATGTGATTTGGGGCCAGTTGTCTACGGTCTGAGAAAGACTCTAGGAGACACTGCCGCAGGGCACCCCTGCCCTGCAAAGGTTTGTTGTGATAGTGACTGCTTCTGTGCCGTATTTCGCTGGCTTGGGGGTGTCTGAAAATACAGTCTAAGTATGATATGTAAGGGAAAGGGAGAATGAGAATGACTTAGACGTATAGGGTCAGTGTGCACCAAATGGAGCTCTTCTGACATCACCTTAGAGCAGTGGACCCTAAGACCTACCTCTAGCTCCCTTTTGTGACTTATTTCCCCACAAAATGTGTTAAAGTCCTAATGCCCAGGAAATAGGATCATTGTAGATGTAACTAATTAAAGTGAGGCCATACTGGAGTAGGATGGACCCCGGATCTGATACGAGGGGTGGCCTTCCAAGAAGAGGAGAAGAGACAGACACGGGAGGCAGACGCTGCTGTGCGACGTCAGAGGCAGGGAAAGGAAGGACAAGCCGCGGACTGATGGCCCCCACCAGAAGCTGAAAGAGCTGCCGCCCTGCCCCCACCTTCATCTCGGACTTCTGGCCTCCAGACCTGTGAGACAATCTATTTCTGTTGTTTTAAGCTGCCCGGTCTGTGGGACCTTGTTAGGACAGCCTTAGGAAACTGATCCAGTCCCCAGGTACCTACTCCTCCAAATCCTTCTTCAACCACCTACAATCCTCTCTGACTTAAGGCCAGCTGACAAGGAGCTTGCTTTAAATCACTACCTTGGAGCAGTGGACCCCAAAGTGTTTTGGTGGCTGGATTTTGTTAGAGACACACATTCTCAGGCCCCAATCACAAACCCATGGAGTCAGAAACACAGGGCTGGTGCCCACCCGTGTCCACTTTAACAAGCCATCCGGGTGATTCAGATGCAGTTCAGAGGCTGAGAGCCCAGAGTGTACAAAATGCCCATTCTTTGCTTCCAAGACACACTTTTCCTATTTTCATTTTCTGAAATCAGAATGCCTCTTAGGCAATCTCTGTAAAATCTTATGATTAATAAATCAGTGGTTCATCTTACAGCTGGGGGTGTCTCAGAATCAATGAAAAGGAAGGAATACAACCTCCACCTGATATGCCTGTGAGTGCTGCTTTGTTTAAGAAAGCGGCTTCTGATGGTGGAAAGGATTCCTGTGATTTTAAAGCGGTTTGTGTCCCAGCAGTGGGCCCTGTAATGAGCACCTCAGGCACACTATGACCTTCAGGAATGTTCCTCCGAGGCTCCCAAACCTTCCGCTCATTTCTGATGCACCAAAGCTGGCCTGAGGCCTAATCTCTGGGTCCCACTTCTGTTTAATTACCGCGAGCCTTGTTTCTGCTGCCTGCCTGCCCGCCGCCTGCCGCCCGGCTTTCAGAAGCATCTCTGGTTCTGGAGGCTTCACTTCGAAGATGCAGCCCCTTGCATGGAGGGGAGGCCCCTGGCTGGGGGAAATATGCATTTGGTCGACGTGTTTTCTTCTCTCTCTTCTGCCAGTATTTTCTTCTGAAGCACACAGCACTGCCTCACCCATGCCCAACCCACCTGGGGAGCTGAGCCTCCAGATAAAAATAGTGTGCAGTTTGGAGGCTGGTGTTTTTGAGATCGAACAGCTGTTCTGTCGCACTTTCACAACACGGTTATTAAAGCAGGAGAGAAGTAATTAAAATTGTCACTTGTGCGGCTGTTCGAATTATATTTCCACTTCCTCTCCACAGAGCATTCATTATGTGTTACAAAAATATTTCATTGTGGTGTTTTACATCATTAATTTTGTTTAAATTATTCTTAATTGCTCACTGACATGACAAAAAATGAGGAGGAAATTGGGAGGAAGAGATTTTATTTTAACAACAAAAAAACTGGAAAGGGTGAATTTTATTTATTTTGATTTTGATTTCACCTCTTTTCGAGATGAGTTTCGCTCTTGTCACCCAGGCTGGAGTGCAATGGCGTGACCTAAGCTCACTGAAACGTCCACCTCCCCAGTTCAAGTGATCCTCCTGCCTCAGCCTCCCAAGTAGCTGGGATTACAGGTGCCTGCCACCACGCCCAGCTAATTTTTGTATTTTTAGTAGAGACAGGGTTTCATCATGTTGGCCAGGCTGGTCTCGAACTCCTGACCTCAGGCGATCTGCCAGCCTCGGCCTCCCAAAGTGCTGGGATTACAGGAGTGAGCCACTGCACCCAGCCTGAATTTTAGTAATGAGTCCTGGGCTGGTGTGGGCATGTCTGTGGCCAACATGCACGTACACATGCACTCACACATGTGTGCTTATTCACACACCTGCATGCACACACACACATGCATGCAGGCACATTCACACATGCATGCACACACATGCACACAAACACATGCATACACAGATGCATGCATGCATAACGCACATTCACACATGCACACACATGCACACACACACGCATGCATAAGGCACATTCACACATGCACACACATGCACACGCATGCAGGCACATTCACATGCATGCACACATGCACACAAACACATGCACACACATGCATAACATGCACACATGCACACATGCATGCATACAGGCACATTCACACATGCACGCACACATGCATACATGCATGTTCACACGTGTATGCATACAGACACATTCACGTGCATGCACGCACACACACGTGGGATGTGCATTTGGGATGGGCTGGAATTGAGCGCCCAGGAGCCACAGTTCATCCCACTGCTGAGCCAGCTCTGGGGGTGGGGGCAGGTAGAGTGTGGGTACCAGCATGGGAGTATTTTTCTGTCCCTGGGCCAGTGACAGAATTTGTGGCAATTTCTGGTGGGCGAGGCGCTCTTCCTTGTTACTTTTTCCTCAGTTGGTCTTGTATAGTGTGGCCCTTTATCTTCTGAAAGAATGAGACTTTGTGTTCCGCTTTCAACTTAAACCTGACAAAATCTCTGTATTTCTTTCACTTCCACAGCTGGTATGGAGGGAAAACTAAACCACGTTTACTCTATTAGTATGAGTATCATTGCTCATTTCTTTCCTTTCCCCAGTATTGGTGAGGTTTTCTAGAACAATGATTAGCCAAGACCCAACATCTGTGTTCATTTCTTTTTTCTCACTTCCTTTTCTATCATTTCCATTTCAAAGCAAAGAAAATAAGACTCTTATATTCACATTCCCCCAAGCGATCTTACATTTTTTTAAAAATTGTTCATTTAGTTTAAAAACTGAGTAGGCAGCGTCTCCACTTGCAGGGCACTCCAGGGACCCAGCAGCCACGTTAGGATGCTTCTCGGGTCCTGAGGTTTGGTTGGTGGCACTCCGTGTTCACGAGGACAGGAATACAAGGAGAAAACAGTAAGCATAATGACAGCAGTAAAATAATTCTTAAATAATTCATGGAACTAAGAGCTTCCAGCTAGACGATGTCAGGAATGTTTTTAGATTCACAGAATGTTAGAGCAGAAAGAAGTTCCAAGATCCGCTAATCCAAATGTTTTCAAACTTGTTTTAAGCCACAGAGCCCCTTCTTCAAAAGGAAACTTACTGGGAAGCCCAATATGGAAATAGCGGCTTCTCAAGAGACTCTGGGGACTCGCTTTGAAGATCTCTGATCGGGTTCCATTGCCACATTTTGCAGATTAAAGAAATGTGGGGCCAAAAAGGTTAAGTAATAAGAAAAGTCTGCTTGCAGGAAATAAAAACAAATTGCACCAAGAGCCACCGTGGAATAGCACAGAACGTGTACGTGGCTTATGTAAGTAGGTATTTGCAGGGGCTTCTGTGCAAGATGCCCAGGACCGCAGCGGGATGCCTTCGGGAGCAGAGATGGGATGGAAAAGCCGGGCAGACTCTGGAAGGCAGCCAGGGTGCTGGCCCCTAAGGACGCACGTGCAAGACCGGATAACGGGAGGCTTTGTGTGTGCACCTGGAGAACAGAGGTGCCTCCTTATAAGTGACCTCCCTGGACTTTAAACATCTCACAAAATGTGGAGCCAGTTCTCAGGACAACAGCACATCTGGTTGGCCGGTGGGTCCCTCGAGGAAAAGAGGATGGAAGACTGGCGCGCAGGAATGCCAGTGGCTCATACCTAAGAACAAGTGTTAAGAACAGACCAGTTTTCATCGTGAACAGGGTTTCAGTAAAAGAATACTCCTGTTGTTGGGGCTTCTTATCTTTCTTGAAGGGTCTTCCACTAACCCTCACCAACCAACCATCTCACCATATGCCCATTCGTCCACAGAGCCCCAGGCAACAGAGTGAATGGATGTTAATAGCTCCTTGATTAAATAGTAATAAGAACAAGAAATACAGATAAGAATGCAAATAATAACAATACTAGACACACCTACTGAAGGGTTAGGAGGGCATGGCACATTCTAAGCATTTGATGTGTGTTACTATGTGATGCTCAGAACAGCTCTTTAAGATGAGTGGTGGTATCATTCCCATTTCACATATGAAGAAACTACAGAGCAGCTGATTCAAGTAACTTGCCCAAGTCTACTGAGCTAGCTAGTGGTGCAGCCAACACTGAACACTCAGGTTTACTTTTACTTTGTGATAAAGACATAGACTCACACAGGGAGCAAACGGAGCCCAGTGGAGCCCAGTAGAGGACTGAGTCTGTGGCCAAAGTGCCTGGCTTCCAGTGCTGGCGTTACCACTTACAGTTCTGTGCCTGTTTATTCCTCTGTGAAATGGGGACGTAGCGCCTCTTGCCTGGGGCTACGTTAAGGAATGAATGAGTTTGTGCATGTAATGCACTGGGACACTGTGGACATGATCAGCGGGGCGGGATTGTTAACCGTTGTTGTTGCCATTACTGTTATTACGGTGGTGCCACAGAGGAGGGAGGAGGCAGAGAGCCATCACAGAGAAGATGCTGGGGCTGAATCTTGAACACTATGTAGAGGTTTAGCAGGAAGACTGGGAGGGAAGAGCGGGTGCTCAGGCAAAGAACAGCACAGCCCCCACGCAGGAACGAGGAGTCCAGAATGCTGGGCCACAGTGTGTGATAGGTCAGGTCTACAGAGGTCTTGTATTTCACGTCAAGAGTTTAAACCTAAGCCTCTGGACAGTGGAAATAACTGGAGGTCCCAGTCAGAGGAGTGCCACATCACAACTCTTTGTAAACCCTCGGGCAGGAGAGTGGGGGACAGCGCTGAGGACATTAGCATGGAGATGGGAGGTATTTAGCAGGCACAGTGAGAGGAACTAATGAGGAATCAAGGGTGGAGGTTAAGAGAGGCCAGAGCGTGGAACGACTTCCATTCAAAAAACGGGGTTTGCTTGCGCTACATCCTCGAGTCCAAAAAGAAAAGCAGGTGATTTTGTATCACAGGTAGCGCCCACCAAGTGTCTGAAGCTTTATGGGTCAGCCCACCTGGTCATCCCCATTGCTTGCAGGTAGTGACATCTCCCACCTTACAGATAGCTGAGAATGGAAGTCGCTACCCTCAGGACACACACCCAGCAGGTGGCCATGGCGAGGTGCCACCCACATTCCTCCATTCTGCTGTCACACGGTGGACCAACCATCAGGGGCTAAAGAGGAGGATGGGCAGCAACCTCAGCCTGCATGCAGACTGAGGAATCCACAGGAAGCGGAAGCCTTTCCAGTCTCCTCCTCACTACAGTGACCTGTCCCGTGTCCAGGTCTGATCAGATGTGAAAGCAAAGATGGACTCCCATGTACTCCATGCTCACTCTGTTGATGAAAAGGAGCCTGAGTTTCCCAACACACCATAATTTGTACACGCAAGCGTTGTCTCGGGAAGCTGAGCATTTATTCCCATGATGAGCATGTGCTCGGAAGTTTTTAGATTTCCTCTTGTAAAACTGTTTTTACGTTCCAGACTCATACGGAATATACAACTTTTTACTTCTTAGTATGCTTAACTGCTGGCAGCGTTACCTAAACATGAATTTTATCATACCTTCATTACCAAACTTCATTTCAATGATCTTGTGCACTTTTTCAAAAGCAAAGCTAACCTCTAACACAGGTAGCTGGCGATTTAGAGGCTATTCTAGAGAATGCGCCGCCAACTCTGAACTGACTCTGCCAAGTGTTCACCTTCCCAGGGAATGTGCACCACCCGCGAGTTATCCACCCATTCATCCTATCGGCGACTGTCAATTGGCGACTTGCTGTTAACGAGTCAATGTACGTTTTCCTAGGTGGGATGCAAAGTTGTACAAAATAGATTCCTATGTTCCAAGTACAGTTGAAGAGATAAGACATAACTAGATCACTAGAAATCAAATCAGAACTTAATTGCTCGGATCGAAAGTCATTGCAGAACTTTGAGTTACAACATGGCAGACTGTGCTCAGTGCTATGACAATCTGAGGGCGAGGGTCATACCAGGAGCTGCGAGAAGTATGCTGAGAAGGCCGGGAAGTGGGGCCAGACACTCCATCCACAGTCTAGCTGTGGGCTCAGTCGGGGCGAACGAAACAGCCAGTGGGCGCTGTACCTTTCCCCTGCAGGCTTTTGCCCACCCCTCCAAGCAGGCTTTGCCCCTCTGCAGGCTTTGCCCCCCTGTAGCCTTTGCCCCCCTGTAGCCTTTGCCCCCCTGCAGGCTTGCCTCAGCGCACAAAACTGAAATACTAAGTTCCTTCTTTCATACTTGGAATTCTGTGAATCATGTAAAACACCTGAAAACGTCACTCCAAGGGGCATAAAACTGATGCTGTGAGTTCAATGCAGATAATTCCTAACCCCTAAGGCTTTTACAAATCAACTACCCAAAGGTACGAGCTGAATTTTGGGAATGTACTGAGAACCTTCTCTTTTCTTCTTTTTTTTATGATTGGGAAGGTTTCCCTTATTCAAAATGCCTATCATGAGCCCTGAGTGTCACTAGTAATTTCTAGAGCAAGAGGTTCCCTGTGACTATAAAAAGTCAACGTGCCATTGCCTCCCCATCTTTTGTGAGCGTGTAAAACAACCCATCCATTTCCACGGCCCCCCTCGAGCCGCGCTCCTCGGACTGCTGTATGGGAAATAGGATCACTTTCAAGTTCCCTGGACACATAAAATTGGATTGAAGCAAAACTAAATGCTGTGGGGCACGGAGTGGAGGGGGTGGGGACAGCCTCAATCCCAGGTTTGATGTCAGCGATAACAAGGTTTCCAAATCAAACGGCAACAAAACCTGTCGGCAGTGTTGACTAGGAAATGCTGTCCTCGGAACAAATATTTTAATTATCCGCAGTAGTTCTGGTAGCTTGGCTAGCTCCCTGTTTATTAGTATGATAATATCACCTCAATGTATAAACTTTATGCATCAGGCATGCATAATGCATGAACGGGCAAATAAAGAGATCTGGAGCCTGTTCGCAGCGGGCCATGCCAATTATCTCGCTCGGCCAGAGCCTGCCTCTGCTCACAGCTGTTCTTTGAAACCATTCACCAATGCTTAAGAGATATCAGTGGTGCCAGCCAGGCTGTTTGAATCTCCATTGTTTACATACTAGGAGTTTAGCTGCTGGTTGGAAATTATCTGTCACATAAACATCCTCTGAGGATACAGACGAGAGGAAGGGAGACAAGCCCTGTCTTTATGAATTTTTTTTATTTATTCTGATGACTTTTTTCTTTTACAGTTTTGTGTCCTTTTTAATTACTTCGTTTTCCTCTGGAATTGTCACATTTCTCCCTCCAGTTGAGCAGGTGAAAACTAATGCTCTAAAATGCCTGGGGCTGCAAACCAGAGACACAGAAATAAATATTTTCTGTTCACAAGTCTGTTGTGTAATTCAAAGCTTTTCTTTTGGTAATCTGATTTTTTTTTTATTTTTGTCCCTCTGGTCACAGGATCTTTACAGGGCAAAAACGACCTTATATGTGGGTTGTGAATTCACTTGCTTCCATTTGTTTATTTTCCCTTCCAGGAACAATATAAATTTTGAAAGTCAGATATTGAACTTGAGCCAAAATAGTGTGTGTCACCAACCAAAGTTTTTAAAGGGCCAAATGTTGTTTTTATTGCGGTTATCTCTTCGTAAGCAAAGGCTGAGCAGATACCATCAGTTTTCTGCTATCAGCAGGCGTGCCATTGTATATTTCAGTTTGAACATCAGGGCTGTTGTTGCATGCTCCAAGGCTGCACCAGCCACGAGGCAGGCTTATTTATCAAGGACTTAGGAAATATGAGGACCAGGCAGAGAGAATCCTAGTGAACACGTTTTTGCTGATGCATATGTTCACGTGAATTTGGGAACACGCACATAAGAGTGTGTCATTAGACAAATGCATAGAGAATCAGATATCTAATATTTGACCTGAACCAGGAAGGAACTCACAATGAAATATGATTGTATGCTTTCATTTAAAAGCGTATCCTAAATACAAAAATTAGCCAGGCGTGGTGGCGCATGCCTGGAGTCCCAGCTACTTGGAAGGTTGAGGTGGGAGGATCACTTGAGCCCGGGAAGTAGAGGTTGCAGTGAGCCCAGATAGTGCCAATGTACTCCAGCCTGGGCAACAGAGCGAGACCTTGTCTTAAATAAATAAATATATAAATAACAGCATATCCTATGTTCCAAGACTAGACCTAAACATAAAGATACCAGAGATATTGGCTGGGAAAAAAACAGAAAAGCAATCCCGTGTTCTCAGCCTCTTTTCTTTCTTCTTTCCTTTCCCTCAGACTTAGACCAGAACCTCTTTGTCGGTACAGGCAGACACCATCTGCTTCCATCCTTTCCCATGACCATGGCAAATGTTGACATTGCAAAGGCAGATTCTGACCACGGAATTCTCATCTCTGGAGGAAGGTATCCCCATCACAGAGAGTTGTGACGAGGTTGAGAGAATGTCTCTAAGAGCCGAGTGCAGTACCAGGCAGATAGTAGGAAAAAAATGTTGGCTGCTGTTGTTTTTGCTGAAGCTGCTGTTGCTCTTACTAAAAGTAGACCTTAGCAAGCCTGTATCCTGCAGTTGAGATCCAGATAAGGAAAGCTGCTTACCTGGAATCACAAAATAGCTGGTCCCCTGACCCCTTCTTTACTTACAGGAGTCCCCGCATAGACCTCTGAACCATGGACCGCGTCTGGTGGTTGTACTGGCCACATGGCATCAAAGCGTATTTTCATGCAAGTCTGTCTTCCGTACTGGACTCTGAGCTCCCTAAGAGTAAATGCTTTGTCTATTTCTGTCTGTTTCCCCAGCAGCTAGCACCATGCCTTGCACATGGTGGCATCTCAATACCTATTTGTTGAATTACATGCAAAGTAAAAAAGAAACTATGAATATGAATTGTCAGAAGAATAGCAGCTAAGTGGAGTCCTAAGGTTTAGCCACAAGAATCTGTGCCAAGGCAATACAGATGGATTGTCTTACAGGCATCAGAGACAAAAGGGCAAAAGCTTCCTATTGTATGAAACAAATCATTTAATAAGTTTTACTGACCAGACTTGCATAAGATCATTTGGAAGAAGAGGAAAACAAGTAAAAAACCAATGTGGTAAAAACCCCTCATAGGTGTCCTTGGTAAAAGTATTCTCTGTTGTTTCAGATAGGTTTAAAGTGTTCCTCTTGAATGGTACCAGCTTCCCCAAAATTCTGTGTATGTTCTTCGTGTGTTCGGCATGTCCCCTCTTCTCTAGAAATCTTAGGTAAATGCTAACATGGGTCTAGTCTGGCCAAAGTAGCACAAATTTTGAGTATCTGATTCCTAATTAGGATTCTGCTTCTGTTTCCTTATTAGGAGAAAATGTATTTTGATTTAGAGAAATTGTATTTTGATTTAGATGTTTTCCTGAATTATTTGCCAGTTTTCAGGGGCCATCACAGAAACCTTGAGGCCTGTGGTGGTCCTACAGTTCACATAGACAGTAGTGGGCATGCATCCCCTGGGCCAGAGAAACCGGATGCGAAGGCGGCCTGCAGAGCCGACCTCAGACCACCAGAGGGTCTGATCTCAGGGCAGAGACTCAGTTAGACTGCCTGGGATTAGGAATCAACAGATACAAAATTATACAGAGGAGCTGTTTTTCAACTTTTGTTTAGTGGCCTCCTTAAATGTAATTTTATTCACGTTCTTTGTATTCCACTAGTGTAAAGAAGTATTCTATATTAAAATATCAGTGAAGATGGCCTGGTTGTCATATGGCTTCACAAACAGAATATAATTCCGATCTTAGACATGGAGACTGCTACCCTTGGAACTTAGTGAAAAGGGCAGGGGATTCCCTATGTACGAACAGAGAGACCACAGCCTGAATTAGAAAAACCAGGACTCCAAGAATGGTCTTGAGAGACCTTTCCTTAGCCTGATTTAAATTTGCCACCTTGATATGTCATAGCCAATTATAAGCTTGGGAGGTCATTCATTCATTAACCATTAATCTGTTCGTCAAACATTTTTATACAACGCTGAGTCCAAGGTTCAGAACAGGTGGAGGGGATGAGACATGGCTTCGTGGCCCAAGGATTTCAGAATGTGTTTGTCTTTCTGTCTGTGTGAGATGGGGTTGGAACACGGTCAGAGCAGCTATGGCTTTAAAATTGCAACTCAGTGTGACACTTGCTATTATTGGTACTTATGGCACTTTCTTCAATCACAAATTAGAAAGCACACGGGAGAAATACCTGCAGCAACGTGGTAAGAAACAATTAGCTTCTAAATAACATAAAAAACAGCAATGCCATTAAAGTGGACGAAGGATGAGAGAGGGCAGTTTGTAGTCAGGAAAACCTATGAGAAATGCAAATGTCAAGGGGGAAGGGAGGAGGGATAGCATTAGGAGATATATGTAACGTAAATGGCGAGTTGATGGGTGCAGCACACCAACATGGCACATGTATACATATGGAACAAACCTGCACATTGTGCACATGTACCCTAGAACTTAAAGTATAATAATAAAAAAGAAAGATGTCCAGCTTTACTCAAAATTTCTAAAAATTCAAACATTTACCCATTAGAGTGGTTTTAAAAACTTTTTTAAGATACAACCTAGATCTCCATACACTATCAGTTGGAGAGCAACTAGACAATATTTACTAAAATGTGAACTGTTTCGACTTTCAGTGTAGACCGTATTATTGTTCCCCATGTTTCACAGCCCCTCCCTGTAAAAAGATCATCCTCCACCCCATGGCCATGTGGCCTGCAGGGCCTCTGTGGAGATACAGACTCATCCCTGCTCTGTTGGGACCAATGGGATGCGTCTTGGCCAACAGCATGACATGGCCATGTGGCCTGCAGGGCCTCTGTGGAGATACGGACTCATCCCTGCTCTGTTGGGACCAATGGGATGAGTCTCGGCCAACAGCATGAGAGTGGACATGAACTGCACCATGTCCAGGACATTTTTTAGTTATGCAAATTATTTTTGGTAATATTTATTTTTAATTTATTTTTTATTGAGGTAAAATATACATATATAATGTATATATAAATATATATAAATAAATTATATGTATGTGTGGGTATATATATATAATTTACCAGTTTTACCATTGGAGTGGTAACAAATACATTTATATTCTTTTCTCCCCCTTCATCGTGCATTTCTGCAAGCCCCCCTTGCTCATTTCCTTTTGTTGTGAGCTCAGCCTGTTCCAGATGAAGGCTGACCTTTCAACCAGGATCCTAGAAAGAAGACGCATCCTGGAGGATAGCCCAGCAGAGCACAGCCGGGCTGCTGCAGACCTGGTTACCAGGACGCAACATTAGCGGAAAGTCAGCTTCCTTGTTTCACACCATTGAGAGTCAGGAGTTATGTGTTTGAAACCACAAGATTATTTCATGAACGTTGACTATAAAACCTTTTTGAAACAGCAACTGCAGTGCTACCAACTAGCTTAACGACAGATGCAGTCTTACCCGTGTGCAAAGATATATGTAAGAGGTTTTTCAGCAACACTGTTTTAAGATAGCAGAAAATGAAAGGAAACAACCTAAATATCCACCAGTAGACAGACAATGGACTCAATAAATTATTATATTTCCATATGATGGGATACTATGCATCTCTTCAAAAATGAAGTTTTACAACTTTTAAAAATTATTTACATCATTGTATATTATAGTATTAACCCTTCTGCTACTAGATGTTTTCGCTTAACCTTATAATCTTCATGTTGGCCCATGTCGATAGGTGTAGATCTACTAATTCATTCTGCATGCTCTATAATATTCTGCCATGTGAGTAACTGCGTTTTATTCATTTAATCTCCTGCTAATGAGTAGCTGAGTAATTTCCCATTTGTGACCTGTACATAGTTGCTGTTAGGAACAATCTTCTGCCTGCCTTCTTGTGCACAGGTGCAGAGGATGCTCTGAGATGTGTTCCCAGGAGTGGAGCCCGCAGGTCATACGCATGAGCATCTTCAGATGTCATGGATATTGCTAAGCTGTTCTCCAGAGTGGCTGTGCCCACTGACACCCCCAACACGGCTTCACCCTCTTGTAGTGGCCAGACTAGATGTCAAGACCGTACCAAATATGTTACATTGAGACATGTCATATCATACTATATATGGCATGTATATTATTATGAATACATAGCCATGTGGTAGAAATATCTTTTAAATATGCAGAGAAATGATCAACATTAACTTCAAAATGATGGTCACTTCTGGGACGAGAGAGGACTGGGATTAGGGAAGGAATGCAAATGACATCGTAGCTATTTGTTATGTCTTGTTTTTTTTTGTACTCAACACTACTTATTTATTATTGTTTTCCCCATATTCTTTTATTTTGTTTGGTTTGGGGCTCTTTCATTTTTATTCATCATTAATAATTGCATATATTTATTGGGTACAATGTGATGTTATATACATATATACATTGTGGAATGATCAAATCAGGCTAATTAACATATCTGTCACTTCACGCATTTATCATTCTTTGTGGTGAAAACATTTAAAACTCCACTCTTTTAGCAATTTTGAAATATACAATGCATTATTATTACCTAGAGTCACCATGCTGTACAATAGACACCAAAAGGTATTCCTCCCGTCTAACTGAAACTGTGTACCCTTCGACCGATAACTCCCTTTTCCCCACCTGCCGCCCCCTCACTTCAGCCTCTGGTAACCATCTTTCTACTCTTTGTTTCTACGAAATCAACATTTTTAGATTCCACATATAAGTGAGATCATGTGACATTTCTCTTCCTATGCCTGGCTTATTTCACTTAGCGTAATGTCTTCCAGATTCATCTGTGTTGTCACAAATGACACAAGTCCTTTCATCTCTAAGACTGAGTAGTTCTCCACTGTGTATATGTACCTATGTTTTAATACATTCATCTGTTGCTGGGCAGGTAGGCTGTCTCCATGTCTGGACTGTTATGAATAGTGCTGCAGTAAACATGGAAGTACAGACAGCTCTTCAACATCCTGATTTCAATTCCTTTGGATCTTTACACAGCAGTGAGATGGCTGAATCATAGGGAAATTCTATTTTTAGTTTTTTTTTGAGGAACCACCATATTGTTTTATGAAATAGTTTTACTAATTTACCTTCCCCCCAGAGCATATAAAGGTTTCCTTTTCTCCACATGCTTGCCGACACTTGTTAGCTTTTTTTTCTTTATAATAGCCATTCTCACAGGTGTGAGATGATATCTTATTGTGCTTTTAATTTGCATTTCCCCAGTGATTAGTGATGCTGAATATTTTTCATGTATCTATTTTCTATTTGCATGTCTTCTTTGACAAATTCAGGTCCTTTGCCCATTTTTAATAGGGTTGTTTGTTTTCTTGCTATTGAGTAGTTTGAATTCCTTACATATTTTGGTTATTAGCCCCTTATGTGATATATGATTTGCCAGTATTTTCAACACAATTCATGAAATGTCTTTTCACTCTATTAATTGCTTTCTTTGCTATGCAGAAATTTAGGATGATGCAATCCCGTTCACCTAGCTTTGCTTTTGTTGCCTGTGTCTTTGGGGTCCAAGCCAAGAATCATTGCCCAGACCAATGTCATGGAGCTTTTTCACTATGTTTTCTTCCAGTAGTTTTACAATTTCAGGTCTTACACTGAAGTCTTTAATCGATTTTGAGTTGATTATTGTATAAGGAGTGAGATAAGAGTCCAGTTTCCTCCTTCTGCATGTGAATAGCCAGCTTTTCCAACACCACTTATTGAAGAGACTGTCCTTTCCCCAGTGTGTGTCCTTGGCATCTTTGTGAAAAATAAATTAACTGTAGATGAATTGGTTTATTTCTGGGCTCTCTATCCTATTCCATTGGTTGATGTGTCTGTTTTTATGTTAGTACTATGCTGTTTTGATTACTACATCTTTGTAATACGTTTTGAAATCAGGCGGTGTGATGCCTCCTGTTTTATTCTTTTTGAACAAGATTGCTTTGGCTATTTGGGGTCTTTGTGGTTGCATATGAATTTTAGGATTTTTCTGTGAAAAAAATCAATTTCCTTCTGTTTCTATGAAGAATGACTGAAATTTGGATAGAGATTGCATTGAATCTACAAATCACTTTTGGTAGTATGGACATTTTAACAATATTAGTTCTTCCAATCCATGAACAAGGGATATCTTTCCATTTATTTGTGTCGTCTCCAATTTTCTTTCATCAATTTTTATAGTATTCAGTATACATATTTTTTACTTCCTTGAATTTATTCCTAAGTATCTTTTTCTTGATGCCATTGTAAATGGGATTGTTTCCTTAATTTACTTGTAGATAGTTCATTGTTAGTATACAGAAACACTGCTGATTTTTGTGTTGCATTGTGTAACCTGCAGCTTTACTGAATTTGTCCATCAGTTCTAACATTCCTTTGGTGCAATCTTTATGGTTCTCTTTACAGAAGATCATGTCATCAGCAAACAGAAAAATTAACTTCTTCCTTTACTATTTGGATGACTTTTATCTCATTTTCTTGCCTAATTGCTCTTGCTAAGACTCCCAGGACTATGTTGAATAAAAGTGGTGAGAGTGGGCATCCTTGTCTTTCTCTGATCTTAGAGGAAAAGCTTTCAGCTTCACCATGGATTTTGATGTTAGCTATGGGTTTGGCATAGATGGCCTTTATTGTATTGAGGAACATTCCTTCTATACCTACTTGTTGACAGCTTTTATCATGAAAGGATGTTGAAGCATTTGTCAAATGCTTTTTCTGCATCTATTGCAAGGATTGCATGGCCTTCATTTTGTTAATATGGTGAATCACATTTACTGATTTGTGTATATTGAACCATCCTTGCATCCCACAGCTGAATCCCACTTGTTTATGATGAATGATCCTTTTTAAAAAAATTGTTTATTTCCATAGGTTTTGGAGGAATCAGTGGTATTTGGTTACATGAGTAAGTTATTTAGTGGTGATTTGTGAGATTTTGGTGCACCCATCACCCAAGCAGTATACACTGAACCCAATTTGTAGTCTTTTATCCCTCACCCCCTCCTCCCCTTTCCTCCAAGTCCCCAAAGTCCATTGTATCATTTTCATGCCTTTGTATCCTCATACTTAGCTCCCACTTATGAGTGAGAACATACGATGTTTGGTTTTCCAATTAGTGATCCTTTTAATGTACCATTGAATATGATTTGCCAGTATTTTGTTGAGGATTTTTGCATTTATGTTCATCAGGCATATTAGACTGTAGTTGGGGTTTTTGGCGGGGGTGGGGGAGTTTGGTAGTCTCTTTGTCTGGCTTTGGTATCAGGGTAAGGCTGGCCTCATAAAATGAGTTTGGAAGTACTCCCTCACGTTCCATTTTTTGGAAGAGTTTGAGAAGGACTGGTATTAGTTCTTCTCTAAATGTTGGTAGGATTCAGCAGTGAAGCCATCAGGTCCTGGGCTTTTCTTTGATAGGAGACTTTTTATTATTGATTCAATCTTCTTACTCATTATTGATCTCTTCAATTTCTTCATGATTCGGTCTTGGTAGATTATATGTTTTTAGGAATTTATCCATTTCTTCTTGGTTATCCAATTTGTTGCCATGTAATTGTTCATAGTAGTCGCTTAAGATCCTTTGTACTTCTGTGTTATCAGCTGTAACATCTCTTTCATTTCTGATTTTATTTGCATCTTCTCTCTTTTTTTCTTAGTCTGGCTAAATTTTTGCCAATGTTGTTTAGCCTTTCAAAAAACAAACTTTAGAAAAACTAACTTAAAATAGAGCAATACGGTGTGTAATGTTAAGATTTTGTAAAGCTTGCAGATATACATGCAACCATTTTCATGTTATTTTTGTCTATGTTTAAAATACGTGCTTATGTGTAAATATGACCATGTATGTGCAGACAAACATTTAAGAACATTTTAGCAACATTTAGGTTACTTCTGGGAAGTGGGGATAAAATAGATCACTGTTACTTTATTCCTTTCTTTAGTGTCTTTTAGAAACATATATTAAGTTTATGAATTAAAAGATTAAAAGCGACTAATTCAGGCTCAGTAGCTTTTTTATTGTATGGATGAGACAAAAGACTTAAAACTATCTACACCTGTGGTTTTTTTCCTCTGTAAAATATGGTTAGAAATATCTACTTTGCAGAGCTGCTGTGAGGATTTGATTAGAAATTATTCATAAAAATATCTAACAGCATGCCTTTTACTTAGTAGGCACTAAATAAATAATAATTGTTTACATTATTAATAAGAACATAAGAGATATTCTGTTTTCAAATTTATTCACCCTGAAATGTGCAGAGAAAATACTTATAGGTTCTTTATTTTTCAATAACTGATTCTTTCTTCTACTTGAGCTCCCCATGGGGGGGAAATGAATCTTAGAGCCAAGAAACTTAGTTTGACTCAATAATTTAAACTGGCATTTAAATCTCTTTTGGTAAGTGCTGCCTCTTTGGGTATAAATATGTGGACTTTCAGATCGCTGTTCCCTCACTGGGTAGGGGGTGCCATATTTAGCAAATAAAAATTTAAGATACTCAGTTACATTTGAATTTTAGGTAAACCACAGATAATTTTTTTGTAGTATGTCCCAAATACTGCATGGGACACACTTACAGTAAGAAAATACTTATTCTTTATCTGAGCACCACATAGAACCAGGCATCCTGCATATCATCTGGCAGCCCCATCTGTGGGTGAACAGAGAGGGGCACCACGTTGGGGAAAAGGGCCCTGGACTCCTGGACTTTGTGCATGGGGTAGAGACTGGATCCAGTCCTTGGGCAACAGATAGGCCTCTTCTCTGATGTCCAAGGCCAGCATGACCCACAGTCTGTGTGTCTCAGCTCATCTGGACCTGTGGATGGGCACTGGCCAGACCTTCCACCTTACCTCTCAAGGGTAGAGGACTCCTTGCATTTCTGCCACATGCTCTTTGGGCCCTGGACTAGGGTGTCCACTCTGGGGCCTCTGCAGTGAGGCCCTGAAGCCCTCAGCATGGTGGGATCATAGCAGATTCCCTAGCTTTCAACCAGTTGTCAGACGGCCCCTCAGAAGCGTGTGGGGAGTTTTGATGATGACCGCAGGAATACTGAACTCCACCCATCCCCCTGCCCAAGATAGTGTGCATGCTTCAGCTTTGCTGTGGCCACCCCTTGTGAGTCCATGGCATCCTGGGTCCATAGCCTGAAGCAGAGCGCAAGCAGCAGCCCTGGCCACAGTGTTCCCACAGTGCATCTGTCTCCCTGGGACCACCCACTTCCCACTTCCTCTTTCTCCCTGCATCTTCCCACAATCCACCTGAGCCAAAGGGACAGGCTCTCCTGGCTCTCCTGCCTCTCCTGCCTCTCCTGCCTCTCCTCCCTCTCCTCCCTCTCCTCCCTCTCCTGCCTTTCCTGCCTCTCCTGCATGCTCTGTGCTTTCTCATTCAGCATTCACTCCACAAACATCCAATCGAGCACAACTCTATTCAAAACACCCTTCTCAATGCAGAAAACAACAGCAGTGAATCTGACACATTCTTGACTGTCTCGGAGCTTACATCCTAGTGCAGTAGATGAGGAGAAGGACAGCAAGCAAGTATGCTGATCATTACATATTATAAGGTCCCAATAGCGTAGTGTGTGGTAATGAGTTCTACAAAGATCAGGAAAGCTGTGAGAATGGAGGCTGACCACATGGTCATGGAGGGGAGTTCCTTTAGATGGGATAGTTGGAGATGGCATTTGAGTAGACATTTAAATGAAGGAAACACAGGCCATGGCAGTGTCTAGGGGCAGAGCATTTCAGGCAGTGAGAACAAGCGGCTCAGTGGGAACAAGCCTGACATGCCTCCAGCCCTGCAGGAAGGCCAGCTAGCTGGAGCCGGTGAGTGCAGAGGACAGTGGCTAAAGTAAGGTTGGAAAAGTCACCAGGCCTGCCTCTTAATGTTTTCAAAAAGATATAGAAAATAATTCAGGGAGACTTTTTTTCTTTCTTTCTGGACTCTCCTTTTGCTAAGAAGAATCGAGAAGTCACCTGCAGAGAAAACAGATCAGGGGCCACCTGGTCCTGAGTTGGACCTTCCTTCTCACTTCTCAGGGCTGCAACATTCCTGCAGCTGGGAAGCTGCCAGCTAGTGATTCAAGGAAAAACTGAAATATAGTTTGACATTTTCAAAATATTCCTGTTACATGAATACGTTTTTACAAGGTGTTATGAGAGACCCATTGGATGGAGTGACATCCTTCCTGGAGGAGCCAGCAGACTTAGCACTGAGGCTTGAGTAATTTATAAGAACCCATAAAGCCATCCTGGAATGTGTGTCTGTATGGTAAAAATGATGTTATGAGGATATAAACCAAATGTAATGCTTCATAGAATGATGTTTTATGGCATTACAATAATCTGAAAATATGGACTTTGAGTTGGGTGTGTTGCAGTTAACACAGGTGCAGAGGTAGGGAGCTGTGCCTTGGCCCCCCTGCCGGCCTGGCCTCTGCCATCCCATCATTGATTACTCTTGCATGAATTCGGGTTCTCCAGGCTCCGCACGTCTATCTACGTGGCATAAGAAAAGCCTGTTTTCTTGTTCTCGGCTAAACTAATGGCTTCGTTTTTGTTTTCTTCCTGGCTATTCTCTACCCAACACAGGTCCTGGTGTTCCTATGGTGACGGTGCACAACACAACAGATAAGAAAAGTAAGTGCTCTTTTTTTTCCTTAAATCTTCCTGAGACTCAGGAGAAAGGAAGCAAAACACTCTATGAGATCAGCTGGCCCACATTCTCCTACTCAGAGACAGAGGGATGAGTCATGTCCTAGCAGTTCAGAATAGGCCATGCTGATCACCAATATCAACGAAATATGATGAAAGTCAAAGTCCGCATACCCCTGCCAGAGGGCCCCACACCCCTTCACAAGTGCTGAGCCTGGAGGGTCATTCCAGGCCTACCCAGGTCATAGACTGACATCCTCTGAACAGCCAGCTCAAAAGGCTTTGTAGCCTCACATGAGTCCGTCCCCACTGAGAACCTGCCATGTGGCACCAAGACTTGAGGGGCACATGGAGGCTCATCTGTCTTTGTGGGTCTGGGAGCTTCACGGCATGGAGGGTCTCTGCATCCATGCTGCACAGGATATCAGAGAAAAACTTATTCTGCCATTTGTAAAATGGTAGGGAAGGCTTTTTCAGGACTGTTGTGAAAGGGGAGGGAGATTCAGGCTCAACTTTGAATACAGCAAGATCCCGTGGGGGTTTATAGCCAGTGACCAGAGAAAGGGGTCCGTGGATGGAAAACTGCTAAGAGAAGGCATCAGTGGGAGGCGATTTTTGCTAAGCTGACCTCACAAGATCCTTGCTGAAGGCAGGACAAGGACTTAGGCTCAAAGGTGGAGGACGAGGAACAGTTACGGAGGGTGATCAGATATCAGGGGTGGAGACCTCTTGCTAAAGCTGGGCAATGCAGGCCGAAGACAGGTTAGGATCAAGGTTGAAGCCTGGTCAAGAAGAGGACTCAGAGGAGCCTCACTCAAGTTTGGTCAAGGAGAGTCTTTGAAAGACTTCCCAGGGTCACTAGAGGTGGCATGTGTTTGCTTGGAGGGACCCCACACAGGTTGCCACGGGCACATCCGTGTTTACGCGAGGGATGTGTGCTGTGTGCAGTGGGAGGCAGAGGCACAGCACAGCTGAGAAGCAAAGAGAACTCGCCCTCGGTCCCTCCCTTTCCAGCCCTCCCTCTGTCTAACCCAAAGCAGCCTGTGTCCTCCTTCCCCCGAATCCTTCCCACTCCCTTCCACATTCAGGAACCCCTTCCCTGGCAGGAGGGCAAACTTCATGGCCCGGGTCCGCAGTTCCCCTAGGTCTGGGGACAGAGGTGACTCCGTGTCTCCAGTGACCATCGAGCATCAGCGGCTCCCTGATTCCTATCTCTGTGGTGGTACTTCAAGCTCCAGGAGAACTGGAGGCGGCGGCGGTGAGGCGCATGTTGGAAAGGAGGCTCCAAACGTGTGTTTAGACACCGTGAAGTGGTCAAACTGTTCCAAAGTGGGCAAAATAGATTCGTTTAAAGAGACAGCACTTAGCCAATAATCCCAAATAATGATGATAGTCTGCCAAGCTATCAAATCATTATTAGAAATACAAAACCAAAGCATAAGTAATCATAAAACCAGAAATAAATTAATAGATTTTAAAGCCCCCACAAAAAGCCATAAAGTGGATGTCAGAATGGATATACAAAAACACTCAGAATGGCCGTTGGAGGGACCCCGTGCTGAGAAGAAGCGGGATGGCCTTCCTGTGCTCCTCCCCAGAGGAGGGGCTGGTTTCCCCAGCAAAAAGGTTCACCTGCTCCCAGGCTGCTTTCCAGCCTCACCTGCGAGGTTTGGGAATCTGGGCCATTTGAGCAATGGGGGCGGTATCCCCGGAAGGATGTTGGGCGCGATTGCCTGGGTCTCTCACCTCCCCACTGCATCCACCCACCCTCTGCCCACTCTAAGGGGCACGAGGCTGTGAAGGGCCCTCCAGGAGGCCGCAGAGGCCAAGCTAGAACTTCCACCAAGGCCTGGGGTCGGTGGAGTCTGACAGACATACTCCGGCATGACAGTGAATGTTTGAAACACCTGTGCTAGACCTCTTTAGGTGGAATTTTCCCTGAAAAAATGCCGATGTTGCATAGAGCCTCAACTGTGACATCTTTTTTTTCCTTAAGCAAATGTATATTTTCATTTTGAGTATTTGATAAGATTTAGAGTCCATGGACACCTTTCTGGTATTTGTGAGGTTTTCCCCTTCTTGAAAATTGATGGTCTGGTAGAAATTAGATAAGGTGTCCAATGGAGCTCACAGCATTGCAGCCTCCCGGGTTAGCTGTTGCCCGATGGTTCTGTGAGATGCCACCACTGAAGACCCGGAAGTGGAGACACAGGACTCTATGCACTATTTGTGCAACTTCCTAGGAATCTATAATTATTTCAAATTTAAAAGTTTTTTCTAATCTGTGGTCTAATAAAAAACACAAAAGTATCTTTCAGCTTTGAAAAATATGATATAGCATATGGCTCTTCTTACAAAAGTCATTCCCTTAAATGCTTTTTACTTCTTTGGAGGAAGCTATTATTAATCTATTCAAGTTCAAAGGTTAATATAGTCCCTACTTTTGGGAAATGCATTTTGACTTCTAAGCCACTTCCAGCCTGGATGTGATCAGTCCTTGGGGCTCCTAAAGCCTCCCACGGTGCTGGATCAAGTCAACACAGTTTCCAAGGCTCATGTGTGAGTGAAAATGAAGCCGGCCTGTATCTTAGGTGTGTGTGACACTGTTGAGAAAATATTTCATTTATTCCATTTATAAAAATAAGGTAATCTATAGGTGGGCTGAGGTGCAATTCTTCGGAAGAGAGTCCCAGTAAGAATTGACCAAATGTCTTCCAGCAAGTGCAACATGCTAATATGCTCAAAGATCCAGGAAATTTTGTTAACTCTGCTGGGAAACAAAACAACCACTTCTTTTCCTCTGTAGGACTGGCTACTACATTAACCAATCAATCCAATCAATATTGACAGACCATAGGCCCTAGGTTGCCATCCATATCCGTTGCGGAGCTGCATAAATGGGAATTTTTTAGGAAGCATTTCGCCGTTTGCAGTTGAGCTGTCACTTTGGTGACTGTGACTCCCTGAAGCAAAGAGATGGGACCCAGCGGCTTAAGAAATAAAAAGCACTGTGCACACAGGATGGGGCTGGCGTTACATGCCTGTACTCCCTTCTTCTCTGTGTGAAATTTAACAGTGAACCTGAAGGTGACACCATTGCGCTTGATCTCAGCAAAGTGCTGACTAATTGGAAACTGGACGGCGTTTAGAATTATTTTGGTCACATTTATTTTACGAGCCTATTTATATAGCAGTGTTTGACTCTGGGTTTCCTGGAGCCTAATTCAAACTCTAGGAATATTTCATCCCGCCCTAGCCTGTTTCTGCATTTCTGGCTGTCAATGTAGTTCAAGCTCTTTCAGGATGGTAACTTAAGCTGCCATTTTAACTTGGAAAAAAAAATGATTAAATGTGGTTGAGTTGATTGTCGTTCCCATCCCCAGGAGGACAGTAGGGGTCCCATCTTGCTCAGTGTCTATGTTACATTCAGACTTCATGATTTGAGGGGTTCCAGGTTCCTGAACACCCACTTTTTCCCCATGCCTGGATAAAAGTGCCTGAAATCCCTTCCTTGCACGGCCATCCCTGAGGGTTGGCACATCATAGCTGCACGAATGGCTTTGAGTCCACCTGGGAAATAAGAGTGAGTGTGGCAGGGCCTGGTAAAGTGCCAAACCCAGCCCTGAGTTCCAGCCTCCAGGTGTTTGCCATGGGAGGCGTGTGGGGTTTCTTCAGTGTGTTTACCTTTTGATATGTCTGATGTCCTCTTGCAGCACTTCACAGCCCATCTCCAACCCAGCTGTGTCTTCCCCAAACAAAATGCACTGAGTTTTCATTTTGTCTGTCAAACTGGTGCATCTTGGATGAGAAGGCAGGTGCCTGGTGCTTCCAGGCCCCCAGTTCCAGCAGCATCTTGTTCGTGGTGTGGTTGGACCACATCAGAGCCTCCTCGTGGCCTCTGCAGTGGATGA
Source organism: Homo sapiens (assembly GCF_000001405.40). NCBI lineage: Eukaryota > Metazoa > Chordata > Mammalia > Primates > Hominidae > Homo > Homo sapiens. Next base: position 154,857,754 of record NC_000007.14, read on the forward strand.
AGGGTCCACAGCATGTGGTTTGCGGGGGGATGTGCATATCAGGCAGCCGACAAAGCCATTGTCAGGCCAGCACTTCACACATCAGCCTTTGGGCCTCAGGTAAGCTTGAGATCAGTTGTCCTCTTTCACGATTGAAAAGGCCGCTGAAGACTTCCAGGAGCAACACAAAGGCAGGCAGTGAGTCACCCATCCCTGCAGATGCCTGTTTCATCCAAACACTCAGCCAGCTAGCGGTTCTGCATCGTCAGGATTCTGCAAAACCCCACACCACTTGTACTTGTTCCATTTGATGCTCCATCCTGAACAACTCAGACAACCGTGTTCTGATCAGGGGGCCAGAGAAAGGCTGGAGGTCACAGGGAGCCATGGTAGTAACAATAGTGGCCCCAACCAGCATTTATCAGCACTTGCTCCGGGGCAGGGTGCTGTGGCAAATACTTGACATATTTTAACTCATTTCATCCTCTCAACAGCCTGTGAGGCAGGAACTGCTATTATCCCCACTTGTCAGCTAAGGAAGCTGAGGCACCACAGCTTAGGTGATCGGGCCACATGCATGCAGCGAGGAAGCAAAAGCAGAGGAGTTGCATCTCGGACGCAAGCAGTGCGGCTCCAACAGAGCCTGTTCTTCCAGACATGTGGTCATTGCATGGCGCTGCTCAGCCGCCTGCCCTCATGCGGTCTGAAGGACAACTGCAAATCCAGAGCGATGCCCGGCCTGCACTCCCATTGAGATGAGTCTGGGGAGGCAGAAGCAGTCACACCTGCAGCTCGTTCTCAGCACCTTCTCCGCCCATACACCACCCCCGGGGTCCATCCGAGCCAGCTCTGGGGTGAGCGTGCGGCACGGCACCTTCTCCTGCTCTGAGAAGCCTTCCACGTCACAGGGAAGAGATGCTCCTCAGGCCCTGGTGGCTGTTAAACCTGTGGGAGCCCCGTCGAATTAAGGGCTCTGCTTCCTGCAGCAGCTCAGCCTCCATGTGCAGGCTGGGGTCATACTCCATGCACTGTGAGAGCTCAGCCCTTGAACTTCACCCTCTAATGGCAGCCCCTTAGCCCCCAGGCAGCAGTCTTTGGCTAGCCATCCATTATTCTCTTTTGAATGTAATCGTAGCAGCAGTTCTGGGCTCTCCACACAGCACCAGGCCCCTTCCTTGTACCAACCCTATGAGGTTCAACAATTCATCTGAGATCCACAGCAAACTTCAGGGCGAGGCCCGGACTCTTGTCTTATCTGACTACCAAGCAGGCGCTCTTGACTGTGGGCTGGGGGCTGATACCAGATGTCTGACAAGGGGGGAAAGGCAGCCCCAGACCCCAAGACCCAGGATCTCCTGGCCTTCACGTCGCTGCCATCTGGGAAATGTGCTCACAGCAGCAGCCTCTGTGACCACTGAGCTGCTGGTCAAAAATCACCCCTGGTTTAGATCAGCCCTGGTGAGGCCATGCCAGCACAGGCATTTGCACCTCACGCCTCTGTTGAACAGTGTGCAAAGCAGCAGCGCTTCCAACCCGCGCTGTGGGGCTGAGCCAGGAAAGCGGGGCCCATGGCCTACAGCTGGGCAGGGCAAGACAGGAGGCCTCGGGGAGCCGGCTCCTGAGCCGCTGTGTGACGCCATGACTGGCAGCTGAGGTGTGGCCCACGTTCTGTTACAGGGCAGAGCCTCGGCACTGTGCGTCAGCTAGCAAAGGGGGCTCTGGAAGGCTGGGACCCGTCTTTATCATACTATCCTCTCCCAGCCCTGCTGTGAAATTTGAAATTACTGTTTCAGAATTCTTTGTCCTTTCCCCTCCTCTCCCCCACTGACCCCAAAACCACCCTGGGAATATTTGACTTTTTTCCTCTTTAGAAAATCTTATCTACAAACAGAGCCTGCGGGGTGTTCACAGATGTGACTCTGAATTATTTAAAAGCTGTTTCCTTAAGAAGGTAATTATGGTTGGGACCAACCTATACTCATTTGGTGCCTGGATATTCAAACAAACAACTTAGGTACTGGGATAAAAAAACCAACAAAATCATAGTGAATACATTGCGGGCTTTAATGTAAATATGAAAGGCAGGCCCACTTAGAGACGTGGATGCCAACTCGACGTGTGGGAGTCGAAATTGCGGTGTGGCTTGCAATGCAGCCCCACAGCCATGCAGAGAAAGCGTGCGTGTGGCGGGGTTGAAGCTGGCTACACTGGCTGACAGCACCCCACAGCGGCCTGCAAGCGCATGTGGGAGCTTGGGATCACTAGGCAGCCTGGTTCCCACTCCTTTATGGCATCAAAAGTTAGGTTTCTCTACCTCCTACTCTCTTCATTTGGGTCTTTGTAAGAAAGCAAAAACAGCCCCTACCACCAGTGGTGCCCAGGTGGGTCCATGAAGCAACGCCAGATGCAGTTGGTTTCCAGCCTCTGTTCCTGCACCAGTGCTGCTGGGCGCACCCCTGCCCCACCTTCTCCCTGAGGCACCCCCTCCTAGACTGTCAAGGCTGTGCCCACAGCTCCCCTTCCATCAAGCACAGGGCGCCCACACATGGAGAGACATCAGGAGCATGGCATTCCAGAGGGCCCACATGTCACTGTCACGCTACACGCCAAGGAGTTTGCCCGCCATCCTGCAGGACCCAGGAGGAGCACTGTCAGACGTCCCTCTCGAAAAGCTTCTGGTCGCTGTGCAGAGAATGGATGGAAGGACCCCAGGTTGCAGACAGGAGGGCTGCTGGGGGCCATGGTGGAAAGGATGAGAGTCTGGACCAGCAGGGGGGCCTCCAATGAGGGGCTGCCTCTGCAGGCCCTGCAGGGAGAGATGCACCTGGAAAGGGGCCGAAGAGCTGCCATCTCAATCCAGTCCAGGGAGGTGTGGCACTTGCTGGGGTGGCGAAGCATCATACAGAATCCTACAGCCTGTGGCCCTCAAAACCTGGGTCTTGTCCAGTCCTAACAAAGAAGGAACAGCCCCGCTGCCTCCTTGGGTGCAGCAGCAGGCGACTGGGTGGGTGTCTGGAGAGTAGGTCCTCATGCCTCTCACCCTGCAGGCCAACTGGGCAAAGCCCTGGCTCTCAGAAACAGTGGCCAGGACACAGCGGGCAGCTGCCCCATCACAGCCGTGGAGCCACCACCAAGGTTGGGGCCGTCCAGCAAATGCACAAACCCATTTCAGACCTGGAGATAAAAGCCAGCTCTTTCCTGCAGATCATATGGGGCAGAACCAAAAAGACTAAAAATGTAAAAAGATGATGAAGGAAAGTAAATGTTAAAAGAAAAAAAATTTCGAAAGCAGCCTGGTGCCTAACTTCAGCCCTAGGTCTTAACATGGCTGCATCAGGCAAGTTTCTACCTAAGACCCACAGCTTTCAAATATTTTAAGGAGCAATTTGGTGGCCAAAGAGAGAAAGTCTCATTATAAAGTGGCCTTTATGTGAGGGGACCTTGCCAAGTCATGCCAAGACAGAGGACACTGGGCCATCTGTCCTCAAGTAGTTTTTGCTCATGAATCCCTAAGATAATTTTTGAAAAATCATGTTTCCCCTACACATTTTTAAGTTGTCACCTAAAGTTTTTCTCATTAATTCAAAGCTGTACAAAATAAGTTTTTAGCATATTTATTTTAAAATAAAAGTATTACATAATCCTATGATATCTAAGTATTGTGGCAATTTGATACTTACCACTGCCCAGTTAAACATTTCTGGAACAAGTTCTTCTTAGCTTTACATCCTTCCTTTTCCTCCTCGAGCTGATATTTACATTCCATTTGTCCGCCCGTCACCCCAGAATTCTGTCCTAACGTCATTTAATCTTGGAAATATTTTAAAGGTCTTTTCTTTTTAACTTCCGGTGACCATAAGGCCATAATCATTACTTGTTGGATGGAATTATTATCATAATTATCACTTGTTCACATCAAGCAATTAGGATACATTACATACTTTGATAATTGTTGGACATAAAAAGTTATGATTGCTCTGAGATGCATCTCTTAGCGAGCTGGGTGTGGTGGTTTTTCACTCAGTTCATGAGCACACCTGACTCATTTCCAGAGAAGACCTTGTCAGAAACGTGTGCGCTCCTGGTTTTTCCCTCCTTTTGGTGGTCGCTTCTTTTTGTTTCTGTAGAATGTCTGAAAATGTGTTCATGTAAATAAATGGAGAGAGAGGAGTCTTGTTATAGCAGTGCCATTTTCACTGAACGCCTGAGCTATATGCCAAAACATTGTGGCCCATCCATTCTCTGTCATTAAGGATTATTTTCAATGATCTATTGATTTTTAGCTCAGTGAGATTCCCCTTCCATTTTGTTAAAATCAAAGGATGACAAGCCGACCATGTTACTGGGGGCTCTTACCCATTACTGGGGGAGTTCTCTTACTGAACTCAGCCTTGGTGGTCCCTCATCCTTCATGTGGAGCCCACCTGTGTACAAGATGCCCCAGGGACAGATGAGGGGGCTCCAAGGCCTTCCTTGCCCTCGTGACGCCTGTGTCAGGCCATGATGAAAGAGGCACAGGAAAGGAGCAGTTCCTTGGAGCGAATCAGGCATGTCCATTCTCAGCACATTTGCCAGCAGGCTCCTATGGATGCAGAGAGCCTGGGAACCAGTCTCCTGAATCCCACGTGTCTGCACTCGAAATCTTCTGGACCCACAGGGTTGCACGCGTGAGCAGCTGTCCTGGTGGGTGGAGTGTCTGCAGATTTGCTGTTGGAACGTGTTAGACTTCAGTCCAGCATTTGGGTGGGCAAGCTGGCATTTGGCTAACACAGAGTGGAAAGCAAGCCACGCATGGAGCTGCACGCCCTGCAGGATGTCTGCAGGTGCTTCTTCCTCTCTACTACCTAATGCGGGAGGAGAGCTGGGCTTCGCTGCCACCCAGCAGCTCTCGGTGCCTCGAGGAGCACCTGCAGGCTGGGCACTGTGCCAGCCACTGCACCCGCTCATCCGTGGGCTGGAGGACACACACATGAGTCCCCTCAATGCACAACTCCTCTGGCATCAAACACCTGCCATGGGCCCAGCATGATGCTAGAAGGACCAAAAATAAATGCCACCTACTGGGACCCTGCCCTCAAGTTGCTTAAAATCTGGCTGGAGGAAAAAAGATATGGCAAAAAGAATAATAGTTGCCCAAACTGTGTCAGACTGACTCTAACAACTCAACATTCGGAGTTCAGAGAAAAGAGGCTGGGTGCTGTGGCTCACACCTGTAATCCCACGAAGGTGGGAGGACCTCTTTTTCTTTTTTGACCTCCTGGGCTCAAGCAATCCTCCCACCTCAGCCCCACAAGTAGCTGGGACTACAGACATGCATCACCATGACTGGCTAATTTTTACATTTTTCTTTGGAGAGATCAGGTCTCCCTATGTTGCCCAGGCTGGTCTCGGACTCCTGGACTCAAGTGATCCTCCTCCCTTGGCCTCCCAAAGCATTGGGATTACAGACGTGAGCCACCGCACCCGAACCCTTTCCTTTGTCTTTTCTATTTTGTTCATAAAGCATGTCTCTGTTGATCACTGCATGTATATGTGGAGGGAAGGACAATATGATTTTAAGAAATGTAATATTTAGCATCTTGGCCCCAAGATTCTACAATCCTTTCATAGGATTTTTTTTTTTTTTTGAGATGGGGGTCTTGCTCTGTCACCTAGGCTCAAGGGGAGTGGTGCAATCACAGCTCAAGCTATCCTCCCACTGCAGCCTCGACCTCCAGAGCTCAAGCTGTCCTCCCACCTCAGCCTCCTGAGTAACTGGGACCACAGGTGTGTGCCACCATGCCTGGATTTTTTTATGTTTATATTTTGTAGAGATGGAGTTGGGATTACAGGTGTGAGCCACTGCACCCAGCAAGGAAGATCTCTTGAGTCCAGGAGTTTGAGACTAGCCTGGGAAACACAATGAGACCCTACCTCTGCAAAAATTACAAAATTTAGCCGGGCATGGTGGTGTATGCCTGTAGTCCCAGCTGCTCAGGAGGCTAAGGTGGGAGGATTGCTTGAGCCCGGGTGTTCGAGGCTGCAGTGAGTTATGATTTCACCACTGCACTCCAACCTGGCTGCAAGACCCTGTCTCAAAAAACAAAAATGGAGCTCAGAGAAAAGAGATTTCCAGTTAAGGTGAGTAAGTTTAAACAGTAGTCATGCGGGCTCTGGGCCTGAATCTGGTCTTCGAATATGACTAATGGCCTAGCCCTGGGGTAAGCGGACGGCAGCTGCAAGAGCACAGGGAGGGGGCGAGGTGGGGCAGAGAGGGGTCCTACTGATGGCCGCAGGGGAAGGTGCACGTGAGGAGTGAGCAGAAATACAGCAGGAGAGGCCTGGACTAGAAAGGCACAGAAAACCCAGGCAGGGGAAGTCAGGCCAAGGCAACAGGGAGATGCCGGAGAGACTTCTGCCTAAGCCTCTGCGTGCACACACCATCCTGCAGTTTTATTTCTTGTAGAAATGTGAGAAAGGGAAGCGGCTGCTCTCTCCTCTTTTAGATCCGTTGCCTATTGGTGTTCATTGGATCTGGTCACCAATTTTCCAAAATTTAGCACAGTGGTGATTCCATCAATCCCCTGAACCTGCCGGGCCACTTGGAAGCATGTCTTGCAACAGTGCACAGCTACACCACGACCTGCCCATGGGACGCAGCGAGGGAAGCAGCCTCATGAGCAGGCCTGAGTCTCTGCGGTCTCACTGTGTCCAGATCTGATAATAGCTAATTCCACCAAATATTAGAGGGGGCTCACATTTAATTAAAGAGTGGCCATTTGTGTGCTCCAGACTGGAGGTCCCCACTGCCCTGAAGTCAAAAGAAAAGTCCTTCAGGGAATATGCCAATCTTTTCTTATTTCTCTGCTGAGCTCCTGCCCTCTTTGAATGCAATTATGGGAACAAATAAAATGGCTTAACTCAAGTCCCCTGTGGGACAGTCAGCTCTCTGCTGATAAAACCAGTTGTGTGGGCAATCATTAAATGAGAAATCTAATATTTAACTAAATTTAATAGTCTGTTGCTTTGGTGCTTTCCTGTGAAGGGTGGGATTTCAATAGAGAGGAACGAGGTATTCACACGCAGCCTGTGTAGTCCATGAGCGATTAGAACATGGTGCGTTCCCACATGAAACCAGAACTCTCAGATCCGGAAACTGGTAACGGGCTGTTTGGTGGCCAGCCTGTGTTCCGTTAGCTCTAGGCAAGCTTAACTCAGTAGGCAGCAGAGAACATTGCTCCCTGAGTTTAACCTTCTCCTTCATGACCAGCATTTGAGATCGCACACTGACGGCTGAAACATCAAATTCACATGCATATATATGGAGACAAGAGCGTACTTTAACCAGCTGTAAGAGGGTCTGTCCCCATTTTCTCTCAGTTTGAGATTTGGCCATCCAGACAGGCTCTTGCCACTAGCAGACCCCCCCAGCTGAAGCCCTTTCTGGGACCCAGAAGCAGAAGCTAACTGATAGCAAGAAGCCCATCTCTGTTCTCATTGGTAGGGTCTTTCTACCTTTGCTCCTGCCAGTTCCCCTGATCTTCATCGGTTGTCACTTCCATCATTTGACCCACATTTGCACACCCCAAGTTCCTCACCTGTTTTGCACCTGGGATGATCATGTCAGCAGGCAGAGGAGCAGAGACCACAGGTTCTCCAAGGGTTACAGCTGAGGCGTCGAGATGACCTCATGAGATCGAGGCACTGGTCTCCTACAATAAGCTGGAGTTTGGAGCGTGTGGATGAACTGCCTCATAGTCCCAGAGTCGAGTGAATTAACTTAGGTGCATCATTAGTCTCCTAAACATCAGAAAATTTTCCATCAACTTCTAAACACCAGAAACTTTTCCATCAACTTCTAAACACCAGAAACTTTTCCATCAATTTCTAAACACCAGAAACTTTTCCATCAATTTAATGCAGTTTGCTTTGGGTCCTCGGGTCTGAGCTGTGTGGGAAACACTGGTTGATAGTCTGGCCTCAGTTTTTCCAACTCTTACCGTTCAAGAGATCTGAGCCCTGAAGACCTTTGCAGCTTCCTGAGACACTCAGGAGGACCTCTCCTCGGTCCTGTTTAGTTTCCTGGGGCCACATGGGAACAAGGAGAAAGACTTGGGTAGAAACCCAGACTCGTTACCATCTAAAGATGCTTAATTTCCAAGATATGAATCGATTTTCCACAAACCCATCTACCCCGGGTACCCAAAACTAGTGCATTTCGTCTCTGGGATAGGACTGAACACTGATACCTTGGCGAGGGGTAGGGAGAAGGATTTGCTGCCAGGAAAATGACCAAAACTTTCATTTGGTGTTAAGTGTATCCAGAGAGCTTGACAGGTGCCTGAGATAGGGTGGTCAGGTCCCTCTTGGAGGAGGTAACGCTTGCGTTGATGGAGGAGAAGGAGCTAGCAAGGAAGATTTCAAACACAGGGCAGCACGTGCAAAGGCCCTGGGGCAGCAAAGAGCTTGGGAAATGCTGTTCTCTTCATTACCAGGCAGCACTCCCTGCTAGTCTTCCTTTCCTGTAACTGTGAATAGAACATGAATGATATGCAGTCACTGTCTCATAAACCAACTCCTCTCACCTGAGTGTGTGCCTGGAGCATTGCATTAAAGGGCTGAGGGCATTTGGACTCAGCACCAATGAGTGCTGCCGCCCATCCATTAGGAACATGGGCTGAGGCTGTGAAGCTGGCGCAGGGGCATGCAGGCCCCTTGGGGTGGAGTGCACCTCCCCTAACTCACGTGCATGCCTGTGAGGGAGAGTGCGCCACCTCTGCAGCCAAGTCTCTGGGTCTCAGAGTTAAGGTCAAGTCTACTTGGACTTCCCTTGGACTTCACCACTGCAGACACCCCTTGCAGACGTAGCTGTGTTTCCTGCTGGGACACGTGTCCTGCAAGGGACACGTTTCTCGCATGCTACGTGGTGTTCGGAACCTTTCCCAGTGGTGGTCTAACGTCAGATTTGTTAAAACTCTACCTGTTTGAAAACTAGTGTCACTATTTCTCCCCTTATTTTTTATCAAAGCTCAATATTCAAATGTGTCCAGCAACTTGCAAGTCATTTTCATTTTATGTACTCGTCACAAGCGCTGGGAGCTTCCATTTCCCCCTGTTCCTCTACAGAAGGTTGCCAGGCCTTCTGGGCAGAGTTCTTGAATAAAGCCACAGCCCCATGTTCTCCACACAAAGCCACACGTCCAGATTCTCCTAGTTATGGGCGGTCATTTGACCTCCAGCTGCCCCGGAGAAGCGCCCACCTGCAGAGCAGCTTTTTTTTTTTTTTTCAAGGGAGTTATATGGGAGGATGACTGGACATCCATTCTAGCATTGTTTGTGATCATTTGTTTACGCTTTAAACAAATGCACAAATTGCAGCTGCTTCCAAGTGATTTGACGAGCCAAAGGCAAAGTTCCTTGCAGAAAAATTCCCTTTCACAATGAACCACAAGTTATCCCCATGTGTAGGCTTAGTGTGAGAAGGGAGAAAGGAAGTTGGGTGGTTTTTATGACACGTCAGATGGTGAAATGAAACAGAATGGCCATTTCAGTACATGAACGGAGAGTTCCTCAGGGGACTTCTTTGCATCTGAAGAAATAGATAACGAGGACGTGTGTGTGCTGTCGCGGCAGAGGCACAAAGGTCCAGCGCATCCACACCACAGGGCAGAACTGACCTTGGTCTCTACCACGGAGGGAGGACAGCCAGTCCCACTGCAGTGTGAAGCAAGGCTCACACGACTCCACTGTCCACAAATACAGTCACCGAAGTTAAGGTCTCTCCAGAGACCAGCTTATCTTCTGTTTTGGGAGAGAGATCAGAATCCATTTTATTTCTGGGAACATTTAATAAAGATGATACCCTAGTTTCTACCCACCTTTCCTTTTCTGGTTATTATGGCCACAATTTTTGGAAAACCATTTGTCCTAACAGATGTGTAATGTAGGTTTTCTTAAAACCAGCAGTCATGGGAAGAATCATACCAAAACCTGTGCGTGTGACGCCACGGAGAACAAAAACCTCTGGTGGGGGAAGGAGAAAGCCTAAGACGGTGGGGAGAATCTTTAATCCACCCAAATTCCAGATTTGAGTCTAGGCTTTTGAGCGCATAACTTGAGCGTGTTTTTTAATGCCCAGTTTCTTTTTCTGTACACTAGAAATAATAATAATCACCTCTGAGGCTGATGAAAGCAGCAGTTACGCACATGAAAAGCCATGGCCCGCAGAGGTCCTCCATGAGTGACCACTGCATCTCAGTGTGTCCCTGTTTCCTCTCTTTCAGAAATGTTTGACCTAGAAACAAATGAACATGTCAAGAAGGCCATAAATGACCGACAGATGCCTAAAGTGGAATACAGGGACATTGAGATTGATGATTACAGTAAGTACTACGTTTTTCCCCTCTAAAAGAAAAAGAAAAAGAAAACGTGGGCTGTGACACAGTGCAGTCATCAGCAGCAGGTGCCCTGCAAGGAAGACTCCCCAAGCACGGGGGTGTATCTTTGCCCCTCAGCTCCTCTGGCATGGAGTGTCTTGTGTTCAGAACCAAGATGCTCACTCTGGTGACAAAACCAAAAAAAGCAGGGCACAGGATCTCTCTCCCTGAGAGGCTGACAGTTGCTTCAAAGCAAGACCACAGACTCCAACGCTCTCCTTCTTTGGTGACCGTGTCAAGACACCGTCCAGAAAAACCTCTTCCCTCTGGAAATTCCCTTTCTGTGCCATCTGAAGTCCTTCCTGCCTCATCAGCTGGTGGATTATGGGCTGATGAGGGGCGTCCTTGCAGCCAGGGTTTACGTGAGGAGGTTTGAGTGCTGTTACTCCCTAGGAAATGCTTCTCACTCTGCCTTTCTCTGCCTGTGCCCTTCTTTCCTTGAACTGTCCCTCCAGTCATTCGGTAAGTTCTCCTGGGCACTAACTCTGTGCTAGGCGTTGCTAAGCACTAAACACCCCAGAGCATTAGCTGGACCTGGACTCACAGCTCTAGGAGGGAGGCAGAGCCTCGGAGCCTCAACTCCCACCTCCGCACAGATGGCTCCCAAGTCACCCGGCTGGCCCCGTGTCCTCACTGCCCACCAGGTCGTTACTCTTGGAAACCCAAGTGTAAAATGCCCACAGCGGATTTCACTGTCTTCCCCCAGAACTCTGTCCCGCTCCAGACTTCCCCACCTCTATGCATAGCAGCCTTTTGGTGGTAAGTTGGTGTCGAATAACTGAGACTTCAAACCTTGAAGCTGTCTTTGAGTCATTCATGCAGACACCACTTACCCATCACCTCTGAGGCTGTAAACGGGTTTCCCTCCTGTGCAAACTCCGACTGACTGATAGTAACTGCAGGAGCTCTTTGTTGAAAGGGAAGGTTTCCAGAGCTCGGCGGAAAGCGTGTTGAGGCTGATAAGTAACACTGAGCTGAAAGGGCAGGGGGAGGAGCCACACACCTTGCGTTTGCCATCCCTAGACCGTCTCTGGAACCTCTTTGTCTGCCCTTCCCTGACACGAGACAGCAGCGTGTCGCCTGGAGCCTAGGGTATTCGCTGGCAGCCCCCTTGTGCTCAGCAGCTTAGAGGAGACACAATCACCTAACAGACTCAGCTCCCAAGAGCAGGTACCAAGGCTCACCCCACGAAACAAAAACAGGTCCCCCAAACAGTACGTGCTGCAAAGCTGCATTGCGTAGAGCAGAAAGTAAATAGCACGAGAATTCAGAGAAGAGCATGAGACTGGGCTGGGGACATGTGGGAATGCTCACGGAACGTGGGACTTGAACATGGTCCCTAGAGTCAGCATCAGGTGGGCTCACAAGAGGAGACCGTGCAATCCAGAGAAGAGGGCAACGTGAGGGGTCTTAGGCAAGGGCAAGTGCAGTGCAGTGTGGCTGGGTCTGGAGGCTGCCCTGGAGTCCCAGCCTGCAGGACAGCCCAGGTGTGGGCCCTGCACAGGGACCCTCACTCGCCTGTGCTCACCACGCCCTCCCTGCAGCCCACCACAGGTCCGGGCCAAAAACTTCTGGCCCCGCCATTTGGCCACAGGAAGCTATGCTCTATCACAACTTTTCTGGACATTGCATTCACCTCTGAAAGTCAGAACATTCTGGAATTTTGATGCACTTCAGATCCGCTCCCGCCCCCACCCCCACCCCCACCCCTGCCCCCAACACACTCACATGTCCAAAGGCTGTCTCTCTTAAAATACCCTGAAGGTGACCACGCCAGGGAAGGGGGCATGAACGAAATGAGTAGGGAATGGTCTAGGAGAAAAAGAATAATTTTGTGTGTGTCTGTGTGTGAGACAGAGTCTCACTCTGTCCCCCAGGCTAGAATGCAGTGGTACGATCTTGGGTTACTGCAGCCTTGACCTCCCGAGCTCAAGTGATCCTCCCACCTCAGCCTCCTGAGTAGCTGGGACCACAGGCAGGCCACATGCCCAACTAATTCTTTTTTTTTTTTTTTTTTCGTAGAGACAGGGTCTCACTATGTTGCCCAAACTGGTCTTGAACTACGGGGCTCAAGCAATCCTGCCTCAGTCCCCCAAAGTGCCAGGATTATAGGTGTCAGCCATCATGCCCAGCCTAGAGGAGGAAGAAGAGAAATTCAAGAAAACCATAAACAAGGGCTGGGCATGGTGGCTTATGCCTGGATTCCCATTACTTTGGGAAGCTGAGGAGGGCAGATCACTTGAGGTCAGGAGTTCAAGACAAGCCTGGCCAACATGGTAAAACCCCATCTCTACAAAAAAATACAAAAATTAGCCAGGCGTGATGGCATGTGCCTGTAGTCCCAGTTACTTGGGAGGCTGAGGCACGAGAATCACTTGAACCTAGAAGGCAGAGGTTGCAGTGAGCCAAGATCGCACCACTGCACTCCAGCCTTGGCAATAGAGTGAGACTTTGTCTCAAAAAACAAAAAACAAACAAACAAACAAAAAATGGAGGCTGTGACAAGCTGCTTTGGCCAAGAAATGTGTGTATTGGCCAGTCACGGTGGCTCACGCCTGTAATCCCAGCACTTTGGGAGGCCGAGGCATGCGGATCACTTGAGGTCAGGAGTTCAAGACCAGCCTGGCCAACATGGTGAAACTCTGTCTCTACTAAAAATACAAAAGTTAGCTGGGTGTGGTGGTGCACACTTGTAATCCCAGCTACTGGGGTGGCTGAGGCAGGAGAATCACTTGAACCCAGGAGGCGGAAGTTGCAGTGAGCTGAGATCGCACTACTGTACTCCAGCATGGGTGACAGAATGAGACTCCATCTCAAAAAAAAAAAAAAAAAAAAAAATGTGTGTGTTATCCCAGCCCAATGGAGAAACCATTGCCCCGGCATGTCTCTGAAGCTCCTCTGTTCTCAGCTCGAGGCTCCTCCGCAGCCTTGGCGGCCAGACTGTCACCCTGGCAAGATCCCTTTCTGAGCTCCTTAGGCCTGGCCTCCTCCTCCTCCAGCCCACTCTACCCACTGCTGTCCCAGTAACGCTTCCCAAGCCTGCAGCACTGGTGTGTGACTGTCATCCCTTCCTCTTAGGAAATGCAGAAAAGACCTTTCAAAGCACAAAGCCAGCTTTCCCACCCTTGCCACACACTCTGTCCAGCAGGGGGTTTCCTTAAAAGGTGGGTGGGTACAGATGCCAGGAGAGGATGTGGGGCACCTGTATGAGCCCAGCATCAGGAAGACCCCCTTAGGGATCGCAGGAAATCTGAAAGATGTCAGCCCTACCGACCTGACTTGGTTTTGTTTTTTTACTTTATGCTACCAGAGGCTAATGCTTTTCTTTATTTTATTTTATTTTGTATTTTTTAGAAAAGTAGGACATCTTCCAGAAGGGCTCCCCTGAAATGTTTTCAGCCAGTCAGAACATGGTTTCCAAGGTCTGCCCTTGGGCTTATCAGTGGCAGGGAGCAGCCCAGACCATGTTTTATGGAATTTAAATGATGAAGTCCAAGGCCTGCCTCTCCGCCAGTCCCTGGGCCATTGAGCTAATTTGCAAGCCATTAACATTCAGCCCGAATCAGTAATGAGACGCCAGGTCAGAGCTGGCTGCCCAGCCAGCCACCCAAGCCTGCAGTGTATCTGTGTAGTAATTGTATTGAAAAGCCGCTAATTCCAATTTAATTGCTGTGCCTTTGGTAATCTGGGTTGTAGTTAACATCAACAAATAAATTCAACTTGGATGGGAAGATTTGTTGGAAGGTAGGGGGCACAGAAGAAATTGGTGAGGCAGGTTTTTGAGGTTTGGTTCCTACCCACTCTCCCTCACCCACTGGATTTCATGCTGCTGAGGACCAGATCCAGTGACCTTGGTAGCCACGGGATCCAATGGGCTGTACCATCCTTCCCTGGCTTCCCCTAGCTGTGGCTGCAGCATAGCCATAGAGCCACCCAGCACAAACCTGCCAACAGCAAGACCCACAGATCCACCTGGCTCTGCACAGAGGCACTGCCATGGGCCGGCACCCTCTCCCCTCTAGGCGGCCCCCTGTCTCCCCTGACCCTCTATCTCTTCCTCTCCCTGCCTCCCTGCTCCCAAATATCCATCCCCAGCATCCCCGATCAGATGCTGAGAGATGCCTTTGTTGCCGCAGGCAGCCCTCCTGCTCTCAGGGCACCATATTTCCCTGCCTGAAATTCTGCTGCTAGCGAGTGCCCGGGCCATCGAGTCTTCCGTGCATTCAGTGCACTCCCATATGCAAGACTGAATGGAAGCTTCAGAGAAATGAAGCTTCACACAGGTCGGGTGACTTGCCCAAGGCCGCGCAGCAGGCCAGAGTCCTCAGGATGAAAACCCTGGGCCAGTCTCTGTCTGTGGGCTTCCCCTCAGGCCCCACCCAGAGCACCCTCACCCCCACGGTCACCCAAGGGCATGCCCGATACCCCGTGGCCAGCATTGCCCCCTAACCCGTGCTGTGCTCTGCTTCTCCCCAGACCTGCCCATGCAGATACTGAAGCCAGCAACCTTCACCGACACCACCCACTACCCTCTGCTCCTGGTGGTGTAAGTATCGTCACATCTGTCTTTCCCTGGTGCTCGTTCTGGGGCTCCGTGACACCCATGATAAAGGAATATTGAACTCTTAAGAAAAGATAAGCAGGAGAAATGACATTGTTGCAAACTGAAAACATAACATCGTTTAGCCCAATGTCAGGTTCTTTAGGAATCTTGGAGACACCCAGAGGTTAAAGGAAAGTGGGTGCTGTGTACCCACCGCCTCTCCCCAGGCTGCCTCAGGTTCTGTGACCATAAAGTGAGGCTGCTGGGATCATCGTAGTGGCATTTTGCATGACAGGCTCACCGGAGGCTGGCAGGGGACAGGTCCCAAGACACAGAGACACAAGATGGCTGGAGCCTGGGACCCGCACCCTGAGCCCGTGGGTCTCACTGGCTGGCATTTCTGGCCACTGCCGTGAATGCCCTTTTTTCACCAGCAAAGAATTTTTTCAGCTCTTTCTTATATTCATTAATAAAGCCTCCGGTTTGGGTTTTGAGAACAACTTTTTGTGCTCTGTAAATGCCTTGAAGGTGTTGGGTCTGATTAGGGAACTCAGTGCTAGGAGCCGGCCCAGTGCCCTGTGCATAGGTTCAAATGTTGCCTGACAGCCCTGAGTCTAGGTGATGTCCACGCGCTGACACCGCACGGGGAGGCAGTGCAGAGGGGGCCACCTGGACCGTTGAGCAAATGCCCCAATGCACCTCCTGGTCTGTACTTTCAAGACCACGGAGCAGGAGAAACTCCTGCACCCCTCGTAGCCTGGGAGAGCCGGCTGAAGCGAGGCCTATGCTGGGCTGTGTTAAGGATGCCAGTGCAACTACCCCCTGAGTAAACGCTGGCACCTGATGGAGCTCTGATTAACCCTGGTGTCTTGCCCTGCTCCCTTCCTGAGGGCTGAGTCCCTAAATAGCAAAAAGGTTCCATTATAGAAACGCCCCAGGGCACAGATTCCAATAGCTGATTCCGTTTTGCAATTAACCCACTTTCCTTAATATCTGGACTGCTTTCACACTTTCCCAGCAGCCATGCATGCACACTCACCCACATGCAGACACACGCACCCACACACAGGCACACGCACATGCACACACACCCACATGTGCACACATGCATCCACACACACACATGCACACACGCATACATAAACACACACATATGCATACCCACATGCACACACACCCACAGGCACACACATGCACACACACGCACCCACACACATAGGCACACACACATGCACACACCCACATGTGCACACATGCACACACACACGCACCTGCATACATAAGCACACACATGCATACCCACATGCACACATACACACACATGCACACACATACGTGTGCATACGCATCCACATGCAGCACATATGCACATGTATGTGTATATACACATGCACACATGCACACATCTATACACACCCACACCCACAGACCCACACACCCCACACATGTGCACACACACCACACACGTTTCCTGCCTCCTTTCTCTTACTAAACCAGATTTTCCCCACTTTCTCCAGGATGCTAACAACTTCCGAACCAGCTTTCTTCCCCTGCACACTGGTTTCTTCAGTGATCTTAAAGGAAATCCCCAAAAGCATTTCAGTTTACAAAACAATTCTCCTTCCCTTCAGAGGTAAAAGTGGTCGTGCCCGGTGGAGACAGCTGAGCTCTGCTGAGCTCGGACGGGACCGGCCAGGCAACCCCACCCCCTGGGTGCACACTCACTCTGGCCTTGCTAGCTTGCCTTGGAGGCTGTGTCTTTTTGTTTGTTTCTCACTGTGACATCAAATGTGATAGCAAGGAGATCTGGAGTCCCTGAGCCCCTGCTTCAGATTAAAAAAATCCAAAAGAAAACAAAGGCACACTCGACATAGAGCAGCACCATGACTCACCAGGACCCTAAGCATGCAGCACTCGAGCGCGCCGCTCCTGGCCCGCTCCTCCTGCCCCCACCCCACTCCTCAGCCCTTGGCAGACAGCTGGGAGAGTGCCCGTGGTCGAAGCAGTCACCTGGCTGGAGCCACTCTCAGTTGGGGCACTGCTCCCTGCTGTTCCAGGGAGGCAGGCTGGACCTGGGGCTGACTTTCTCTCCTGTCCATCTTTTTCCCGGCAAGAGGGAAAATCACTTAAAAACTTCCCCACACCCATAAGTATGCTGGTCAATGAGGAACAACCAGTCCTGCATAGAAAATGGCCCTGTTCCCAGCCTGGGCAACATAGCAAGACCCCATCTCTACAGATTAACAGATTTTTCTTTTAATTAGCCAGGCATGGTGGCACATGCCTGTGGTCTCAGCTATTTGGAAGGCAAAAGTGGGAGGATTGCTTGAGCCCCAGAGGTCAAGCCTGCAGTGAACCAAGATTGTGCCACTGCACTCCAGCCTGGCCGACAGAGTGAGACCCTGTCTCAAACAAAAGAAAAAAAAAGAAGAAAAGAAAAGAAAGAGAGAGAGAGAAGGAAAGAAGGAGGGGAGGGAGGGAGGAAGGGAGGGAACAGCCCTGTTTGAGGAAAAAGAAAACAGCCCTGTTTGTGGCACTGGTCGAATCCCATGGTCCAAATGCCCCACCATGGATGCCTTTCAGCCAGCAGTGCTGGGCTCGCAAATGAAGAGCTGGGAGGAGAGCACAGTGGGAGCCGCCAGCCCAGGTCGGAGGCCACACTGCCCAGAGCCAATGGCTCCTTGACTCCCGAGCAGAGGGAGGGAGAAAGGCCACCCATATGGCGGGTTTGCTGTTACTTCCGACTTAACAAGAGACAGACCACGTCTTCAAGCCAGGGATGTGGCTAGAGTCAGCGCGGCCTTGTCACTTGTGATGGGTACTGAGAGGTACAGCCTGGGACATCTAGAACCCAGGAAAGAGAAACCTTCTTGCCGTGTAGGGAAGGTCCCCGCAGGGAGAAGGTGGGAGGATTTGTATTGTTTCCCTCACCAAATAGATGCTTTTTGGTGGCCGTCCCAGACAGCGCCGGTGTGTGTAGGGATGGCCCTGGGTGTCCTAGGCTCTTGGAGGTCTCCTCTTCCTCCTCACTTTATGGGGTGTGGATAACACCTGGCTCACCTGCCCGGGGCAACAGAATCTGGGGTATGGAGTTGAGCGTGTGGCAGCCGGGTCACGGGTAAAATCCCTTACGGGGGTCATCTGACGTGGCAGCTGCTAGACCAGCCGCCACCCACCACGCAGCAGGCCTGCTGAGCCCGGGATTCTCTTTCCAGGGATGGCACCCCAGGCAGCCAGAGTGTGGCTGAGAAGTTCGAGGTGAGCTGGGAGACGGTGATGGTGAGCAGCCACGGCGCGGTGGTGGTAAAGTGTGACGGCCGTGGCAGCGGCTTCCAAGGGACCAAGCTCCTGCACGAAGTGAGGCGGCGGCTGGGCTTGCTGGAGGAGAAGGACCAGATGGAGGCCGTGCGGTGAGCACCCGCCCAGGAAGCAGGAGAGGCCGGGAGGGGACGGGGCTCCTCATGGGGGCAGCACCGCAGTCACAGTGCGGGAATGCTTTTTCTCCACGCACACATTTTTCATGCAATTTGCTCTTACCTAAAATCTCTTGGCCATTCCAAAGAAGTTTCAAAGGAAACTTAGGAATCTTCTCCTAGGGACATTTATAACTAGTTTTCCCACTGCAGGGTAGATTGTTGAGTTGACTAAAACAAGGGGATAGAAATTGCCGGTTGGGTTGGCTTGGCTTTTCTGCGCTGTGGTCACTGACCCGGGCCAGTGTCCACGCATGTCTTTGCCATTTATCCCAAGGGGAGGAGAGAAGAGATCAGGAAGGAAGGACAGAAAAAGGGAAGGAATATGAATGGGGCTGGATCCGTGGAAATGGGTCACCCTCGTTACTGAGAGCAGGACCTCCATGCACATCCAGGTGGGGCCAGAATGCCCTTCCCGGCTCTGAGGAAGGGCAGGCTTTTGTTCTGTCATTCCTGTGCATCCCTATCACTGACTCAGCAAGAGCAACCGACATCACAGAAACAAAAGGAGGCTTAGCACCAAGGGGCAGATGCTCCAAATGACTTATTGAATCTTATTGTTGCACTGGAAATAAAAAGACATCAAGACACTGCGCCAGGCTGCAGCTGGCCTTCAGGCTCATTTTGTAGAAGCAGTTTTCACAGTCTGATGGCACAGAGGACTGCAGCACTTACTCTAACTTCACCCCTTAGAGATGCTGCAGGAACAGCTCAACGGACTGTGGACTTGGGTTCTGAGAATGACAAGAAGGCAGGGAGAAGCGCATCTACCAGGGACCCCCGCCGCGACCATGATCATCACCGTTATGGGCAGGGGAGCGTGAGGCTGGGCCCGGGCACACAAGGAGGGTGGAGCACAGAGCCCAGCTCAGTACATGTTTATTGACTGGACCTGGCATCTCTGTACCTATTATACCAGGGTGCTTTGTGCGTTTGGAAATTTTTACTCAACTGACTTTGAAAACATTTCTCCTCATTTTGAAAAAGATTGACGGCCCTGGTATGTACTCAGCGAATGGTCTTTCAATGGAAAACAATGAGCGTGTGAATGAATGGTTCCGGTCCTCCTCCAGGGAGCTATGAGCTGGGTGATGGCAGACAAAGCAATTGCTTCAGAAACCCGTGTTGCAGCTGGGAAATACGGAGCGGGAGAGCTCTCAGGACTCAGATACTCAGGGAAGGAGTGTCTGCCAGGATGCCTTTGCCTGGAAGTCAATGACTACAACAACACATGTGTGCGTGCACACACACACACACACACACACACACCTCTCAAATAAGGAACTATATTGGCTACAAAAGACACAGGGATGTCAGGTCTCAAGGTTGATGAATCCAGACACCAACAATGTCACCAACGACCCAGGCTCTCTCCGTCTCTCCGCCCAGCCAGCCATGATGGTCTCATCCTAAGCCGAGCCCTCAGTCACGGGGTGGCCCTCAGTAGCACCTGGCTCCATGCTTCGTCATCTACCTCCAGCAGGTTGGGGAGGAAACCACTTTTAGAAACTTCCAGAAAGGAAAGGAAAGTCTCCCCACAAGCAGACAGCAAACCTCTCCTTCCATCTCCCTGGCCCTCCCCTGCCCATTCCAGAACCTGCCACCAGTGAGACAGGTGCAGGCAGCCCCCCCAGAGACCAAGTGGGTCCGTCTGACACCAGTGTGGGGCCAGCCCCTGAGCAGAGGATGTGGGGTGACAAGGGAATGCTGGGGTTCAGTGTGGAAGGAGGATGGGTGGGTGGCTGCTGGGTCAGCAGCGGGCAGTGCCAGCCACAGAGGACTCCCAGGACACGGAAGCCGGCCCAGGCTGCGCTCTGGAGTGGAGTGGGCCTGGCTTCCTGGGTGGGGGCACGAGTGCTCTCCTGGCTTCCCAGACCTCCTCCTTTGGGTCTTTTTCATTTGTGTGTGGCTTCCCCTGCCATCTCCTGCTCTTTCCTCACCCCACCTGCTCTATCTCCTCCCAGGGAGATTTGGAAGCCCGGGGCCTCCCCGCCATCAAGGGCAGGCCCAGGGGAAAGTCGCAGCACCCTCAGGCTCCCCTTCGACACTTGGCTCTGCCTGGCATCTTCCCCAAAGAGCACAGGAATTAGAGGGCAAAGGTGTTTCACACACACACACGTCGTGCCCTAAAAAGAAGGAATGGGCCCAACCATCTGTTCCAAAACAAGGCAGAACCTGTTCTGGAAAAAGTCAATAATGCCAACTCCTAAACCACCGAAGCTCAAAGAATGGGAGCGTGTGGACAACGGCAAAGCTTAGAGCCGTTGCCAAAGCACAGACTTTCTTAGGAAGCTGATGCCCAATGGCGCCAAGCCATAGAAAGCCTCCCTCAGCTCTCCCTAGGAACGAGGTCTGCATTTTCATTCATCAGAAAGAAATAGCCCAATTTGATCGGAAACCTAAAATCAGGAGGCTGACACATTAGCCTGACTCCTCCCACTCCCACAGTTCCCCCGTCCACCACCACCATATCCTCACCGAGGAGCCCACAGGCCAGCCTCCCACGAGCAGCTGAGATGAGCTGTGGAAGGGAGCTCGTCCCACCCCTGTGGAAGGCAGCGGGCAGCTGTGTAAACCCGACTAGGGCCGGTGGGCTCCTGTCTCCTAGAGACAGGTTGTCTCTGGGCTCAACTTGGGATTTTCTTCACGATTGTTTCTTTTGGGTCCTACGTGCTCATGTGTACACACACAGACACCCTGGGTCATGTGCTAAGGAGCAGCAGAAATGCCTCATTTTTATTTACTCATTTGTTCACGTAGCTAGTGGAGGAAGCCAAAATAGTTATCCCCAAAATATTGAGACCTGCTAAGTGAAAGATACTGAAAACACAGGGACTCTCTGCCTCTGCCCCTGTTTGCCAGACGCCAGGACATCCATCCTTCCTTCCTGGGGACAGCACCTGCTCATCAGCCCAGAGAGGGTCCCAGCCGTTGCCAGGGTCTCTGGGGGCAGATTGCATTGCCTTCTCACAGGTTCCCTCCTTTTAAAAGACTGGGGGCTGGGCATGGTGGCTCACGCCTGTAATCCCAGCACTTTGGGAGGCCCAGGTGGGCGGATCACCGGAGTCCAGGAGTTCAATCAAGACCAGCTGGCCAACATGGTGAAACCCCGTCTCTATTAAAAACACAAAAATCGGCCGGGCGCGGTGGCTCACGCCTGTAATCCCAGCACTTTGGGAGGCCGAGGCGGGCGGATCACGAGGTCAGGAGATCGAGACCATCCTGGCTAACACGGTGAAACCCCGTCTCTACTAAAAAAAAAAAAAAATACAAAAAATTAGCCGGGCGAGGTGGCGGGCACCTGTAGTCCCAGCTACTCGGGAGGCTGAGGCAGGAGAATGGCGTGAACCCCAGGGGGCGGAGCCTGCAGTGAGCCGAGATTGTGCCACTGCACTCCAGCCTGGGCGACAGCGAGACTCCGTCTCAAAAAAAAAAAAAAAAAAAAAACACAAAAATCAGCCAGGTGTAATCCCAGCTACTCAGGAGGTTGAGGCAGGAGGATCGCTTGAACCTGGGAGGCAGAGGTTGCGGTGAGCCACGATCACGCCACTGCACTCCAGCCTGGGCAATGAGCCAAACTCCATCTCAAAAAGAAAACCGTAAATAAATAAAAGACTGGAGCTGCTCTCTCCTTTGCCTGGTCACTATGCTGAGAGTTATGGCTCTTTGTTAAAATACTGTGTAAACAGGGCCCCTACACCACTGCCTTAAGAGGCACTGGAACTGAGGCCTCCGCCACGTGGAGGGCACAGCGCACGCCAGGAAATCTCTTCCGGTTTTCCTCTTGTTCATCTGACTTTCATTTTCAGGACAGTGACAGTGTCTCGACCAGGAACTCATAAGGGTTGAGAAAAGAAATTATATTTTCTCCTCTTTACTAGAAAATGTCTAAAAATATCTCTAACTCCACACTTGACATTATGGCTTGGCTTGAGGTAAAATCCAGACAGACAATAATTTCCATCTAACAAGCAACAAGCCCACAGCCTGCAGGCGTCCTGCTGCTGGTTGAGGTCCAGAAACCGGAAGGACCCCAGCCACTTCGTGGGGGAAGCAGAAGACCACAATGCGGGGCAAGGTCCCAGCAAGGGTGAGGCAGGGACCCAGGCAGCACTGGCCCAGAGCACTGAGGCCCAGAGCACCAAGCGGCTGCTGCCAAGGCTGGGCCGTAGCAGGAAGCTCATGGGAAGAATCCCTCTGTGGCCAAACAGGTACAAGACAGGGGCCTCCTCCCAGGAATTGGGAACAGAAGGCTGTGCAGGTGGGATGGGGTCTCACTGGCTTGACTCTGAGCCCAGAAGCATAGAACCAGAGCTCCACAGATTCCTGCCGACCCCTAAGGCTCATCCCAGAGCCCGCGTGCTTGGAGTCACAGGCTCTGGGTGGGGGCCCAATAGCAGCAGATGGACCCCATGCAACAGGGGCTGCGTCTCCCAGAAGGGGCTCTGCGGCTGTGGATTAATGGCTCGCAGTCGAGAAGCTTCTATACCTGGAAGTGCTACAGAGTTATTGCAAGGGTGCTTTGAGGTTTTAACGTGAACATGCTGACTTGGCACTAAATAAATAAAAGCAATAAATAATTATATTGGAATGCTAAGGTTGCTTTTTATTTGAAGAGGGGTTTTCATCCTTGAAATGGATGGAAAACATGGCTCTGGGCTACAGGAAGACAAAGTGGCAGCAGGATGTGCACTGAACCCTCTTTCCCCTCCTCGACCTCACAGGACGATGCTGAAGGAGCAGTACATTGACAGGACGCGCGTGGCCGTGTTTGGGAAGGTGAGTCTGCGCCACCCTGGTCTGAAAACCCCTCAGTTCCAGTGTGGCCTGCACCATTACCCACGTCTAATCCTGATTTATTGAGAACGTCTGTGGTCTGCTGGTGAGCAAGTAATTTTTTAAAATCAAGAGCCTGGGTGCTTAGTGATTCCAGCCGTGGGAGGTTTCATTTGATCAGCTCATTTTCCTAAGTTTCTTTTTACATTATCTGGAAGGAAAGAGAAGGGAAGCCAAGTCCCCGCAGGAGAGCTCTAATACATTCCTAATGACTTTTCTCCCATCCATCTGCTGTAGCTCTTGGCATGGTAGCCAGGAAAGAAGCAAAGCAGGAATCTATTTCTGGATAACTCGATGTGGAGTAACAACGTTAATTACCATGTCTACTTAGACGGAAGCACAGGTGTGGGGAGGGTCGCGCAGTGAACTCTCAAACCAGAGCCGCTCCCATCTGGTGGCCCTTGTCAGAAGGCTGTAGCCTGGGACAGCTCAGCTGTAGCTGAGGCCCACGGTTTGGAGTTAGGTCTCTGCACCGCCACCTACTATGGCCCTGGTACATGGCCCCTCATTCTCCTTAGCCTAGACCTGGGGCCTCTTGATCTCAAGAAGGCCAGCACACAGATGGGTCGGTATAGACCCATCTTCCCTCTGGGAGTGACCCTCAGCACAGGCCCTGCAGAGGAGGCCTTGCTGTGACACCCCCGCAGGTGAAGGCTTGGACAAGTAATCAGCACAGTGCCTCTTACGTCATCGCCTCCAAAACCTCAGAGCCCAGCATGCACTGGAGACCCGGCCCTGCCCTGTGGGCTGCTCCCGGAAGCAGGGGATGCAGGAGCCCTCCCACACCTCCTCCTTACCTGCCGGAGGTGAAGTGGTCAGGAGGAGGGCCGGCGGCTTCTCTCCTTGTTCAGAGCCCGGGCACAGAGCCCTAGAGGTGCATTCCAGGTGCCTAGATGTCCACTCACTGCCTGTGAGGCCCGAAGCCACTGGGTCATTGGTAGGTGTAACTTGGGTGTCAATAGCCATCACCTCTCCCCACCCTCATGGAAGTGACTTCCCAGCAGACTGGCAGCTGAAAGGCAGGGAGCCTGGGCCGTGGTCAGTCTTTTCCAGTCGTCACTCTGCCCCAAATGCACATGGATGCCACTCCTGAGGGCTTGGCCTCCTTCCTGTGCCTTGCATATAGTCCATCCACTCAGGGCCTTTCATAGTTCACTTCTGGACACAGAGAGGCTTTCTCAACAGGCAGTTGGTCCAGAAGCACAGGCAGCCGAGGTGCCAAAGGGAAAGGGGACCCTGTGCACCTGTCAGAGCACAACTGATGCACCCCCACACCCTGTACCCCCGCACTCAGCTCCGCCGAGGACATCTGTCTGAGCTCCGTGCTGGGGATCTTTCCTTTGCCATTCTGCCCAGTGGATCCCGGGCGTCTTTCCAGAGCATAAGCATCTCTGTTTTGTTTTAACAAGCCTTAGATAGAGGTCCGTAGACCCCACAATGGTATTTCTCCTCTGAAGAATAAAGCGTCAATCCTTTTAGTGGCTTGGCATGTTGCGGCCTGTCCATTCTGTTTCCTCCTCGCATGTGCCCCAGTGATCTGGCTGCAGCCTTTGTCAGGCATCGCAGGACCTGGGACACAGAGCCCAGGGGAGCAGCAGCCACCCTGCACCCAGAGGTGACCTGGAGAGCAAGGGGGCACCTGTGCGTTATGTTCTGCAGTTTCCCCCCCGACACCGAAAATCCCCCCTGCAGAAGATTGCCTGTCTCTCATTTAAACCAGAGCAGGCCGCGTGGCCCTGCAGGAAAATGAGATTTAAAGAAAACGAAGAATGACAAGTAAGGACGTGTGGAGTTCACTGACAATAAATATTATTTGTCAGAAAATGAAAATCTTCTTTCATTGTCATTAGACAAGGTGCCCCTGCCCTATTAAAGGAACACACCGGAACGATCGTGCAGGTCATAAATGGTTGATCTTGGAGTTTGGCATGACCTGCGCTTCACGGTCTCAGTCAGGTACCTGGGTTCTCTACACTCCATGCTCCCAACACGCATGCTCACAGACTCACATACACATGGATGCTCACCCATACACATGCTCACACACACATGCTCACACATTCACACACATGCTCACCCATACACCTGCTCACCCATACACATGCTCTCACATACATGTGCTCACACATACACACACATGCTCACCCATACACATGCTCACACATTCACACACATACACAAATGCTCACATACACGCTCACACATACACACACATGCTCACCCACACAATGCTCACACATTCACACACGCTCACCCATACACCTGCTCTCACACACATGCTCACACATACACACACATGCTCACCCATACACCTGCTCACACATACACATGGTGTCACACACACGCTCATACACACACATGCTCACACACACGATTACATACACCTGCTCACACACACACACATGCTCACCCATACACATGCTCACACACACGCTCACATTCACACACATGCTCACCCATACACTTGTTCACACATACACATGCTCTCACACATGCTCAGACACATGCTCACCCATACACATGCTCACACACGCTCACACATTCACACACACCTGCTCACACATACACATACATGCTCACCCATACACCTGCTCACACACACATGCTCACCCATAAACATGCTCACACACACACATGCTCATACACGTTTACCCATACACATGCTCACACGATTACATACACCTGCTCACACACACACGTGCTCACAAATTACATACACATGCTCACACATACATGCTCACAAACACGACTACATACACCTACTCACACACACATGCTCACACAATTACATACACCGACTCACGCACACATGCTCACACAATTACATACACCTGCTCACCCATACACACATGCTCACATGATTACACATGCTCCCACATACATACATGCTCACACACATTACATACACATGCTCACACACGCTCACACATACACACGAGTACATACACGCTGACACATGCTCACACACACGATTACATACACATGCTCACACATACACATGCTCACCCACACACACGCTCACACATACACTCACACACACCTGCTCACACATACCCATACATGCTCACCCATACACATGCTCACACACACATGCTCACCCATACACATGCTCACACACATGCTCACCCATACACATGCTCACACACACATGCTCATACACGTTTACCCATACACATGCTCACACACGATTACATACACCTCCCACATACACGATTACATGCACCTGCTCACACACACACATGCTCACAAATTACATACACATGCTCACACATACACATACATGCTCACAAACATGATTACATACACCTACTCACACACACATGCTCACACAATTACATACGCCTACTCACACACACATGCTCACACAAATTACATACACCTGCTCATACACACACACATGCTCACACGATTACATACACATGCTCCCACATGCTCACCTATACACATGCTCACATACACACGAGTACATACACATGCTGACACATGCTCACACACACGATTACATACACATGCTCACACACATTCACATTCACATGTTCACGCACACATGCTCACATGCTCACCCATACATACACACGATTACATACACATGCTCATACATACACGATTACATACACATGCTCACACAGGCTCATACACATGCTCTTACCCATACATGCTCACACACACACATGCTCACACACAAGCACACATGATCACACAGGCACACATGATCACACATACACAGGCTTGCACAAGTTTACACACATACTCATACATGCTCACACAGGCATACACACATGCTCACATATGCACACACTCTCACATGTATAGGCACACACAGGATTACACATGCTCACACATGTGCTTATACACATACACCCATGCACATGTTCACACGTTTATACACACATATCACACACACACACCCCCATATACTCACACACACGCTGCCACATGCTCTGTCTCTCACACATACCTGACAGTTCCGTGCTGTCCCGTTTCCCTCGGGGTCTTCCCTTCGGAGGCTGCAGCTCGTCTGAGCATCCAGCCTTGAAGGCACTGAGCAGGCAAGGAGGTAGGGCTTTTCTCTGGGGAGGCCTGCGTTGCAGTACGGCTTCCTCATCCCCACCAAGGGCAGGGAAGGGCAGGAGTCTAGGACTTACCTGAATACAGAACACCTGGGAGCGTCTGTCTCGTGTCGGCCTTGTGCTGAGCATGTGCAGACCAGGACTTGCGCCCTAAGCCACTTGTTGGCCCCTCCCTCAGAATCATGTGCAGTGGCTTGGCCTCACCCACAGACAAGGGAGGCGGTAAGAAATGCCATAAAGAGACGCTGAGCCTGAAGGACAGCACCTTACACCTGTGCAGTCCACACTTGCCTTTCCAATTCGCCGTTGCATTTCATCCTCACGTCCCTTGACACCAAGGCCCAGAAGCGGAGAAGGCGCACGTCGCATAATGCTGAGTTGGAAGGGAGTTTGCTTTTCATCTCTTGTTACTGCCCCGTGAACAACTTTCCAAGTGACACATTTTGTAAAAGGAGAGAACCTGCATGGAACTGGCTGCTCTGGGGCTGTCTCCCTGCCCGAGGCTGCTTCATGCTGAGTTACTGCCAGGACTCCTAACTGTCTTCTCTCTGCGCTTTCTCCAGGATTACGGTGGCTACCTGAGCACCTACATCCTCCCAGCAAAGGGAGAAAATCAAGGCCAGACATTCACCTGCGGCTCTGCTCTCTCTCCAATAACAGACTTCAAACTCTATGGTAAATAGCCCTGCAGGACCAAGCGACGGGCTCTGCTCCCGCCCCGCCCCGCCCCCTGCCTGCGTGGCCCCACAGCCCTCCCTTCAGCACCACCGTCCCGCTAACCACAGGTGCCTCCAGGCCACAGTCACCACCTTGGGCTGATGGAAGAACCCGGGGAAGGAGAGGGAAGGGTCTCAGGTAATATGTTTTGAATGAAAGTGGTCAATCCCCAGATGCCTACAAATCACATCCCAATGAAGACCACGAGTTGGAAACAGCTAGTACTCCGCTGGCAGCAGTGGGGGCGAGGAAGCCAGGGTGCGCAGGAGGGGAGCAGGTGCCACAGGCCCTGCCGGGCCGCCCTCCTTCTCTGCTCCCAGAAGAATCCGAGCAGGGCCCTGCCCTGAGTTCTATGCCTGGGCATGGGTATTTGGTGCACAGGTGTTACCAGATAAGGAAGGGATGGTTGGGAGGGAATTGCTACCATAGAGCAATTCAACGAGGTCCACGTGGCTCAGCTCTGCCTTCCCATCTCCCTGGCCATGCAAATGGCACCTGGTCAGCACCTGTCCTCAGAGAGTATGGCTCTCCATGAGCACAAGGCAGAGATGGGGTCAGGCTGTCAGGGTGACCTGCTGTGGGGATCAGATGGAGATGAGCCCACCCAGGTGTGGGAACCAGACCTCTGTCCAGGCACAGAAGGGCTTTGCTGTGTTTGGGGGTTCCAGGCTCCTGCATTCTCCTCCTTATGGTCACCCAACCCTTTTTCTCTGAACCTGAGCTCTGTGACCTGAACCCATTTCTTAGAATATACAGAGAGGTCTTTTCTGTGGCTCCGAGAACTTGAATTCAGGTCAGGGCTCCGTGGCAGCCAGGCTGTTCCCTCCAGCTGTCCCCACCCTAAGCAGCGCTGGCAAGTGAGGTGGAAATGGAGGGGGCTTCCTGCTGCTGGTCCACCGCAGTCCTGCCAGAGCCTGACATTCCCTGCAGGTTGGAGGAACGAGTCCAGCCCCCATTGCCACACCTAGCCCTAGCCCTGCTGTGCTGGCCGAGCCCTGTAGACACCGCCCAGCAAGGCAGGGACCACGGTGGGCCCAGCAGCCTCCTGGCTGGTGCAGCCAAGTCTCCCAACACCTTCACAGCGGGCTCACTCCAGTGCAAATTTTAACTCGTACAGGAACTCTCCTGGTCCAAAATGTGAATCATGTAAGAGGAATCTTCCCTCAGGAATGCGGGTGCCACCTTCAAATTGAGTGAGACTTTCTTAATTCTTTCATCATGCTGTTTCAGATTTGTCTGATTCAAATGCACATAAATCTGAATCAGATTGTCTGATTCAAATGCACACAAAAGCTGCCATCATGTCTTGATGGGTCACTGTGCCCAAAACCAGCCAGTCCTCTTCATTGTCTCCTGGGCGCCCTCAGGCTTACCCTGCAGGCCAGGGGCACTGTGCAGAGCCCTTTCGGCCCTCAGCCCTGGGAGAAGCCCCTGACACTCTTCTGTCACCCAGCTGACCGCAGGGCCTCAGGCAGAACCAAGAGCAGGGATGTGCCTGGACTTTTTAAAAAATAAGTAAATCTTGATGGAAATGTGCTCTCTTACCACCCATGCCCTTCCTAAGTGTTGAAGGAGGAGGTTATCCTACTTATTTAGGAATCAGATTAACTGGGTTTTGCTTAATTAAGGTTCTGCGATGCTGATGAAAATTGCAACACCGGCACTCACACACATTAAGGTTCCCGTTGTACCGCCTGATGCCCCTTGTAAAGACCCAAATGATTTAGGTGGTGTTTTTAAAAAACCAACAATCTGCCACACAAGTGGCAAGTGGGAATGAGCCTGAGTCCTCACCCCGCACCCGGTCCAGGGCCCTCCCTAGAGTTTGGGGGCTGCGCTCACAGGGCCTCGAAGCCAGAGGTAACCTCCCTCCCTTTGCTTCCGTGCAGCCTCTGCGTTTTCCGAGAGGTACTTGGGCCTCCATGGACTTGACAACAGAGCATACGAGGTGTGTATGGGCACAACTAGAGAATGTGATGAGACCAGTCAGCCTCTGCCACAGTCTCCCAGCCTGCCCTGGCTGTATGGCCCACTCTGCCTTCCCCAGCCCCATGCTTCTCCCTCACCAGCACCAAAGCCCACTCAGAAACCTCCGAAGGATCATTCCACCAGAGAGTGGATTGAGGTTAACATGGCCTCTCTGGGTTCCGCCTGATTTCCCATTATAGGACTTGAGGGATGAGGAAGAAAGTAAGAGGATATTTGATGGCGGAGTCAGTCCCAGCGTCCATGGATACCTGATGTGCACAGGACTCCTGGCTCTCCCTACAGCCAGAGCTGTGCTGCTGGGGGAGAGTGAGCTTTTTTTTTTTTTTTTTTTGAGATGGAGTCTTGCTCCATTGCCCAGTCTAGAGTGTAGCAGCATGATCTCGGCTCACTGCAACCTCTGCCTCCCAGGTTCAAGCAATTCTCCTGTCTCAGCCTCCCAAGTAGCTTGGATTACAGGCACACGCTGCCACGCCCAGCTAATTTTTGTATTTTCAGTAGAGACGGGGTTTCACCGTGTTGGTCAGGCTGGTCTCCAACCCCTGACCTCAGGTGATCCACCTGCCTCAGCCTCCCAAAGTGCTGGGATTACAGGTATGAGCCACCACCCCTGGTCCGAGAGTGAGCTCTTGACTGAGGAGCAGAAGGCCTCTCTGATGCGACCTCCTGAGTCAGACCTGTTGATTTGGTGCAGCTGTCAGACACGGCATTTCTCCAGCTGTGCGCAGGGAGGGAGGCCAGAGCTCCTGGCCGAGGCAGCACTGCATTTTCAGAGTGGAAACTTGGACAAAGGAACTGAGTCCAACCAGGGAGTCAGCTCCCTGAGGCTCCAGGTGAAATGATGGCCCTCTAAGGCTACCTGGAGTTGGAGGAAACTCTTCCTTTTTCCCTTCTTCTCTTCCACCCCCTCCTCTTCCAAAAAGGGAGTTAATGTGGGGGAAAGCTGGGTGTGGTATATTAGTCCGTTTTCATGCTGCTGATAAAGACATACCTGAGACTGGGCAATTTACAAAGGAAATAGGTTTAGTGGAGAACTTACAGTTCCACATGGCTGGGGAAGCCTCACAATCATGCTGAAGGCAAGGAGGAGCTGGTCACATCTTACACAGATGGCAGCAGGCAAAGAGAAAGCATGTGCAGGGAAACTCTGCCTTATAAAGTCATCAGCTCTCGTGAGATTTATTCATTATCATGAGAACAGCAGCACAGGAAAGACCCACCCCCATGATTCATTCATCTCCCACTGGGTCCCTCCCACAACTCGTGGGAATTATGGGAGCTACAAGATGAGATTTGGGTGGGGACACAGAGTCAAACCATACCACTGGGCTTCTGACATCTGCCCTGCATTTCTTTGCAGATATAAGGCATCCCGGTTCTCCGGGAACTTAGTGTTTTCAATACACTTCACCTACCTTCTCAGTCAGGTTTCCAAGCAGAACACCTGGCTCCCTGCAGTGCAGCCCCCTAACTCTGTCCCCTTGCCCCCGCATGTGCAGATGACCAAGGTAGCCCATCGAGTCTCCGCGCTGGAAGAACAGCAGTTCCTGATCATTCATCCCACTGCCGATGGTAAGGACTGAAAACATGAATTCACTGTGTATCTAGTAAGAGCCTCCTCCTTGATGGCACCATGGGTTTTAACAAATGTCTTCCTCTCTTTTTTTTTTTTTTTTTTGCACAGAAAAAATTCATTTCCAGCACACAGCAGAACTCATTACACAACTAATTAGGGGAAAGGCTAATTACAGCTTACAGGTACAGTACGCATGTTACTCTGTTTTGAACCTGGAGCAAGACATTCCTTTCATGGAGAAAGACCTGACGGGTGTTCAGGGCCTTCTACTGCAGCAGACACGCCTGTGCTGTGGTGGTCGGTGATGAGCAAGGTCCCAGCAGGTTGGAAAATCAGCACATGCTCAACGTTTTCTTATAATTAATGATAGCTCCGCTCTGTACTTCAGCCCGGTTTAAATCCCTTTAGGACAACCATCTCCCCGTACTCCCACCCCAGCCCTGCTCCCCTCCTCCGGGCAGTGAGAAGAACCAAGCCAGCACCCACCCTGCCCAGCAGTGTGGCTGGGGCTATCCCGCTGCGGAGAGTGGGACTGTTGTTCTGGGTTGGTGAGAGTGGTGCTGGTGGGCCCTGAGCCTTGCCCCACTGCTTCCCTCTGACCAACACCACATGTTACTACGCACTAGCAGGATGTCCTGGGGCCATCTGTAGCTAGGCAGTAGTGAAAGAGGGGTACCCTTCCCAGAACTGAACTCACTTTCCCACAACCAACCCGTGGCCCGTCCACAACAGCATCAAGTGCTGACCCAGCAGCCTCAAACCTGGGCTCTTCCCAGTAATGCACAGGGATGTCTCTGGAAACTTCTGCCATTTCCTTCCTGCCTTCTGCTCCTTTGGTGGAACAGGTATGACCCAATGGTCTCTTCAGGTCCAACATGAATGAATGGGAGAGCTCCTTGGGGACAGATGACAGGCAGGCACCCTGCCTCCCTCAGAGAGCTCTTGCCCTGGGCTGATCACTGCCTTGGCCTCCAGCATCCCTGCCTGTGGGAGGGAGGGACCACCTGTGGGCTTGATCAGGCAGGGAGAGCTCCAGCCAGAAGGGAGTTGGACCCCAGTGTGGATGAAGAGGGGCAGAAGGACGGGGTTACACCACACTTGAGTTCCCTTGTGAAAGACGTTCAGATTTCAGACTTTTTCAAAGTAAGTGTGGCAGTTGCATGGCAGTGTTAAGCACACTGACCATGGACGCTCCAAAGGTCCATGTGTATGTGTTCATGTGGGCAACTCCCCAAGATATGGGGCGAGCTGAACCCCCCAGGTACAGAGCAGCCTGCATCGCTGCAGGCTCCATGGGTATCAGGGAGCAGGACCCACCCAGGGACACACATGTGGGCACAGCAAAGGCCTTCACAGACACCCCATGCATCTGGAGCCAGGCCCAGCCCCAGGTAAGAGCACGGGAGACGGGGGCCTGAGGCAGGAGGAGAAAGCTTCCTGCCCATATCCTCTTGTACTACTTGATGTTTTAATGACATATCATAGCCTAATGACAGCATTAATAAATACTTCAAAATAAAGATGAATTTCACCCTCCAAAAACATACAAAGAAGGCAGGAAGAGGCAGTCTAGTGTCATAGAAAGATGTAGGTTTTGGGCCAGATGCAGTGGCTCACACCTGTAGTCCCTGCACTTTGGGAGGCTGAGGTGCGGGGATTGCCTTGAGCTCAGGAGTTTGAGACCAGCCTAGGCAACAGAGCAAGACCCCATCTCTACAAAAAGTTTTTAGAAAATAGCCGGACGTAGTCATGTGTACCTGTGGTCCCAGCTACACAGGAGGCTGAAGTGGGAGAATCACTTGAGCCCAGGAGGTTGAGGCTGCAGTGAGCTATGGTAACACCATGGCATTCCAGCCTGGGCGACAGAGTGAGACCCTGTCTGAAAAAGAAAAGAAAAAAATAAGATGCAGGCTTTGAATCCCTGCACGTGCACAGATGGTTCACGGTGCTCCTAGGAGATGGTGGCATCACCGCATTGGCAGTAGAATAATTAGCCATCATCCTATTGGCATCTGGGACCGAATGAGCCCACATTCCAGGCCTCATTCTAAGCACGGCACGGCTATAAGATTGTTTAATTCTCACAAAGTGTCATGAGCTGGAGTCTGTGATTATCCTCCCCACCCGACACACCTGGAATCCGAGGCTCAGGCAAGTTAACCTCCACAGTCACACAGGGAGTAGCCAGGACGCAAAATCTGTGGGGTGGGCCCGTGGGCACCCAGGACAGCACGCAGCCCTTCCACGGGAGTTTCCCACACTCAGAGTGTAACTGAGAGAGCATAGGAGTGTAATGGCGCGATCTCGGCTCACAGCAACCTCCGCCTCCTGGGTTCAAGTGATTCTCCTACCTCAGCCTCCCGAGTAGCTGGGATTACAGGCACGCCCCACCATGCCCAGCTAATTTTTGTATTTTTAGTAGAGACACGGTTTTACCGTGTTGGCCAGGCTGGTCTCGAACTCCTGACCTCAAGTGATCCTCCCGCCTCGGCCTGCCAAAGCACTGGGATTACAGGCATGAAATTCTATTTCTTTTCAGAGCCTGACACCCTGAAAACTTGGGCTGCGGCTCTGTAGTCCCTAAGCTTGTATCCATGTTGCAAATTCAAGCAAGCAGATCCGGACTGTAGAGTGTTGAATGAAGAGCTTCCCAATGTTTTCACCCAGTTCCCACTGAGCATTTGCTGTGCCTGGAGAGGGCCAGGCACCGGGGGCGTGGTGGTGTTTGAAGGCTGGTTGGCTTCACGAATGGGTGGTGCATGTCCACGCTAGGGGAGGCGCCCCTCTGACTGGGACAGCCAGGCAGATCTCCCAGGAGGAAGAGGCACTTCCATCAGGAGTGGCATGGTTAGCAAACCCACTTCATCAACTACAATCCAGCCCCGGACGGGGCCCAGGTTTCACTAAACTCCACACCTTCTGTGCGTTCCCGTCCCCTGGGGAGCGTATACCTGGGAGAGTAATTTCTCCGTGCCTTCCTTGCAGATTTACCCGGACGAAAGCCATTACTTTACCAGCTCCAGCCTCAAACAGCATCTGTACCGGTCCATCATCAACTTCTTCGTGGAATGCTTCAGGATCCAGGACAAACTGCTGACAGTCACAGCGAAAGAGGACGAGGAGGAGGACTAAGCTCAGGTCGCTCTAAGCACAAACGTGGCTCTTTCTACAACCAGATGCAACCGAGGGATTTCCCTGCCCTCCCTCTTCCCTCGGAGGGGCGGGGCGGGGCGGGGCCGGGTGTTCCATAGCATGTGTGTCTCGGATGCGGAAGGCAGTTTTGCTTGGGAAACAAGCTCCTTCCCCGGGGTCATCACTCACGGCCTCCATGGCACCAGGGACAACGCTGTCCCCGCAGCAGCGCCTCCTCCCGGCGCCCGAGAGACCGGCACGCCACGGCCCCTCCCCCAAGGAACAGAGCAAAGGATGGTGGCCGCAGGCCCCACGCGAGCCCACAGGACACCGGCCCCTAGATTCCAGCCACCAAGCGGAAGCATGAGACCCGCCCACACTAGCCTCTGTGTTCCCGTTAGGGACATCACACCCTGTCTCACGTCGCAGTGCCATGGACGCAGCAGTTACAGCACCATTGTTTTAGCAGTGCGTGTTCATATATGGGCTTGCTACTTCCTGTAATGAGGACGTTCAACATGGTGAGGGGCTACAAGAAAACGCTTTTCTGTACAGAGTCTTACTGTAGCTACGCTAATGGTTAACCTGATAGAATTAACTCGTATTTTTCTATGGTTTTAACCTGATGCTCCACTGTCTCCGTCATGGGGTTGTTTTGCTGTTTGGGGTTGGGCCTTGTTTCCCTTTCCTTTCTCCAGTCCACGTGTAGACTTTGCGCTTGATGAAGAAGCAGATCGGAAGTAACTGCTCCCTCCTCAAGGTTGTCTTCAGACGTCTTGGGGACGTTCCTAAACACTGAGGGGGAAGACAGCCAATAGCACCCATTAAAAGAAATACCTAAATAAAACCTCTCTCCCACTCAGCTATGCTAGGGCTTGGCTGTAGGTGTGCACTGTCTATTTACATCCGTCCTTACAACCATCCTTGTCCTCCTTGGTACCGTATCAAGCTCTTTCCCATGACATTTGGTTTAAAAAAAAAAAAAAAAAAAAAAAAAAAACAGAAAAAAGACAAAGCGTCAACTCCACCCACAGGCCCGCTGTGTGTGCTCGGGCCACGGGAGTCCTGAGGGTTCTGTGGGCCTGCGCGCATCCCTCTCCCATCGTGGGGGTGGCTCCGTGACCTTCCTGCCACGAGCAGGAGGTTGATGATGTGCTACGTTAGCCTTGTAAGATACACCCCCACCAAATGTGCAGCCGGTGTTCCCAGTGTATATTTCATTCTCTTGTATATAAAGGAAGCAATGTGTGTCAGGCCTCTGTGCAGTCAACCCAGCCTCCTCCCGCCAGTGCTAACCCCGTGTTGAGCCTGCATGCTGACACTGTGGCCGATCTGGACTCTAGAAGTGCTAGTTTGAAATATATCCATTACTGTCATTTCCTTTTGAGCTTGTGGACAAGCTGAATGTCAGGACTGACTTCGCCAGCTCCCAGCCCTGCGGGGGTGTCCTTGGCATCCCATCAGCAGAGGAGATGCGTCCCTGTTGCATTTTGGCGTTTGGGGCTTTGGGTTTATCCACATGAGCTCTGAACGTCCGTTATAGTTAGGGTGATTGGAAGGTCTCCATCACTGGGTGTTTTAAAGGTGATTCACCACCATTTGTGAAAGGACCAACGTGCTGATAAACAGGACCGATCCGAGTGCTACATGACTGTGCGTTTGCTATTTCAATGGGCCTGAACGACTACAAAGCCAGCTAGGTCTGGAAGGGGAAGCCAGCTCTGGCCACGACATCTGGTCGGAGGGAAGTGGGGATGTGGCATGGTAGCGTCTGTTCATCCATGGAATAAAACATTATTTTACCACTCGGATTGTTCCTTTCTTGCTCATCCTCCCCCATCGCACCTTAGAAAGTGTGCTAGGCTTCAGGAGACTTTCAGAGAACCCACTGGGCCCCTCCAAGACGGATGCATGGCCACAAGAGCCTGTTGTGTGCCAAATGAAGGTTGCATCCATGGTCGCAGCAGTCTGGGTAGTAGAGAAGGACGCAACCAGTCGAATATATCAAAGCCCCAAATCAGTCCAAGAAAACAAATTTGAATTTTGTCTTGGGAGTCTTAGGGTGGAGACGCAGAGCTATTCCCTAACCCTGAGAGTGAAATTGATTCTCAGTGGAAGCCATAGCATTGCCCACTAGAAAACTTTAATTTTTTTTTCTTTTTTTTTGTAGAGATGGGGTTTTGCCATGTTGCCCAGGCTGGTCTTGAACCCCTGGCCTCAAGTGATCCTCCTGCCTCGGCCTCCCAAAGTGCTGGGATTATAGGCGTGAGCCACCATGCCTGGCCTAGAAAACTGTAGAAAAATGTCTCCATCTGTTGGAAATGTATCCACTCATTTGCTGTTATCAATGTCGATGTAAACATGGCCCAGCCTGAAAGCCAAGGGATTGATTTAATTAATTAATTAATACTTCCCGACCATGGAGCAGCTGCTGCCTCAGAGATGGGGGATCAGTCCCATCAGCCCCGCTGAATTAGCTGATTCTTGTCACCCTCTGGATCAAGAATCATGGAAAGAATGGGGTGGGTGGAGAGGAGGAGTTAAAAAGGAAAAAGAAAGAATCAAATGTGAAAGGAGATTTTTAAAAACCAGACACAGCAGAGGCCATCTAAGTCTAACATACTCATTCCCCCCAAACAGTATCTCTGTGAGCCACCCTGGCCCTCTCCCTGGTCTCGCCCCAGAAGGAGGCCAGTGCCCCCATCCCAGCTTTCCATCCCTGAGTCCTTCCCCCGGACCAGGGCTTGATTTGTGGATAGGAGTTGACGGTTTGCTCAAGAAGGTGCATTTTCCCACTTTGGAAAACACTGAGTGTGGAATGACGAGCTAGGCCTGGCCCTGAGAACAAGTGTTGGCCGCAACCAGCAGGGACCACTCCGGTTCCCACTTGGAGAAGCTTTGGTCTTTCCCCAGCTCTAGAATGGCTTTGGGAAGACGCCGGCGTGGCCTCACCAGGCCGCCGCGGCTGTGGTTGCTGTGCCTGCCTGGCTCAAATCCCCCACTGCAGCCTTCTCTGTGTTTTCAAACTGCACGTGCGTGGCACAGTAGAGTGCTACTTTTATTTCCGTTTTAAATTAGGTTTTTGTTTTTTTTTTTTTTTGAGATGGTATGTCGCTCTGTCACCAGGCTGGAGTGCAGTGGCGCAATCTCAGCTCACTGCAACTTCTGACTCCCTGGTTCAAGTGACTCTCCTGCCTCAGCCTCCCGAGTAGCTGGGATTACAGGCAAGCGCCACCACACCCAGCTAATTTTTTGCATTTTTAGTAGAGACGGAGTTTCACCATGTTAGCTAGGATGGTCTTGATCTCCTGACCTCGTGATCCGCCCACCTCAGCCTCCCAAAGTGCTGGGATTACAGGCGTGAGCCACCGCACCTGGCCTAAATTAGTTTTAATACTGAACTTCCAACCAGGCAGCTATGGAATTCCCAAAGCACCATCAGGTTTCTCAGCACCCAGCTCCAGGCCCACAGCCCAACTCCTGGGCTGCCTGGGGCATCTCTGAGGCCATGGGCCATCAGGTTCACAAAGACATGCACGTGGGGGGACCTCCATCCCCACTGGCCTGAAAACATGCTCCTTTCCCTCCTGCCTGACCCAACCCACCCAGAAGCAGTGATTTAAGGGATTGATTGTTTTCGGGAAGCCCCTATTAAAATCCCCTCTGTCACAGAAGAGCCCGGAAGGACATTTTCAGAAGCTCCCTTGGTGCTCCCTCCTGGTACACAGCTGCGTGTTCGTAGACGGGCAGCTACGCCGAGACGGGCGCCTGGTGAGAGCCTGGATGTGCCCACGGACAAGGGCCAGGCCATAAATCAGGGCAGGGCTCCAACCTGCACCTGCAGACACTGCCCCGGGGCCAGGCATGGCCTCTGCAGCAGTTGGTCCCAGAGGTCAGGATTTGAGCAGTAAATACCAGCTTCCCTTATTCTCAGCCCTGCTTCTAACTGAGGACCAACTGGGAAAAGCCAGATACCCACAACCAATCTCCTGGGACGCCCTGCTTCTGAGCGCCTCCAGCTTCCCACTCCAGCAGCCTCCAGCCAGAGCATCCCTGGAGCCTCCTTTTCTCCACCGTGAAGCTCACCCACCCCCCCGTCCGAACGCAGGTAAGAGCAGTGAGCCCCTTGCTGGAGAAAGCTCTGGATAAGCAGCCTCTGCTCACACTCATTTTAGTACAGTCTTAGCCTTAGCGGCCATAGTGAAGTCCCATAGACTGGGGGCTTAAATAGTAGGACTTGATTTCTCACAGTTCTAGAGCCCAGAAGTCTAAGATCATGGGGCCAGCACACTCGGTTCCTGGTGAGGGTTCTCTCCCTGGTTTACTATTGATCGTCTTCTCCCTCTGTCTGCACGTGGCAGAGTGAGAAGGAGCGAGAGGGAGCAAGAGCATGAGAAGAGACTTCTCTGATGTTTCTTCTTACAAGGCACAAATCCCATCATGGGGGACACACACTTATGACCTCTTCTAACCCTAATCACTTCCCAGATGCTCCATCTCTAGCCATCACACCGGGGCTTAGGGCTTCAACAGTGAATTTGGGGAAACATAACATTCAGTCTGTCACAGGTGGTCTTTGTTTATTTTCACACTGGCATTCCAGGGAGAAAATAGGTGTTCTTTTATTTCAGAGAAGAGTTGCTGAGGGGCCTCTGGGGACTCTGAGGCCAGGGAAGGAGGGAGGCAGAGGAGGCGGACAGAGCCTCAGGAGACTGACCTCCCTGCTGGGGCTCCCCAGGGGTCCAGACAGGCAGACGGGCAGCCTTCCAGGGCTGCTCCCGAAGGCCTGGCTTCCCCTCTGCAAACCACAAGCTCCAAAATGGTCATTCTCCATCTGAACTCAGCCAGTGACACTATACAGATAGGGAATCTGAAGCCCAGAGAAGGCAAGGAAGTTGTCCAAAACCACGCAGGAAACAGTCACAGTCCTGCATTCCTTCCGCCCTTTTTTCCTGCTGTGTTTTCTTCAATGATAAACTCACAAGTCCTGGCCTCAGGGCCCCGGGAGTAGTAGCCAGCTGCCTTTCTCCACAGAGCTGGGCTGGGGGTGTCTAGCATGGTCCCTTGGGGTGCTCGTCCTCACCCGTGTGGGTGCCCCAAGCACAGTCTCCAGCCAACATGGAGCCTGGCTCAGTGGACATGGGCGTCAAGATCCAGGCTCTGAGAAAACCACAGAGCTATGGGTCCTTCCAATTCCTATCCAGCCAGGGATCCTTTCTAGAAATTCTCTTTTTTTTTTCCAACTTTTTTTATTTTATTTTTAATTATTATACTTTAAGTTCTAGGGTACATGTGCACAACGTGCAGGTTTGTTACATAGGTATACATGTGCCATGTTGGTGTGCTGCACCCATTAACTTGTCATTTACGTTAGGTATATCTCCTAATGCTCTCCTTTCCCCAGCCCCCCACCCCACGACAGGCCCCGGTGTGTGATGTTCCCCACCCTTTGCCCACGTGTTCTCATTGTTCAGTTCCCACCTATGAGTGAGAACATGCGGTGTTTGGTTTTCTGTCCTTGCAATATTTTGCTCAGAATGATGGTTTCCAGCTGCATCCATGTCCCTACAAAGGACATGAACTAGAAATCCTCACTGATCGGCTTACCGGCCCCCGATGCACAGCCATAAGGTAGCTCTGTGTTGATTCCCAGAGTGGGATCGGAAGTGGCCACAAGTTCAAGGAGACACGTAAACACACAGAAGAGCCGGGTCAGCCACCCGACTCTGTAACCTCCCCCCGGGAGAAAGTGCGTGCCACACGCTCAGCATGGGCCTGGCCCACCGTGGGTGTGCCAGCAATGAACACACTGCCGCCTTGCCCACCCCAAGTAAAGGGAACCCCAGAAAGCCGCAATCTTTGTCTGTTTTGTTCACTGCAGAAGCCTCAACACATAGAACCATGTTCACGATCAGAGGGAAGGGGAGGGTCCCACCTGGGTCACATCACGGTCTGGAGGTCTGCAAGAAACAGGTGGATGCTGGGGGTGACCAGAGCCGCCGTGTCTGCGGTTCCCTCGGTGGGAATGTGCTCTGTGCGTCCGCCGGGCTGGCTCAGAAGCTCACGGAAGCCCTTTCAACACTGTGCAGAGCCAGGTGGACAATAAAATGTTTGGGAAAGAGGAGAACCGTTTTCAAAATGATATGAATATATTTAAATCCATTAAAATGTTTCATTTGACTTACATTCGTTTATCTTCAACCTCTTCATGAGCTCAGTGAGTCGAGTTCTGTTAGCTTCCATGTGTAAACCACAAGCATAGGTACGGTAGTATAAAAACCTAAACGTCAGGAATGGAACAGGGCCCGAAAGACCGTCATGAAGCCATCTGAATGGGAGTCCTTTCCGAGTTCTCCATGTATTCCTAGTCATTTACAGTTGCCCACAACTTATTTCAACTCCTTTTTTTTAGCAGATTGCCCCTACTGAATTTTTCCAAATCACTCAACTTCGTTTTTCTAGGAATGACACCATTTTGTTTTTACACTCACTGTCCAGAGTTTAAGTGGGATTGAATCCAATTTGGCTCCGTGGATACCACTGTGCTCCACCCAGCACCCCTCTCAGAGCAGGGTGGGACTCTGCAGGACAGGACACTGTGGCCCAGCTCCTGAGCATGTGGGCTGAGCTGTTCACAGCTGGGCCCTTGGCTAGCCTACCGGACCTGCAGGGGACCTGCCTGGTTGAAGGTCACAGACCCTCCCAGGAGCGCCACCTGGCCAAGGACCGTGTGACTTGGGATACCAATACCCAGTCCCTCTGTCTCAATTTAGGACAATCTCAAAGGTTATCCCAGCCACAGAGGCTTCAGCTCAAGGGCGACGTCCTGGGGGACAGGCTGAGGCCGACAGGCTCAGCCTCAGCCCCCCGGTGCGTCTCCCTAGGGCACTACCAGTGAACCTGCATGAGGCAGCGGTCCCTCAGAGAGTCTGTTTCTAGGGATCCTAATCGAACCTATGACTGGAGTGAGAAGTACAACTACAAAGGAAATGAAACAAAACAGGTGTGGGCGCAAACCCAACAGACGCTCGGCGAGCCCAGCGGCACTCACCTCTGGGGGATGCAGGCTTCCACCTGGAGGCGAAGACCAGACCGGCCGACCACCCTGAGTGTGGGCAGTCCATGTGCTACACAGAGGGATGGAGCCGCAGCAGACAGCCTGCACCCTGCTTTCATAATGTCAGTCAGGGAACTGCTACCACCCAGACTAGACACGGCCCACCTGGAACCCCTCTGTTGACCTGCAGGGGATTCGCTTGGGGGCAGCTCAGCTCCTCCCATGCCTCTGCCATGGACCCCAGGTACTGCCTGCTGGCCTGGTGGGACCTTTGCTCCAAAGCCGAGTGACTAATGCAGAAGCGTGGAGGACCCACTGCCAGCATCCTCTGAACAAAGAAGCTGCTCCCTCCCTCCCAGCCTTGGCCCTAGCATGGGAAGTTCCTAAGTTGGAGGAGTCTGGAGCTCCCTGGCTTTGACTTTGGTTATCATAACTAATGGCTTTCCAGACAGAGGCCAGCCCCACCCATGAGCTGGTTATTCGTCTAATGTGGTTTGTGTCAGCCTGGTGGGAACGTGTGCTGGCAGCTTCAGCAGCCTCCACAGTCAGTTCTAGGGTTCACAGGACCTGCTTGGTGAGGAAGATGGTGGCACGAGGCAGAAACAGCAACGTCTTTGTGGTTGTGAGGCCTGAGACCACATGTTCCTATCAGCTGTGTAACATCGGGCAGGTCCCTTCATTTCTCTGAGCCCCAACTTTCTCATCCTTAAAATAGAACAAGTACCTGCCTCTTTAGGGTGTTGTACAAATTAAACATTGTCTGATAAAGTCCTTTGTTAACCTGTGTGCTACATGAGTGTGGGGTATGACCACTGTAAGTTTCATTACTGTTAGGGTTAGGAAGGAACTACATCAGTCCCTTGTAGGAATTACTTTTGTAGCCGTGGACGTGGGTTAACAGAGCCACGCGCTTGTCTTCAGAACATGTACGGGTCTCAACCCTGAGGCTGTGCCCTTGTAGGAAGGCTGGCCTTCATCACAGGGCCCCCCAGCCCGGGAGGACCCAGGAAGCTATTTTTGAGAGACTTGGGTCTGCAGGTCTGACTCCAGGACAAGTCGAGGTTAACAAAGTTAGAATGAGAAGCAGCTTCCCAGAGGGCAGCTGAGGCCTCGCAGGAGGCCTGTGTCAGAACGTCCACTTTAATTAAAATATTTGCCTGCCTGTAGCCTGATTTCTTTTACACATGGTCTAATTTCTTATAGTGGACCTAAGTGACTCTCACACACCACCCTGCAAGGCAAGGCAAGAGTTTTTAATTTGAAGTTTCGACCATTAGGGAAATTCATGGATGGGCTTCAGGGGGTCTATGAGTCCCTGAAATTGCAAGCCAAAGTTGTGTGTCCCTGCACGTCTAATACCATCCTGGTGGCACCAAGAATTGCCACCTGGAAACACAAGCCATTCATGCCGAAGGGCTTTGGGCCTCATGGACTAAACTCCCTTACAAATCTCACTCAATGAGACAGCTTCTGGCCTGGAAGAGTCATCGAGGCACCTCCAGACGATGTGAGAATCTCACTGAGTTTTCTTTCTCTTTCTCTAGAAAAGGGCTATTAACAAATTTGAGACGTTGATAGAAGACTTTCATACTCAGCCAAGTAGCAGCCATGAACCTCAGCCCAAGGAGAATGCGTTGACTGCATTTTCACCTTTGTTACTACTGGAGTCTCAGAACATCCTTGGGAAGGACATGAGGCAAGTAACATAACTATTCCAATTTCACTGATAAGGAAGGTGCACAAAATTTAAATGATTTGCCCAGAGGATGTAGCTGGTTTTTACTTCAACCAGCTCTAAAACCCTAATTCCCAGCCAAAGGCTTTTCCATTGGAAGGAAAAGGGAAAATTTTTCATTTCCCAAATTAGTTATCCCAGTAGATCAAGAGACCCTTCAGGAGACCTAAAGTCAACTTGTGAAGATTCACAGTGTTAATTTCTGCTTGTCTGAACTTCCACAGTGATGAATGGAGCCACAGCCAGTCGTGCTAAGCTGATTAAATACGCACTTTGCTAGCCACCCACCATGATGCCAACTCTACCCGCTTTTTTTAGTATTCCTGTCGTGTGGAGTCCACTCCCACATGGAATCAGGCTTGACCCCTGTGACTACAGAATACTGCAGAGGTGACAGTGCGTGAATGCCAAGGCTTGGTCATTAACGGTACTGCAGCTTCTGTCTTTCTCTCCTGGCCAGATGGCTCCTTCTGTGGGAAGTTGGCCACCATGTTGCAAGGATGTTCAAGCAGCTCCACGGAGAGGTCCATGTTGAGAGGAACTGAGGCCTCCCACCAGCAGCCAGTGCAATTCTCCAGCCATGTAGGGGCGCCACCATGGCAGTAAATCCTCCATCCTCTGTCAGTCCCACCCATGACTATGGCCACAGCTGACATCTGATTGCAACCTCAAGAGAGACTCTCAGACAGAATTCTTGGCCAAGGCACTCTCAGATTCCAAATCTAAAGGAACTGTGAGCAATCGTAAATGACTGTTGTTTTAAGCCATTAAGTTTTGGAGTGATTTGTCACACAGCATTCGATAACTAATACAACTCACAACCACCCCCAAAAACTCTGCCAGCACCCGCATCAGTGCCTCTGCAGGACACCCCTTTCTGTAAATATGGGATAGGCTGGGGCATAAGTGACCCTTGAGAGTGGGCGCAGACTCTGAACCGTCTGACATAAG
Source organism: Homo sapiens (assembly GCF_000001405.40). Classification (NCBI taxonomy): domain Eukaryota; kingdom Metazoa; phylum Chordata; class Mammalia; order Primates; family Hominidae; genus Homo; species Homo sapiens. The sequence continues at coordinate 154,902,224 of NC_000007.14, forward strand.
TCACTGGTTCCTAGTCCCAAGCATCAAATCCCTGCTACATTGGGAAGGGTTCACAAATGGCAGGAAGAGAAATGGTAGAAAAATTCCTTCAGGCACTAACTGGAGTCCACCCTAGCACTACCACCCCTCTTTCTTAGAAGTGGAACCCCCAGTTTTTAACTGGGCCTATGGTCATCCAGAATAAAAACTGTTCCGGCCTCTTCGCTGAGCCTAACTTCTGGCCACTGGGATGTATGTGACATGCCACATGGCAGCTGCCAAGACACTTCCTCAAAAGACAGCAGGGAAGCATCCTTGGTCTCATCTTCTCCCTCCTCCCTCTGGGTTCCTGAAGACCCAACAGAGCCTTGGTCCACAAGGTGGAAGCTCCGAGCCAAGGGTGACAGAGAGCAAGCAGATGCTGCCTGGGCTCCTGGCAGGTGGGCACACTATACCAGCCCTGGTGTCCCTCATCAGAACGCTCTATCTTCTTTATCTTGGCCTTTTCTGTGTTTTGCAGTCAAATTTGATGCCAGCTAGCACACTGCACTGTGAGGGCTGAATTACACAGGCCAGCGGCTTGATCCTAGGGCCCAGAGCCTCTCACTGCAAAACGCTGTGTAGTTGCCAGTTATTCAGGACAACTAAGCATTTGCATTGGACACAAGGCAGATGACTATGCATCCATTCACTCCAAAGATCACAATAGCCACATTAATAATAATAATTAACATTTATGAAAAGCCTGCTCTATATCAAGCACTGTGCTAGCATTCTGCGTGGATAAACACATTTAATCTCTGCACAATTAACACATTTCAATCTACAACTACCCCATGAGGTTGGGTTACCATTATTTACGTTTGGCGGACAGGAAACAAAAGGAACAGAGAGACGCCGTCACTGGCCCCAGATAACAAAGCCAGTCAGTGCTCGGGAGGGAGTCCTGCCACCACCAGCTCCCTCTCCAAAGGGAGGCCCTTACCAGGTCCCAAACCCGAGTCTACCCACGTTTGGGCACAGCAGATGAACTGTGTGACCTCCATGTGTTTGAGTAATAGGCTTGGCCTTGGCAGGTTGATTTGTTTGAGCTGAAAGAGAACAAAGAAAGGCCTTCTGCCCAGGTGCCTGGAGAGGTGAGCAGGGGTCGCTGGTCTGCGAGAGGCTCTCCAGCAGGAGCTGAAGAACTCGTTTTCTGGGAGACAAAGGGAGGGCTGGCTTGGCCTGGGAGGCTGGGGGCACTCTCTGTGGCCCAGAGGGAGCGCCATGCAGTCGGTCCAGAGAAGCTCTGAGATCTGGGGCCACCTGGGCAGCCCAGGGTCTGCAGCAGCCTCCTGCCAGTCACCACGGCTGGAACCTGGGGGCTGTGGAGGGCTCCGAGGTGGAGGATGGTCCCATGTGTCTGGGTGAGCAGCAGACACCACGGGAGCAGCTGTTTGACCTGAGCCAGTCACACAAAGGAGTCAATTTCCAGCTGTGTGGGAGCCTGAGTCCAGGCACACTTGGCAAGGAGCCCTTGGTGGCCAGCGTCCTAGCCTGAGATGGCAGGGGGCAAAGCTGGTGAAACGTAGGTCGTCAGTGGTGGTGAGACCCACTCTCACCCAGAGGCCGGCAAGGTCAGTGAGCAAGATTATCCACTGTAGTTCGTTCAATCGGATTTCACTGCCAGTATTCCCTGTGGAGAAGAGTGGTATAATCAACATAATTTTTTTTTTTTTTTGAGACGGAGTCTCGCTCTGTTGCCCAGGCTGGAGTGCAGTGGTGCAATCTTGGCTCACTGTGACCTCCACCTCCTGGGTTCAAGTGATCCTCCTGCCTCAGCCTCCCGAGTAGCTGGAACTACAGATGTGCGCCACCACACCTGGCTAATTTTTATATTTTTATAGAGACGGGCTTTCACCATGTTGGCCAGGCTGGTCTCGAACTCCTGACCTCAAGTGATCCTCCCGCCTCGGCCTCCCAAAGTGCTGGGATTACAGGCGTGAGCCACCAAGCCCAGCTCATAAGTATATAAATATGATGAATTCATTGACCAGTAGAGAAGCAGGACCCATGAATGTCTCCAAATTCTGTTTTCAACTGCACCAAGACTGCTGGAGTTTTACGTCTCAGATATATTAGCAGATGTGTGCTTTTCCAAATAACCATTTTTACGGAAATCTTAATATTGTCTGAAAGTCAGCATGATTGTCCTGTGAATGAGATTTTTACTCGCTTGGCGGAAGGAGGCAGAATGAATCCACTGCTTGAGATCCTCTTCTATGACTGCAGCAACTGTGGGCTTTGAGGACCTTGAGCTGGACTTAGATGACCCTCTCAGTGGTATGCTGGCATCAGCCTTCCTAATAGAAAACAAAAGGAGAGAAAAACAAAAGAAAAGAAAATCCCAACCCATAGAGTCTGTCGATCTCCGTGGTGTAAGTGTTTCCACTATGGCCAACGTCAAACACCCAAGCTGCCATCACTGAAAATGGAGTTGGGAAGCAAAGGGCCAAACCCCTTCCCGCCCATTTCCAGTGAGTAGGTGTGACACTCTCCATCAGGCACCACTAACTCTGGCTAACACCGGTTAGTCTATGGGGCAGGGCCTCTAGGAGGGCCAAAGAATGCAGCACCAGGAGTTGACAAACCCACACCCTCCATCCTGGACAGGTTTCTTCTGTGGCATTGGGCAGGCACTTCCACAAATCGAAACTGACTTTTTCCCACCCAAATGACAAGTTCCCGGGGTAAGCGAGACGGTTTATTTCCCCCATACCTCACCCCTCCGTCCCCCATCAACAGCGCCTGGCTCACGTGGCAGTTCTGAGCAACTGGAGAGACGTGGACAGAATGAATTGCAAGAGGATGTGGGGGGTCCTAGCTCCATGTTGGGCGGGACCACCCCGCATTTCCATGCTCCTGGAATCCCACCCTGAAGCTGAGCTCCACACCCCTGCTTCTAGAGCACTTTCAGAGACCGCAGCCTCAAGGAGGTCTACTGATTCAGTAACCGGCAGAGGCTGTCTGGGGAGCACGGTGGAAGTTAAACGCCATGAAGAGAGCATCCAAGGCCCCCAGACTCTGGGGTCAGGAGTCTCACACCACCACGCTGCTGGCTCAGGCATAATTTATCAGGCTTCATACATATCAGAGGAGGCCGCAGCTGCTAGCACTCCACGCCAGCCCTGCAAACATTTCTTCAATTATTCAGTCACCAGGCACAGGGAGCTAGTCCACTGCTTCAAAGTTACATTGTTATAAAGTAACAATTACAGCAAGGTTTAGGGCTGAGCTCCCAGGCCTGGACACTCCGCCCCACAACCCTGACCACCCCAGTCTTTCTCTCTCTCTCTCTCCAGTCGTCTCTCTCTTTCTCTCCTCTCTCTCTGTCCATTCTCTCTGTCTCTGTCCCCATCTTTCTTCTCCCCTTCTCCCTCTCTTTCTCTCTCCTCTTTTGTCTTTTCCCCATCTCTCCCTCCCTCCGGCCTTGTATCCTTCCTTGTCTCTCCCCGTTGCCTCCCCTCCTCTTCCCTCCCCATCTGGGTGGGTGGTCAGGCCTTGGTTAGGCTTGGCCATCCAGAGAGGAGGGGAAGCCTGGTCGAGCACCCAGCACTGAGCAGAGCAGACAGACTTGGCGAAGGAGGTGGGAGCAGGGATCAGGAGGGAGGGTGCAGGGATGCCCCTGCTGTAACAAAGCATCCCAAACCCGAGACTTCAATAACGGGGTTTTATCCTATGCTGCTGGAGACTGAGCTCCGAGATCAAGGTGTGGGCAGGGCCAGGCTCCCTCTGAGAGTGCTAGGGAAGGGCCTGTCCTCCGACACTGTGCTCTCCCCCAGGGGATGGGGCGGGGGGCTCCCTGGATTGTGGCTGGGTCTCTCCACACTCTCCGTGGCACTCTCCCTCTGTGCGAGTCTGTCTCTGTGTCCCAATTCCCCCTTTTCATAAGGACAGCAGTCATATGGAGTTAGCGCCCACCCTGCTGACCGCATTTCAACTTGATCACCTCTGGTCAGACCCTGTCTTCAAGGAAGGTTCCATTTGGCGGTGCCATGGGTTAGGGCTCAGCAGATGTTTTGAGGAATACCACCATTCCAGCACAACAGCAGGGCCTCCTGGGTGGGAGGAGGAAGGAGCAGCTGGGGCGGGAGGGCCTGTGTCTCTGAGGCAGCTTGCGGCTATGGGGTAGGTGGCCCCGTGAGTGGACTTGGGACAGGGCCTTGCTGTGTCTTTGGTCCTCCTAGGAAAGGCCTCCTGGACTCTCCGGGGCTCTGCCCTTCCCGATTGTCAGCAGTGCTACGGCCTGGTCTGCAGGGTCAGCCTCTCATGCCTGCCATACCTGGGCTTTTTTTTTTTTTTTTTTTTGAGATGGAGTCTCTCTCTGTCACCCAGGCTGGAGTGCAGTGGTGTGATCTCGGCTTACTGCAACCTCCACCTCCCTGGTTCAAGCAATTCCCCTGCCTCAGCCTCCCGAGGAGCTGGGATTACACGCAAACGCCACCAAGCCCGGCTAATATTTTTGTTTTTTGTGCTAGAGATGGGGTTTCACCATGTTGGTCATGAGAGGTAACAACGTGCTAGCAGCCCTTGCTAGCTCTCGGCACCTCCTCGGCCTCCTCGGCCTCGGCGTCCACTCTGGCGCACTTGAGGAGCCCGTCAGCCCCCGGCTGCACTGAAGGAGCCCCTCTCTGGGCTGGCCGGGCCGGAGCCGGCTCCCTCTGCTTGCGGGGAGGTGTGGAGGGAGAGCGCGGGCGGGAACCTGGGCTGCAAGCAGCACTCATGGGCCAGCGCGAGTTCTGGGTGGGCCCTCCACTCAGAGCAACCAGCTGGTGCCGCTGGCTGGGCAGTGAGGGGCTTAGCACCCGGGCCAGCAGCAGCAGCAGAGGGTGCGCCGGATCCCCCAGCACTACCGGCCCGCCCGCACTGCGCTCAAATTCTTGCTGGGCCTTAGCTGCCTCCCCTCGGGGCAGGGCTGGGGACCTGCAGCCCGTCATGCCCGAGCCTCCCCGCCTCCACCCCTGTGGGTGGAGCCTCCCCTACCGGCACCACCCCCTGCTCTGCGGGCCCGGTCCCATCGACTGCCCAAGGGCTGAGAGGTGTGGGCGCCCTGCGTGGGACTGGCGGGCAGCTCCACCCGCGGCCCCAGCACGGGATCCACTAGGCGAAGCCAGCTGGGCTTCTGAGTTCAGTGGGGACTTGGAGAACTTTTATGTCTAGCTGGAGGATTGTAAATGCAGCAATCAGCACTCTGTCTAGTTCAAGGATTGTAAATGCACCAATCAGCACTCTGTGTCTAGCTCAAGGTCTGTAAATGCACCAATCAGCACCCTGTAAAAACAGACCAATCAGCTCAATGTAAAATGGACCAATCAGCAGGATGAGGGTGGGGTCAGATTAGGGAATAAAAGCAGGCTGCCCCAGCCAGCAGCGGTCATCTCCTTGGGTCCCCATGAGGTGGGAGCACGTGGAGCCCCATGAGCTCCCCCCATGGAGGGAGGAGCAGGGCTGCGGTGTGGAGCCTGCAGTGGCTGGAGCTCCTGTCCTGCAGAGTCAGGGATGAGACGTCTTCCCCTCCTTCCTGGCCTCAGGCACACTGGTGTCTCTCCAGTCCCACCACAGTCCTGGCTCCAGGTCTTGCCAACTCCTCCCCAGCAGCCTCAAGGGGCTGCTTCTGATGTAACGGCTTCTGCAGGGCGTCGCATCCTCCCAGCTCCTGCTGAGCCCTCCCTGCTCCCACCTCCTGGGCTGCACTCCTCAGCCTGCTCTCTCAGGCCTCCAGGACCTGGGGAAGACATCCACAGTTTACAGGGCACTTCCTCAGAAACCTAATTAACAGTGTCACATGGGTGCTTTAGTTTTGTTTTACACTGGGGTGTAAACAACAAGCTGGGTGCGGTGCCTCACACCTGTAATCCCAGCACTTTGGGAGACCGAGGCAGGCGGATTGCCTGAGGTCAGGAGTTTGAGATCAGTCTGGCTGTGTCTGGAATTGGTGGGTTCTTGGTCTTGCTGGCTTCAAGAAAAGCCGTGGAGCCTCGCGGTGAGTGTTACAGTTCTTAAAGATGGTGTGTCCAGAGTTTGTTCCTTCTGATGTTGTGTCCGGAGTTTTTTCCTTCTGGTGGGTTCGTGGTCTTGCTGACTTCAGGAGTGAAGCTGCAGACCTTCGCAGTGAGTGTTACAGCTCTTAAAGGCGGTGCATCCGGAGTTGTTAGTTCCTTCCGGTGGGTTCATGGTCTCGCTGGTTTCAGGAGTGAAGCTGCAGACCTTCGTGGTGTTACAGCTCATAAAGGCAGCGTGGACCCAAAGGGTGAGCAGCAGCAAGATTTATTGTAAAGAGTGATAGAAGAAAGCTTCCACAGCTGCACCAGTGCCTCCCCTGCAGCTCAGGTCCTACTCCCGGAACCAGCTTCATGGCTGCCCATCAGACCCCAAAGCAGGTTCCCCTGAGTGTAGCCGATCTTTTCTCATGATCATTGTTAAGTAGAGGCACCGTGTTGAACAGCAGTTCTCTCGATTCCCGGCACCAGCTTCATGACTGCCCATCAGACCCTGAAGCAGGTGCTCCTGAGTGCAGCCGATCTTTTCTCATGATTATTGTTAAGTAGAGGCACCGTGTTGAACAGCAGATCTCTGGAACCTACTCATCGTGCATAACGTGTATTCTACCCCCGCTTCCCCTCCTCCAGTCCTGGAGACCCCAACCCTCCTCTCTGCTTCTATGAGCGTGACTGTTTCAGATTCCTTGTAGATGGGAGACCATGCAGTGTCTGCCTTTCTCCTTACTTCACATAACATAATGTCCTCTGGGTTCATCCCTGCTGTCACTAATGATAGGGTTTCCTCTTTTTCATGGCTGAATAGTACTCCATGGTGTGGTGATGGCCTGGACTCTATTCATTCATTTGTTGATGGACATGGAGGTTGCTTCCACTACTTGGCTATTGTGAATAGTGCTGCAATGAACTTGGGGTGCAGACACCTCTTCAAAATACTGACTTCAATTTTTTGGGTCAATACCCAGAACTGGGATGGCTGGGTGGCAGGTAGTTCTATTTTTAGATGTTTGAGGAAACTCCACAGCATTCCCCATGGTGGCTGCCCTGGCCCACATTCCCACCGACAGTGCCCACAAGGCACACCTGATCCCACTCTTCCGCACGCTTTCCCCATCTGGACCCTCTTCACACCCCTGATCTCTGGCAGAGGAGGGGACTGGGTTGGGGGTCCGCCTTCCCCCACTCACTCTCTTTGTGACTTCAGCAACCACCTCGGCCTCCCACCCTGTTCTTCCCCTTAGCAACACGAAGGCTTGGGCGAGAGAGTGGCGAACGCCATTTCCCACTCTACCGGTTCGGGTTCCTATGCTTTTCCCCGGCCCTGAGAGACAGCACTGCCACCCTTTCCACTCCTGCAGGGAGATCTGCCACACGAAGTAGGACGGATGTGAAGCAAACAGGCGACAGGGTCACCTGCCCTCCCAGACAGCCTTCCACAGCAGGGAGGACGGAGGAGAGAGGGAGGGGCACACCCTGGAGGCTGGGGAAGGTCTCATTCCTGGTTGGCAAACTCTCCTCTTCATGCCCACCCTGCATGACTCCTCCCAGGCCGCTACCAGTTCACACCCCAGCATCTGTGCCCGGCCCAGCCCTGGGCACTGAGCACAGTATGGCAGCACCCAGCACACAGAAGCCGGGCCCCTGCACAGCTGGATTCCAGTGGGGACAGAACGACAATACATATGAGAAATCTATTGCCCGAGAGGGCGCCTCGCACAGAGGGAGAGCAGAGCATGAGGAGGGGCTGGGCTGGGGTGGAGGCATCGTTCTCATGGAGGTGGCATGGGAGCCCTGCTTAGAAACTGGAGTCTACACAAAGCCCTGGGGAGTGGGGGAATGCGTGGTGCAGATGCCTGCGAAGGGGGCTCCAGGCAGAGGAACCCCAAGTTCATGGCCCAAAGGGAGTGCCTCCCCAGCACAACCCCAGAATGCCAGAGAGCCCTGTGTGGCCAGAGTGGGGCGGAGGCACAGGGAGAGGCTCTATCTGTCCATCCATCCTGCTGGGCGGGTGCCCCTCAGAGGCCACAGGGCCACAACGTCTCCTGGCTCTGTGCACACCCACCACTGTTGCCTGTTGTCTCAAGGGGCCAGCACAGAACCACCCCTGTCCCTGTGGACTTGCCCAGATGGACGAGTGCTTGGCACCCACAACAGGCAGACAGCAGGACCCAGGTCTAGCAGTGTGGTCAGAGAATGTCTCTGCCCCTTCTCAACACAGGCCAGACTCCATCTCCAGCCTGTGCACCATCCCTGCAGCCCAGGAGGAGCTCATGCTGGCATCAGCATCCCCACACCCACATTCCTTTTGGCCCAGGCCCCACTGCAGAGCTCGGACTGCTAGACCCTGGATTAGCCACCCAGTCAGGAACTGTCCCTGTGAACTTTATAAAATTCATCAGGGCTGAGGGGAGGAAGAGAAAGGAAAATAGACCAAGCTGCAGCACACTCAGCATGAATCACTGGGTCAGCCTGCTCTGCAACCCCTTCCTCATTGCCGTTTGCTGCCTCTCACCCCAGAATCACATAAAGCCTGGCACAGATTACAGATGCCTTGAACTGCTCTATAGACAAGTTGAACATTATGAAATGTTAAGTTTTGTTTACATTTCTCTGAGATATCCTTTCAATTCCTGTGTACCAGTGCAACTACTGATGCCAGCTGGTCTGAAGGACTCCATAAAAAGCTGAGTCCCCACCAGAGAATGCAGTTTCCACCTCCTGATGACTTCACCCTCCTCACCCTGACCAATCAACCATCCCAGTTTTCCAGTACCTCACCCTCCTTAACAACCCCAGCCCAGAACTCCCCAGGGAGATGGATTTGAGGGTCTCCTCCCATCTCCTCACCTGGAGCCCTGCCGCCACTAAACTCTTTCTCTGCTGCAAACCCTGCTGTCTTGGTGCATTGGCTTGCGACTGCACGGGGGGCTATGACCTGGTGGCCTTGTAACAGTCAGTCCTGAACTTCAGCCCTATCCTGTAGTTTGGCCCAAGATCCCTGTGGTGTCCAGCCTCCAAGCTGGTGCCCTGAGATCCCCCTCCTGGTGCTCACCCTTGTGGAGGCCCCTTCCACAATGCACAAGGGCTGGTTGGTGTGACCAGCAGTGACCGCATGTCAATGCTGAGCTAAGAGGAGGTAATAAGAGACTGTGGCTTCTAAGGCTGGTGCTTGGTCTTTCCCCGCTCTCCTCTCTTTCTCTCCATCTCTCCTTTCCTTTTCTTTCTCCCAGTCTCTGTCTCTCCTCTCTCTGTGTGTCTATGTCTGCCTGAATGTCTCTCTCTGTCTCATCACTAACTCTGGGGAAACCCAGCTGCCACTCAAGCAGAGGCCCCTGAGCAGCCTGTCTTGCAGAGCCCTGAGATGGCTGCAGTCCCTGCTGAGAGCCTGACTGCAAACTCCCAAGAGAGCCTGGGCCAGAGCCACGCAATCAAGCCTCAGCCAGATTCCTGGCCCTCAGACACTGGGAGATAATCAGTGTGGTGTTAAGCTTCTAAGTATTGGGGTTGTATGTTACACAGCAGTAGGTAACTAATACAATCCCAGATGCTAGTCACCTGCCTCCCCTAACACACAGGAGACCGCCTGTCTGGACAGCCTCATTGGCCCCATGGATTCCCTTGGCCTGGCCCAGAAAGCTGCCCTCAGGAGCTGTAGAACTGAGATCCTTCTGCAGGGCCCTGTGGGCCTGAGCACATCCTTGAGGCTCCAGTTCTCCCTCAAACCCCAGCCCAGGGGTCACATAGGCAACCAAAGGTCTTTACTTTAAATTTTAGAAAATTGCTAACTGCAGCTCAATGACCAGCAGGACAGCGGCTTGATATCAGATAATGGAATCTGAGCAGCAGCTGATGTTAATCTGATTGTTCCCGACAGCCTGGGCAGGGCCAGAGAGACAGGCTTCAGGTCCCCGCACCTTTTGTCTGCAACACAGGGTCAAGTTTTGTTCTTGTCATCGGGCCATGTCTTCCAGTGTCATCAGCTCAGCACTTCATGTTCAGCATGTAATGACATTTGTTTTTCTTGCTAATTGCTCTTGGAGTGGTTTCCATTTCCCCAACTAGACTGAAATCTTGTTACCCCAGAAACAGTGTCTTTCTGTGAGTCTCACACAGAAAGGAGTGGACGGTGGGCTGCCTCTCTGTTCTACCCTGTATTGTCCCTAACCAGCTGTCCACCAGAGCACGATGACCACAGATAAATGACCTGCCATGTGACATCAAGTTGCTAGATTCACCAGCAACCAGTCACTCACCCGTTTCCTGAGTATAGATCTCTGGCTAACGACTCCACCTTGCACACTACAAGAATGTGGAGCAGGCTGGGCACGGTGCTCACACCTGTAATCCCAGCACTTTGGGAGGCTGAGGCAGATGGATCAACTGAGGTCAAGAGTTTGAGACCAGCCTGGCCAACATGATGACACCCCATCTCTACTAAAAATATAAAAAATTAGCTGGGCGTGGTTGCAGGTGCCTGTAATCCCAGTTACTCGGGAGGCAGAAGTGGGAGAATTGCTTGAACCTGGGAGGCGGAGGTTGCAGTGAGCCGAGATCGTGCCATTGCACTCTAGCCTGGGCGACAGAGCAAAACTCCATCTCAAAAAAAAAAAAAAAAAAAAAGAACGTGGAGCAATGACCATAAAGAGTGAAGCTGACACTGAGAAGTGCTGGCATCCCCCTCCGTAGGCCAGGTGCGGTTCATCAGCACCCTCGGGTCTGAGCTTTTGAGCTGAGGCCTTTCCAAGCCTCAAGGGAGCAGATGGTAGAAGAAAAAAAATGTTAAATCCCCAAGCTGGAGGAAAGTGGGTTTGCCAAGAAAAATCCTTCCAAAATTGTGTCTCCAATACGACCGTGTTGTCTTTGACAGCAGAGACGTTTTTGTACAGCTTCCCTCCTATTTAGGAACAGCTGACGTGAACTCGACATCGGAAATATAAAATCAGCAGGGAAGTGGGTCTGAATCACGGGAAAGTTAGTTTTTTCAAGTGCCAAGGACAATTGAAAGCACATGCTTTTCAATTTGTCGACTGGTACAAATTGGTTTTTGGCACAAACAGAAATGTGACCAATTTCTACAGCTGCGAAAACGACCTCTGTGCAGCAGGACGGAGACAGGGGCAGCTGGCGTCCTTGGGTGGGCTCTGAGCCCCGTTCATCCCTGAGACTCTCCTCCCCGCTCATGTGGCCCCTTCTCTCAGCCCTGCAGCGGCCTCTCCCCACCCGGCATTGCTCTCTGTCCGCCAACTCACGTTTCTTGAACAGTCTTTGGAAAACATTTCTGGGCAGTGGAAGGGGTGTATCTCTTCCCAATTATTCAAGAACCAGCTCTGTGACCCTGGACAGGTCGCTGGAACCTCTTGGGCTTCAGCCAATGGGAAATGAGATGGTTGGCCAGAGGGTCCCCAAGACCCCAAACCTGTGAAACCCAGACCAGGCGATGTGGCCACAGGTTCCCAAGCAGCGGAAACTCTTAGATCGGCCTCCGCGTCTGAGAACAGAGCGCAGCGGAACTGCCGCGTGGCCAGCACCTGGGCCTCCCCCGGAGCTGCTCAGGAGTGCAGAGTTCAGGCCTTGCCCCCTGCTGAACTTGAACTGGACTGGCCCTGGGAGGCCACTCCTCAGGCCTTCAACCTGTCATCTGAGAGCCGCCAGCAGATGGCAGCAAAGGCCCAGCTCTGGCAGGTCTCTGAGGCCTCCCGGCTGGGCCGGGCCCTGGTACCTGGAGGAAGATTGCACGCTCTGGGACTGCGAGTTGCAAAGGTACCATGAGGAGCCCCGGGAGGTGAAAACACTTCCCGGGCTAACGTGGCGCCGAGAGGGACTGCGGACCCACTCTTGGCTTCCTCTTTAGAGGAGAGATGGAGCGGGGTCCGAAGCGCACAGGCTTCGAAGGAACTAGTGAGCCAGCCGAGGGCAGCGGGAGCCGCAGAAATCAGCTCGGAGAGAGTCGCGTGCAGGCTGCAGGTGTAGGGAGAGCCGGGGTCAGGCTCCGGTGCGCCGCGGGGGATGGCGGACCCTCCGGGGGCCGTGCTCCCCGCATTCCCACCACGGCGCAGGCATCGGGTGCCCTGCTCATCGCCCCTCCAGCCGGGGCCGGGCCTGCCTCTGGAAGCCCCACGGGTTCTCTGGGGCCTTTGGTTCCAGCGGGACCCAGGAGAGCAGCAGCTTTTGTCCGTGTGGGCCACGGTGACCTTCCCAGACACAAAATCAATGCCTAGGAATTGCGGAGTGACCCATCAGCACACGTAGAAAGGGTGGCATTTGTGACTTTTGTGCAGCTCGCTCAGGTGACACGAAGTCAGCTCCGAGCCCTGCCCAGCCCCAGCCGTCTCCTCCCAGCAGCTTCCAGGGCTGCAGCCACTGCAAGAAGCCAAAGGGGAACCCGTCCCCCCGGGGGGCCTGGGGACCAGCAAGACGAGGCGGGTAAATGGGCTTCGCGGGCGGCCGCAGGCAAAGCCAGGGAGGATCTCACATCCTCGTCAGCTCGGCAGCAGCAACACAGCACCGCGGGCCAGTGGGCTCAGCAGCGGGCGTCTGCGTTTCCCAGTCCTGGCGGCCACAGCCCGAGATCTGGGTGTGGGCAGGGCTGCTTCTGCCTGGGGCCTCTCTCCTCAGCTGAGCTGCCGTCTTCTCCCCGTGCCCTCACCTGACTGTCCCCGCGTGCACGGCTGTATCCTCATCTTCTCTTCTTGGAAGGACACCAGTCCTGCTGGATCAGGGCCCACCCACATGACCTCATTATACCTTACTGGCCGCCGTAGAGACCCCAGCTCCACATAAAGCCACATTCTGAGGTCCTGGGAGTTCGACCGGCAGCTTATGAATCTGGAGGACACAATTGATTCAGCCCGCAACCATCGCGGAGGCTTTGCTTGGGGCACAGCTGGCAGAGTGTGAGTCACCCAGCGCCAGCACCACACGGTGGTGGTCGGGGGTAGCACCCGGGGCTCCAGGCGCAGGGAGCCCAGCTGCAGTGCGGGTGCTGCTGAGAGCTGGAGAACGCTGGGGAGACACGCGGCCCGGGCTTCCCGGGCCTGGCTGGCTGCACTGCCCCCCACACCCGGGGGTCTGACTTAGCAGGTCTTAGGGGTGTCCAAGAACCTACTTTTAACCAGTCCCTAGGTACCTTAAGACCAGGAGGAGGATTTGGAAGATCCCGCTTTGTGCTAATTTCATCTAATCCTTGCCATAGGCCTATTAGAGGTAAGAAAACAGAGCTACAGAGGTTGAAGAAAAATTCTCAAGATCACATTAAAAGTACATTTACCATTCAAACCTAGGGTCATGTGGCTTCAGAGCCCTTGTTCTGAAACCCGTGCCGGCATTCCATTTCTAGACCAGGGTGGTGAGCACCAAAGCCCCAGAGAACCCAAGGGGGTTCCAGAAGCAGGCCCAGCCCTGGGTGGAGAGGCGGTGCCAGGATGCCTGACACTGCACAACCTCAGCCCAGGACACCTGCAGCCCAGCACACCTGACACCCACACAACCTAGCCCAGGACACCTGATGTCCACAACCTAGCCCAGCACACCTGACACTCCTGCAACCTCAGCCCAGGACACCTGCAGCTCAGGACACCTGACTCCCACACAACCTCAGCCTAGCACACCTGACACCATATGCCCTCAGCCCAGGACACCTGCAGCCCAGCACACCCGACAGTACCCTACCTCAGAGTAGAGGTGATGTTCAGAGCACTAACAGCTTCGGGGCACAACCCGCTGGGGCTGCCCACATTGGGCTGGAACAGCCCCCTCCAAGCTCCCCCATGTCAGGTATTTGGCTCCCCTGGTGCCGGATGATGAGGTGATATTAGTGGGCGGGGACACCCAAGAGAGGGGCTCATGCAGCGCTACTACAAACTCGTGTGGGAGGATTTCCATATTTCAGTATTTTTACCACAAATCAGGGCTCCACAGTGCCGGCTGCTGACTCTGCCATTCTTAGATCAAACTTCTAGGCTCTTAGTGCAATAAAATACAAGTGACAGAAGTGTCCCCAGAGATCCCCCGCAGTGTGCGGCTGGGGTTACAAGTGGATCCCAAGTCTCCTCATCCCCAAAGTGCCATTTGACCAGGGGTACCCCTCACAGCAGCCTGCAGCTTCCCTTTTCCTCTCCTCCATCCTTAGCTTTCCCAGGCCACCCCTTCCCAGCACCAATCCACAAAACCACGTGTTGCCCAGGTCCCCGTGTCTTGGCTCAATAGGTGACTCCAAAACAAAAGCGTTGCATCTTTAAAAGTGCCATCATTTCCTGTCCGTGTGTGCTGGCAAGACTGGCTTGGAGGCTGGGATCAGGGCCTGGGAACAGATGGGCCGAGTGGGGGGCAGGCAGGGGCAGGCGGGGAATGCCCAGCAAGAACAGGGGACGCCTACGTAAGAGGAAAGCTGTCCTGGGCGCCCCAGGAGAGTCCCGGCTCGGGGCCCTGCATGTCGCCGGCAGAGAGAGAAGGCCGGTGGGTGGGAAGTGTCACCTGAGCCCCCTGCTCTGTCCACAGGCCCAAGTAAAAGGAGACCCAGCACCACCTGCCATAACTCACAGTGGCTAAGGGCGCGATGTTGGAGCCTGTGCCTGGGGTAGACCCTGGTCATGCTACTGAAACCTCTGTGCTCTGCCCTCCTCTGCTGTGGAAGGGAGGAAGTGACAGCACCTGTCTTCTGTTGGCATTCTGAGGATAAAGTGGGTGTGTATATGCACAGGACTTAGCTCAGGATCGGGCATGGGCAAGCACAGTGCAAGCACCTGTCCTAACTGTGCACTGTTTCCCATCATTACTATTTAATTATTATTACTCTCATTCCTCTCCTTGGCTAATGGGGTGTGACGGCTGGAACGGGAACCAGGTGCATGCATCGGACGAGAAGCGCACTTGGACTGGCCTCTGTGTCTGATGGTGAATTGGTGTTTCTGAGGTTCAACCTCTGGATAGTGCTTCTGTGCACTAACCAGTCTCCACAAGCCTAGTAACCAATCTTCAGATGACTAGTAACCAGTCTCCAGATGACTAGTAACTGATTGTAACCAATTGCCAGATGGCTAGTAACCAATCTTCAGATGATCAGTAACCAGATCATGACTAGTAGCCAATCTCCAGATGACTACTAACCAGTCTCCAGATGACTGATAACTAACCAGTCTCCAGATGGCTAGTAACCAGTCTCCGAATGACTTGTAACCAGTCTCCAGACGGCTAGTAGCCAGTCTCCAGATGACTATTAACTAATCTTCAGATGACTAGTAATTAATCAGTCTCCAAACTAGTAACCCACTGCCAGATGACGAGTAACCAGTCTCCAAATGACTAGTACCCTGGTCTCCAAATGGCTAGTAACCAATTTCCAGATGACTAGTAACCAGTCTCCAGATGGCTAATAACCAGTTTCCCGATGACTAGTAACCAATCTCCAGATGACTAGTAACTGGTCTCCAGATGGCTCCCCAAGAGACCACACCTTCAGTGTCATGCGTGGGACGCTCCCCCAACACTGAGCTGCCTGTCCTTGTGTCACCAGTAGCACCATGGTGGCGACACATGTCACTTCAGAGACTCAGTGATCAGAAGGCTTGAAGTACCCACCTTGGTGTCTGGGAATGCACAGTCCAGCCCACGCTGAAGAGAGAAGTGGGCAGAGCAACGCTGGTCAGCCCCCAGCCCTTTCCGTCAGTGCAGCCCCAGCCGACATGGGGAAGGGCTAGCTCACATCTTCCAGCCCAGGAGACAGGGATGGCCTGGAGAGGTCATGGGACCCTGTGGGGCCATCTCAGTCACCTCCAGCCAGGGAAGCCACGCTCCGCTGGGGCGGGAGAGTTGTGGAACAGGCTCAGGCAGCCCCTGCTGTGCCCCTCCCACAGGATCCTGAGCACAGTGAAATGGTCCTTGTTTTAGGGAATTGAGTTTTGGAGTGTGTGTTCCCTACCTAGCTATATATATCCCAAAAATATCCTGGTGTTCAGGCCACCGTGCCCAATGGAAGAGGGCAAGCCCTTCATATGTGTATGGCTGGAAAAGGACTCTCATCGATTTCCCTTTTGAATTTGGAGCCCTCAAAATCATCTTTGGAGAAAGGCATAGTCCTGTCTCCCACGCACACATCCTTAACTTTGGCAAATAAACCTCCTGAAATGATTGAGACTTGTCTCGTCACTTTTCTCAGTTGACACCCTCAAGGACTCTAACTGGGGCTGTTAATGGTCAACCTAAGATCATCAAAAGGCTTGGGATCCAGTTAAAAGAGCTTACTCAGGTGTAAAGTGTGAGGGCAGCTGTCCGGGACACACGAACACTGAATAATGTTCACCAGTGCTCCTGGAGTCGGGAAAGGTAAAGATCGTTTATACAGGGAAAACACAGGTGAATTACATTTTCCATGGAAAGGCTGACACAAAGATATAAGATTTAGTTGGCTACTATTGCTTACACTCTCCAGGATTGCTTAACATTCCATTGTGAAGAGGTAACAATCACAAGGCTCTCTCCCAACATCATTTAATCTAGGTGTGAATGAAGAATGAGGAGGGCAAAAATCACCTGGTGAGCATCATGCAGACCCCAGGGACAAAAGTTCCTTATCTGAGGAATTTAGAAGTAATTAGACTTCCCTATTACCTAAAGGCACCTGGTTCCAGGCCTCTCCTCAAAACGTGTGAGTAACTAGAATTTCTATACATCTCTGGAATGCATGCATGCCAAAACTTATGGTGCAACCCTTGCTGACACTGAGACACCAAAATGTCTACAAATGTAATACTTTATCGTGCAAATCACCCTTCAGCTCCTGCTTGAAGGTCCATAAATACCCCTAAGGAAAAATCCACCGCAGTGTGCTCAGTCCTCTCTAGCTGAGGCACCCACTGCGCTCTCCAGCCGCGTTCTTTCTTTCTAACAAAACTTTCCTTTGGCCGGGTGCGGTGGCTCATGCCTGTAATCCCAGCATTTTGGGAGGCTGAGGCGGGTGGATCACGAGGTCAGGAGATCAAGACCAGCCTGGCCAACATGGTGAAACCCCGCCTCTACGCAAAATGCAAAAATTAGCCAGGCGTGGTGGCGCATGCCTGTAATCCCAGCTACTCAGGCTGAGGCAGGAGAATCACTTGAACCCGGGAGGCAGTGGATGCAGTGAGCAGAGATCACGCCACTACACTCCAGCCTGGGTGACAGAGCAAGACTCCGTCTCAAAAAGAAAAAAAGTTTTTCCTTTTTCAAACCTATGCTGTTGTTGGTAAATTCTTACCAACCTACGAGTTGACCACTTCCCGATGCCAGGCATTTTGCCTGGCAAAGAACAGGAGCCTGGCTAATGTGTCACATCTCAACACACCAAGGTCAGACAGCTACAGTTGTGCCCCAGAGAAGAAACACAGCTGTTACATGACTTGGTTTCCAGGGCGTTAACTTTACCCCTTGGCAAAATACATTTAGAAGCTCCTGAAACTTATTTTATTTTCACATTTCTCCCTTTCCTTGAAAATTATTCAGAGAAAGCATTTGTTTTAGTCTATTTGTATTACTATAAAGGAATACTTGAGGCTGGGTAATTAATAAAGAGAAGAGGTTTATGTGGCTCACGGTTCTGCAGACTGTACAGTAAGCATAGTGCCAATGTCTGCTTCCTGAGGGCCTCAGGAAATTTCTCCTCGTGGCAGACAGGGAAGGGGAGCTGGCACATCATGTGGCAAGAGAGGAGGCAAGAGAGGGAGGAGGAGGTGCCAGGTTCTTTTGAAAAACCAGTTCTCTGGGGAACTCTTGAGGGAACCTATAGAGCAAGAACTCACTCATTACCTAGAGGACACCAAACCATTCCTGAGGACTCCACCCCCATGACTCAACCACCTTCCAGAAGGCCCCACCTCCAGCATTAGGGATCAAATCTCAACTTGAGATTTGCAGGGGACAAACGTCCAAACCGTATTAGTATTGCAGAGGAATCGTGCTCAGGCCCTGTATTTTATCAAATCCCACATTGCCAGGAGGGCTCATTCCTCGGAAGTCACCTCCCCAGGAAGGGGGACTGGAAGGGACCAAGGTGAAATGTCAAAGGAACAAAGGGAGAGTAGTCCTGGAGCCTGGGTCAGGCTGCACAGCTGCCTCTTCAATCACAGCAATTGTCTGAACAATCATGGTTCTAGTTTTCTCAGCTGCATGTTGACTCAGTTGCAGACGAACACCGTAGTACTTCTGTGGACGAGGACAGGACGAAACCCACCATGACGCTGATTCCCAGGATGAGCAGTCGCTTTTGCCAGCAAGTTCACCAAGAGCCAAAACAACTACTTAGCCAATCCCAGAAGGAGGGTTTTCGATCGGAAAGTCTGGTTATTTGGGTTATATGAGTTATGAATTTGTGAGGGTTATTTGATTCATCTGACATGAATGAGATGAAGGCACGACATTCAGTTTTCATGACAGGACACACTTCTCCTCGGGCCACGCTGAGTATGTCTCAGGCCACATGGCTCTGTAATACAGCCTTTCTCATGACAGCCACTTCATGATTTAATAACAAAATACCCATGCAGCTGTCACTTAGGGTCTTTCGTGCACAACTTGTTAGGGCCTTTATGTGCCAAATGACAACTTCAACACCCAGCTGTGGTAGGACGACAGAAGCCAAATGACCACACCAATGGAACACAGAACACACCCAACAAGATTGTAAATGAGGAAATTTTACTGGTTTTGACAGGGTATGAACGACACAGCCTTGTGCCCAAGCATAACCAGGGCAACATCATCCTTACCGTCCTGGGGGAAACAATGGCCATATGTTAGTGCCACATAGCCAAGATGTTCCATTTGGGTCTATAACCAATAAATACCTGTCCTTGTGTTTAATCGGTGGCAGACCAATCAGTTCTTCGTAAGACAAGGGTGCGGGCATACCTCATTTTTTATGTCTACCCCATATCTCTAGCGCAGTTGGGCCATTATCTTTGGTGTGATTTTTTTTGTTCCTAACACAAAGGGGGATGCTGCCTAAGCTGGCCATAAGAGGAGATGAGCCCAGGTGAGGTGGCTTACACCTGTAACCCCAGTACTTTGGGAGGCCAAGGTGGGTGGATCATCTAAGGTCAGGGGTTTGAGACCAGCCTGGCCAGCATGGTGAATGCCCGTCTCTACTAAAAAAAATATATAAAAAAAAAGAGCTGGGCGTGGTGGCACGTGCCTGTAGTCCCAGCTACTCAGGAGGCTGAGGCAGGAGAATTGCTTGAACCTGGGAGGTGGAGGTTGCAGTGAGCCGAGATCGCACCACTGCACAAAAACCTGGATGACAGAGCAAGGCTCCATCTGAAGAAAAAAAAAAAGAGGAGGTGAGCTAAGTAAACCCACCCCAAATTTGTAATATACCGTGCTGAAATCGTGCTGTCAATTAGGTATCATTGTTTTCCCTTTCATTTGGGGTGGGGCCTGAGGAAAAGCCAATAAACTGGTTTCTTCTACCAAGAAGCTCTTCTCATGTTCCTCATTCTGTAAAGCATCATCAATAGGTCAATGGTGTACCTTATCCTTAGTCAGACTAGTGTGAAGGACACCAGACTGATTTTGTGTCCCATCCGATAGTTTTGATAAATTTTTGACATTCTGTCCAGTCTTGCCTTTGGAAAAGAAAAGCCCACCATGGTAGGCCAGACCCACTGGAAAGGGACCACATATCCAGCAAGCGTCATTTTGTAATCTACCAGCACAGCCTGGGACCCATTGCAAAAACAGGCTGATAGTCATGCCGTCACATAAGGACTAAGGATACTAGAAGGAAGTTCAGTGGAAGCTTATAAAAGAAAATCTTCTCCATAGATTAACAACTTAGTATTAAATGTTTGTCTAGCATTTTGGGTTTCAGCTGTCTATGTCAAATGCCATCTTTTTCTCTGCCTGGCATCAACTATTTTGAGTCAGAGGTCACCTTCTGGGGAAAAAGTCCAACCTAGAGTCTCAGCCTTTGATATGGTTTGAATTTGTGTCCCCACCTAAATCTCATGTCCAAGTATAATCCCCAATGTTGGAGGAGGGACCTGGTGGGAGGTGATTGGATCATGGTGACGGAGTTCATCCTTGCTGTTCTGTGATGGTGACTGAGTTCTCACAAGATCTGGTTGTTTAAAAGTGTGTAGCACTGCCATGCAGGGTGGCTCACACCTATAATCCCAGCATTTGGGGAGGCCAAGGTGGGCAGATCACCTGAGGTAAGGAGTTCGAGACCAGCCTGACCAACATGGTGAAACCCTGTCCCTACTAAAAATGCAAAAATCAGCTGGGCATGGTGGCACACACCTGTAATCCCAGCTACTTGGGAAGCTGAGGCAGGAGAGTCACTTGAACCCGGGAGGAGGAGGCTGTGGTGAGCTGAGGTCATGCCACTGCACTCCAGCCTGGGCAACAGAGCAAGACTCCATCTCATAAAAAGAAGTGTGTAGCACCTCCCTGTGTTCTCTTCCTCCTGCTGGCCATGTAAGACATGCCTGCTTCCCCTTTGCCTTCCACTGTGATTGAAAGTTTCCTGAGGCCTCCCCAGCCATGCTTCCTGTACAGCCTGCAGAACCAAGAGCCAATTAAACCTCTTTTCCTTACAAATTACCCAGTATCAAGTTGTTCTTCATAGCAATGCAAGAACGAACTAATAGTCTTCTTTAGATGAGAAGTGTTAACTGCCTTCTACTTCAGCAGCACAAAGTTTAGCAGGCAGTACTCAATAAGGTCTATACCATTTTGGTTGAAGAGAGTTATTTAAGAAATGTTGTGTCCAATAGATGAAATCTCGTGGGTCAAGTCCATGGTCTTTGAAGTTTTCTTCTCCCAGGAGCTCACTGTGAAAAGATTCTTCTACCGATTCATAATTTTTAGTTAATTGCCTCATTAAGCCATTGCAATAGCTAAATATGTCTCCTTTACTATTAAAGGCTATAGATCTGCCTGCTGTAATTTTTAATGGAGATAACTGGTGTTTACCAAAAGGGATCGACCTCAGATTAAGCAGAAACAGTGGAAGAGCTTTTAGCCAAGGAATTTGAAAGACCTCCATTAATTTTGCCAGTTGAGCTTTGATTATTCTGTTTGTGTGGTCCACTAACCCAGATGACTGGGGGTGGTCAACACAATGGAAATACTGGAGAATGGGCCAAATTTAACGTACTGGTTGGATGACTTATCCAGTGATCCCAGTGTCTCTGTCATTATGAAGCTCCAGAGGAACTCCCCAGGCTGCAATAATGTTTTCTAAGAGAATTGTACTCACCCTAAGGTCATTGCTCTTCTACATAGAAACACCTGCACCCAATGAGAAAACATGCCAATCATTACCAAAATATATGTGTATATTTGTGAGAGCGGCAACTGGACGGAATGTAATTGCCATACTTTGACAGAGGCCTCCCTGGATTATTTTGGGGGCAAAGGTAACAACTGTACATCCTGTGTGCTACAGTCAGAGAAGGTTTCCAAAATATCGTTTCCCTCAAGCAATCACTCTGTCAGGCTCTGGGGAGTTATGTCATGTGCATAAGTTAGAAATGATAACAAAAATTCAGCATGAAGTAGAAGCATGTTGTTTGATCCATATCATACCTCGTCTTTGGGGGAGTATGTTCCCCCTCTTTGCTTTCCAACTTTTATGTTCTGGTTTTGGAGCCCAGATTGAGGTAATTTTATACAAATGCAGGTGTTTCTTTTAAGATTACTGTAGATTATTTTTCTTGTTTAGATACATTTACAGTAGCTCTTTTTACTACCTTATTAGCTAGCTGATTTCCTTTGCTTTCTGGAGTGTTTGATTTAGAATGGCCTGGAATTTTAATTATGGCCAGTGACTTTGGTAATAATATGGCTCCCAACAATTGTGAAATGAGGTGTCCATTTTTTATGGATTGACCAGAAGAGGTGAAAAATCCTCTGTTTCCATAGCATTCCAAAATCATGAGCTACTCTGAAAGCATATTTACTGAATATTAGTAATGAATATTATCAACAATTATTCCTTTCGCCAACTGACAAACCCTGATCAATGCAATTCTGCTTGTTGATGTGAGGTGGCTTCTGGAAGGTAAGCCTTTCTATTTCTTCAGTTGAAGATACTGTTGTGTAACCTGCTCGGTAAGTCCCTGATCCATCCTTTAAATAAGAGCTGCCTGTAACTCAAACAACATCAGCATTAATCAGTGGAGTCTCTTGCAAGTCAGTCCTAGGAAAGAGGAGCCAATCAACTGGGGCTATGTGATTATGCAGTGTTTCATCTGAAAATGAAGGCAGAAGAGTGTCAGGATTTAGGTTACACCTGGAGATGGTGATAGGAGAAGCTGAAAGAAGTAAAACTCATGTGAAGCTCGTCTACTAATTGAATAATGTCCAGTGTGGTGTGAGTTTAGTGATGCTTCCACAGAATGAGGGATAAAAACAGTAAGGGGAGTTCCCACCACAGTTCCTTGGGTCATCTTAATGAACAAGGTGGTTGCTGTTATATCTCTCATGCAAAGAGGCAATCCTTTGGCTACCGGGCCTAACTGTTGGCTGTAATGCCCTACAGGTCTATTTCAGCCTTCATGTTTCTGAGTCAGATTATCTAAAGCATTTCCATCATTTTCATGTACAAACAATGAAAATGTGAGGTTATAATTTACATGCCCCAAAGAAGAGGCATTGGCAAGACCATTCTTAGTCATTTCTAATGTTAGTTGACTTTCTTTTATCCAGTCTAGAGGGTTTAAAGTTCTCTATTAAGAGGGCATATAAGGAAGGTGGGCGCAGTGGCTCATGCCTGTAATCCCAGGACTTTGGGAGGCCAAGATGGGTGGATCAATGAAGGTCGGGAGTTCAAGACTAGCCTGGCCAACATGGTGAAACCCCGTCTCAAGTAAAAATACAAAAATTAGCCAAGTGAGACTCTGTCTTAAAAACAAAAAGGAGGGCATATAAGGATTGGGCTTTTAAATAAAAATTTGGAATCCAATTTCTACAATATCCTGCCAGTCCTAAAATCCCACTCAACCATCTCTTCATTCTTGGTTGTAAAAAGCTGAGATCCTTTCTAGTCTGTCTGAATTAATAAAACATCCTTCCTTGGATATTAGGTGGCCTAAGTATATCACTTGTCTTCGACAAAATTGAAGTTTCTCTTTAGAGACTTTGTTTTCTTAGGGCTGCCTTTTGTAATAAATGTAGCCCATCATTCACAGAACATCTTGTTTGCTCTCCAAGATGGAAGTCATTTATTTACTGGATTAATGTATGCATTTCCAGGAAATTAACATCTGAGAGGCCTATTTTTAATATTTTTGAAAAGTAAGTCAGGCTTTCAGCATATCCTTGGAGGCCTGTGTGACCCAGTGTATTGTCTGTTTTCCCAAGTGAAGGCAAAGAGAAATTGGCTATTTTTGTCTACAAGAATGCTAAAGAATGTACTACATAAGTCTATGACTGTAAGGAATTCCACATTAGAAGGAATGGCTGTGAGTAACATAGGCTTGTGCAGTATAGGGTGCCATGGGATTGCCATGTTGTTTATTGCTCTCAAGTCTTGTACAAACCTCCATTCTCTAACATTTGGTTTTCTTACCAGGAGGATTGGGGTATTACAATGGCTTGTACAAGGAATGAACAGTCATCTTTCTATATAATCTGACATTATAAGCTTTATCCCTCCTAGAGCTTTAGTTCTCAAGGGGTATTGTCTTGTATTTTGAAGATGTTTCCATGGGTATATTTAAATATTTATTGGAGTAGCTGAGATGATAGTTTCTATATCAATGGAGGACACTGACCACAATGGATCAAGTACTGTCTTTAGTACATTTTGTAATTCTTCATTAAGCAATAATTCATTGTCTTTCATGGCAATATGGATTGCAATTGGATTAGATTTTGAAAATTTTATTAAAATATCTGTTGTGTCTCAAAGTTGAGTTTTATAATCTAATTTTAAATATATTTCCTTCCTTTGAGAGAAAGAAATGTGGGTATCACATAATTCTAAGCAGTTTCTTCCTGTTGAATGGATGGGGTCTGATGGAACAAAGAGGAGGGCATGAGTTCCTTGTAACGAACACTGTTGAAAGGTTACAGGCTGAGATTGGTATGCCAATACAGGAGGATTGTGATGCCCACCATTTGAATTCTTTGTTTACTGCAAGGAATGGGACCTTGTACCAAGATGGGATTAATTCCAGATAATGTGGCTCCAGTGTCAATAAGTGCTTGTGTTAGTTCTCCATTTATAATAATTTTTATTTCTCCCAGTGTTAGTAAGGAGGAAATGAAAGGCCCCTTTAAGTTCCTTGGAGCACCCCTGTTTTCTTTTCTGCCTCCACTGGTTAACATTCTTTCCTTTTTCATTTTTGGCAACTCTTTTGAAAGTAATCATGCTTTTTGCAAAAATTGCAAAGTGGAAGGTTAGGTCCATTAGGGAGTTTCTAGGGGTATTGTGAAGGCCAAAATTGTGTGAATAGTTGTTTTAATTGTAAATTCATAATTGTATTAGCCTCGCTCTTTTGTTTGGCTTCCCTCTCTCTTTCTTCTTCAGTTAAGGTATCAGATAACCGGTCAATGAGACTGACCAAATCATGAGTATCAGAAGTGGCCCAACTTTGTCTTTTCATTGTTAGTTCCAATTCATCTAACTCATTTGTTAAACTGGAGTCGAGTATCATTTCGATGATTAGCACAGCTTTCTTCGGATAAAACTAAATATTCTTTAAAATTTTTTCCACAGCCCTCAAAGTATATTACTGACTCATCTGAATTTTGTTGATATTGTATTTTGTTCCAGTTGACTACTCTGAAAAACTGAGGAGATAGCCTGATGCAAAGCCTTTGCTGTTCTTCAAGCCTGTCTATGGTCCTCTTCTGAACATTTATGAAGATCCCTAACAGATTTCTCCAGTGAGCTTTGTCTAGCCAGCCTTTAGCTTTAATTTTTGCTACTAACATGTGAATCTGTTGCTAGAAGTCAGAATAACTAGGGTCATAAGCTTGGATATTTAATTCAAATTTCCTAGCAAAACCAATAGGAACCTGGTGAAGATCAAGGAATTCTTTTAACTATGCCTGTAAGTTTGATCATGATTGATAAAGCAGGTTCCCCTCTACCAGATGCTGGATGAAATGGAGCCAAACCAGTGGGAGCAGGAGGAGGGGCAGGAGGAGGAGGAGGAGAAGGTCAATCAGGGCTGGGTAGTTCTGACAAGGAGGCTTAGAGAGACAGGGGAGCAGGGAGAGAAGAAGACATTTCAGTGTTTTTTAAAATTCAGTAATGGTTTTAGAGTGCTTTTTATTTTCTTCCTCTAAGGGAAGAATTCTGTCAAAACCTCTTTTGGATGCTTCTGGGTGCCATTGGAAGTAACTCTCTTAATTATTTTATTTGATTCCATAGCTGGCTTTTTAAAATTGTGCATATAAATAAACTAATCTAGCTATTTCAAAGATAATTCTCTTTGATCATTGTAATTTAGGATCTTCTTAGGTCAAATAAGACCATTTCTCCAACTATCGACAGGAGGTGGCGCCATAAGTCTTGTACATAAACCCCGCTGGAGTTTCCAAAGGTGCATTGCTTAATGAGGGCTTGGTTATAGATGGATAATTGCTCATAATTTGGATTCTCTTTTAAAATGCCCAAAGGCTAAAAGGGAAAAGTGTTTGGGGTCCAGTGTGCTGCTTAGTAGGGATTATTCCTGGAGGTATCACCTACAAGTAGCTTCTTCCCTCTTACCTACCTCAGAGAAACCCAGACATTTCTGGGAGTTCAAGGCACTGGGTGACGAACCCCTTGTGTGTTGTGTGCCCCGGGGGTTAAGCAGCTCTCCCTGTGAGTTCTTCTCTGGGGTTTGTTGTGAGCTTCCACACCCTTGTGTTACCTCCATTGCCTAAGGTGCCTTTCAGCTGGGAGAAAGAGTCCTTTTTGTCTTCAGCTTATCACGTCCTCATTCCAACCTTTTACAAATTTTGGGTGACTCAGGAAGAAACTTTAAATCTCAATGTTAACCAAGATCCAAAGCCTGGCTGGTTTAAAGCCACAAATTTGGCTTAAGCCACAAACATTCACTTTCTCCTTTTACAAAGAAAACTGCTTTCTCTTTAACCAAATGTCAAATGAGAGAAAAGGTTACAAACTTGAGCAAGTAAAAAAATGTCCAATGAGAGAAAAGGTTACAAACTTGAGCAAGTAAAATGTCCAATGAGAGAAAAGGTTACAAAAGAGCAAGTAAGACGAACGAAAACTTAACCTAATAGAAAAGTGAAACCACAAACCTGCCAATAGCAGAATCTTTAGAGAAATGACGCGAAACTCCTGCCTTAAAGCCCTAAATGGCGGCTTCAATATCAGTCCCACTGAGCATGAAATTCATTTACTTAAATAAAATCTGAATCTCAGCCCAAACCTGGGAGATTCAAAACCTGAGAGCGGTCTTACCAAAGACGCCCGTATGTCTGGTGAAGTCAGTTGGATGCAAGCAGTTTGTGCTGGTACCAGGGCCCCAGCTACTGATGAAGTGGCAGGAGTCCACAGAAGCCTACTTCGAAGTTCCCGGGGCTTCCAGGGGAGGTGAGAACACAAGTGATGGGAGAGCCTGGGGAGGGACTGTCTGGTGAGTAAAGGTTGTGCTGCTCTGTGGATGAAATGTCTCTGAGGTCGTAAACATCTCAGAGCCGCCTTCGGGAGAACGGGTGATAGTCATCTGGGCTGATGTCACCTCCAGTGTCCTCTCCTGTGATCTGTGTTAATCCTCCCAGATTGACGAGATTCCTGGGGAGGCGATTCATGACAGCTGAGTTCCTTTTGGAGGATCCGTCTTCAGGCAGGTAAGGGGAGCTCAGAGGAAACCTCTGCCTGCATCCGCTGATTCCCAAGTGCCCTCAGCTCACAGGGATCAGCACTCCCAAGTGCCATGGGGGTGGCATTTCCTGAACTCCTTCAAAGCAATAACAACAGGCTGGGCGTGGTGGCTTACGCCTGTAATCCCAGCACTTTAGGAGGCTGAAGTGTGAGGATTGCTTGAAGCCAGGAGTTCAAGACCAGCCTGGGCAACATAGGGAAACCCTGTCTCTACAAAGAATTAAAAGAAAACTTAGCCAGGAATGGCAGTGCACACATGTGGCCCCGCCTACTCGGGAGACTGAGGTGGGAGGAGTGCTTGAGCCAGGTGGTTGAGGCTGCAGGGAGCTGTGATTGCACCACTGCACTCCAGCCTGGGCAACAGAGTGAGACTCTATCTCAAAACAAACAAACAACAACAACAAAAGTGAAACAATAACAACAACTTTTACAAAACGGACATTTGGGATCTACATGCCACACTCCTAAATGCGTCTCTTAAGCAACAGGTGTCACAGTCTTAAACCTTGTCCTTACCCTCTTCATTCTAGGCACCTGTTTCATTCCAGGTAGGGCTTCCTCCTGGTTTCCTAACACAGCGGGTTGAGATGAACAGCAGAGAAGGACACTGCACACCTCTGCAGGGTCTCCCCTCTGGCCCACCAGCCCTCCCTTCTCCAGCAGTGAAGACCTCACTATGTCATCCAGGCAGGAATAATATAGACAGAAACCCCAGAAGCCCCAAAGCTCTGAAGCCTAAACCACAAGCCCCACGAAGTTCCACAGGGCCCACTGGGCAGAATGGCGTGAACCTTCAGGGTTTGTTTGGTTTTATGAACCATTTAGTCATTCTTTCTCCTTCCTCCCATGGTAGCACTAAAATACATTCTCAGGCTCCCAGGTATATACAGGGGGGACGGAGAGGCGAGGATATTCCTGATTGGAAAACAAAACAAAACCTACCTTTACTAATCTCAATATACAGATTAGGCTAATCAGATTAAATAATTCTGAAAGTTTTCAAAATGTCATTGTTAGATTTTTCATTATTTTAGAGAAGAGGTCTTACTCTGTTGCCCAAGCTGGACTCAAACTCCTGGGCTCAAGCGAACCTCCTGCCTCAGCCTCCTGAGTAGCTGGACTACAGGTGCGCACCACCATGCCTGGCTGAAATTGGTTTTTATTGAGGGTCTTGATATGAAAAAAAAGTCTTTGAATCTTAATGTTACTTTTTCATTTCTTCTTGGCAACCAAAGCATCCATGTTTTAATTTTTCTTTGTTTATTGTTGGCTGGAGAGCACTGCCTTCCTCATGTACCATGCATCAAGCCCTCTCCCCAGCCTGAAGAACACCATGTTCCTCTTAGCGATCATCAGTAACAAGGCGTGCCACTCGAAGAACTACAAAGATAAGGGTTTGGGGTTTGTGCTGGGGAAAGCTCATGACACTAGCTGCAGGAATAGAGGACTGAGCCTCCCAAGTCCTGGAAAGCAGAGGGAGGATGCCCCGCTCTGATTTCCTCAGCACCTTTGCAGAGCTCTTGGTCTCCTGCCTGTGCCCTGCAGGCCTGACTCACCTTCCTCTCTGCACGTGAGACTCTGCACACCTCCTATCGTGTTTATTGACGCATGGCAGCCTCAGCCCTCCATTTCATGTGACCTCCCAGCTTTGCTCTCTACAACACCTAACCCAGTCAGTTTCTGTGTCCTAATTCAAAATTGCTGGGAGAAAAAAAAGTCTGATTGGCATTTGAGTTTGAGAACGAAGGCTTGAAAGAGCCAGTTTGAAGAATGGGAGCAAGGCCTGGCTAGAGCACTGATCGACAAACTTTTCCTGTAAAGGGCTGGGTAGTAGATATTGCAGGCTTTGCAGGCCATGAAATCCACGCTGCATTGTAGTGGCATGCAAGCTGCCATAGCCAATCTGTAAATGAATGAGTGTGGCTGGGTCGCATTAGCATTTTATTTCCAAAAATAGCAGGTGGCCAGATTTGGCCCAGGGACTATAATTTTCCAATTCCTGAGATACTAGAAACAGAAGTGTTTTGTTGTTGTTTTAACTAACTCTTTATTGAAGTACAGCAAACAAAAGTATACACATTATAGCATTGTATGAACTATCACAGAGTGACTACACGCATGTAACCACCAACTGTGTGAAGAAAACATTGCCTGCATCCCAGAAACTATGTATGCACCCTTACTAGTCACTAATCTCACACTCCTCCCCAAAAGTAACTAAAACTCTGATTTGTATTGTCAGTGGTTTCTCCTGTTTTGGACTTTATATAAATGAAGTCATATTGTATGTATTTCTACTTTCTGTCTAACTTCTTTGTATGATATTCTCCCAGTGGAATTCATCTGTATTGTGGTTTGTACCAATGGTTCATTTCTTTTTATTGTTATTATAATATTTTATTGCATTACTATAATAGTATTTATTTCATTCTACTGTAGATGGACATTTAACATTGTTTCTAGTTTGGGGCTGCTGCATGTCTTTGGATGAATATGTGTACACATTTTTGTTGGAAATAGAATTGCTGGTCCAACATAGATAGATAGATAGGTAGGTAGATACATAGATAGATAGATAGATTTATTATTGAATATATATAACAAAATGTTCTTATTGTTCATCATAATTTCCAAATGACATTTTTTTTCTATTTGGTGTGGAATAACTTTCATATCTTCCATTAATTTTTTTAGACATAGTTCTTTTATTTGAACATGTTTTTGATACCTGGTTTAATGTCTTTGTCTAATAAGTCCAACATCTGGGCTTACTCTGGGACAATTTCTTTTGACTACTTTTTTATGTTTATAGGCCATACTTGCCTGTTCTTTTGTGTGTCTCCTAATTATTTGGTTGAAAACTAGACACTTTAAATAATATATCGACTCTGGAAATTAGAGTTGTTGCTGTTTTTGTGATTGCTGTTGTGGTGGTGGTTTATTTGTTTAGTGATGTTTCTGGATTGGTATTGTAAAGTCTGTATTCTTTTTTGTGTGCAGCCACTAAAGTATTTACTTGGTTAGCTTAGTGGTCAGCTAATGATTGGACAGAGAATTCCTTAAATGCCTTCAACCAATAAGCCTCCCCTTGCTCATGGGCTGTTTGTTAGGGTATGTCTTCAATGTCCCTGCAATTCACAACTCCACCTTAGTCTTCACTCCTGCTTGATCAGACCCTCAAGAGCCACTGGAGTAAGTACTTAGGGCCTTCCTGGTCTCTCTTGGGCCTGCATGCAGCCGTGCACACAGGAGGCCTTCTAATCCCCCAGGAATAAGTTGGAGCTTTTCAAAGCCCCTAAGAATATCTCTGTCCCTAGACTTTCCTTGTAAGTTTTATATCCAATTTCTTTTTTCTTTCTTTTTTTTTTTTTTTTTTGAGACGGTGTCTCGCTCTGTCACCCAGGCTGGAGTGCAGTGGCACGATCTTGGCTCACTGTAAGCTCCACCTCCTGGGTTCACGCCATTCTCCTGCCTCAGCCTCCCGAGTAGCTGGGACCACATGTGCCCACCACCACGCCTGGCTAATTTTTTGTATTTTTAGTAGAGACAGGGTTTCACCATTTTAGCCAGGATGGTCTCGAACTCCTGACCTTGTGATCCTCCCGCCTTGGCCTCCCAAAGTGCTGGGATTACAGGTGTGAGCCACCATGCCCGGCCTTTTATATCCAATTTCTTATCTGCCCTAAGTGGCACCACCACTTTTGACAGCTGGGATGTTGAACAGTTAGTGCTGATTGATTTTCACAAACACCCTGGGGATGGGGCTTTCCTCACTGGGAGATCTGAATCAGGTCAAATAAAGGTGAGCCTTGTGAATGGGGCTTGAATAGGAGCTGCCAGCCCAGGAGAAAGATTGATGATTCTCTGGGAATGAGGTTTTTGGGGCTCTGAAGCTGTCCTGCCCCTCTAGTCCGTCCATTAGGCTGTTGGTTTTCACTACTACCACAGTTCCAAGGCTGCTGTTTTTCAAGGCTGCTGCAGAGCTGATGGTGGTTGAGGGGGTGGGACTGGGGAAGAGGCAAAGTTAAAATTCCACAAAGCCTGCTGTTTACTGAGTTTCAGCCATTTTCTTTAACTAACACTCTGAATTGTTCCAATCCTATTGTTAATATCCAGAGTTCTGAAAAAGTGGATTTTGACAGCTTATGCTACGTCCCTTCTCTTACGGAGGCACAGATTCTTGGAGGGCCCTCCACCATCAGTTCACACATCCTTCTCCAGGCATTATGGCTGGTGGTTTTTATTTTTTACCATGGTAAATTTTAAATCTTTTCTAGGCCAAATTTTTTTTTAGTATGATAAAAGACACAGAAAAAAAAGCATACACACACACACAGTAACACACATACACAGAGGTACATTGGCCTATTATTTAATTCTATATGTGGATGTTGGGTTTTGTGTTAGTCTGTTCTCATGCTGTTGTAAAGAACTGCCAAAGACTGGGTAATTTATAAATGAAAGAGGTTTAATTGACTGACAGTTCAACAGGGCTTGGGAGGCCTCAGGAAACTTACAATCATGGTGGAAGGTGAAGCAAATATGTCCTTCTTCACATGGCAGCAGGAAGGGGAAGCATCGAGCAAAGAGGGAACAGCCCCTTATAAAACCATCACATCTCATGAGAACTCACTCAATATTATGAGAACAGCATGGGGGTAACTGCTCCCATGATTCAATTACTTCCAACTGGGTCCCTCCCCCAACATGTGGGGATTACAATTCAAGATGAGATTTGGGTGGGGACACAGACCCAGACCATATTATACACACTGGCCCCTCTCAAATCTTGTCTTTCTCACATTTCAAAACACAATTATGTCTTCCCAGTGATTTCCCAAACTCTTCAGTCATTTCAGCGTTAACCCCAAAGCCCAAGTCCATAGTATCTTCTGAGACAAGGCAAGTCCCTTCCACCTATGAGCCTGTAAAATCAAAAGCAAGTTAGTTACGTCCTAGATAAATGCGGGTACAAGCATTGGGTAAATACGCCTGTTCCAAATGGAAGAAATTGGCCAAAATGAAGGGGCTACAGGCCCCATGCAACTCTGAAATCAAATAGGGCAGTCATCAAACCTTAATGCACCAAAATGATCTCTTTTGACTCCAGGTCTTACATACAGGTCACGCTGATGCAAGAGGTAGGCTCCCACAGCCTTGGGCAGCTCTGCCCCTGTGGTTTTGCAGGGTACAGCCCCCCACCCCCCGCCAGCTGCTTTCACGGCAGGCTTTGAGTGTCTTTGGCTTTTCCAGGTGCATGGTGCAAGCTATCAGTGGATCTACCATTCTGGGGTCTGGAGGATGGTGACCCTCTTCTCACAGCTCCACTAGGCAATGCCTCAGTGGGGATGCTGTGTGGGGGCTCTGACCCCACATTTCCCTTCAGCACTGCCCTAGCAGAGGTTCTCCATGAGGGCTCCACCCCTGCAGCAGACTTCTGCCTGGACATCCAGGCGTTTCCATACATACTCTGAAATCTAGGTGAAGGTCCCCAAACCTCAATTCTTGTCTAATGCACACCTGAGGGACTAACACCATGTGGAAGCTGCCAAAGCTTGGGGCTTCACCCTCTGAAGCAATTGCCTGAGCATGTATCTTGGCCCCTTTTAGCCGCAGCTAGAGCTGAAGCAGCTGGGATGCATTGCAACTAGTCCTCAGGATGCGCACAGCAGGGGGGCCCTGGACCTGGCCCATGAAACCATTTTTGCCTCCTAGACCTCCAGGCCTGTGATAGGAGGGGCTGCTGCAAAGGTCTCTGACATCCCCCAGAGACATTTTCCCCATTGTCTTGGTGATTAACATTTGGCTCCTCGTTACTTATGCAAATTTCTGCAACTGGCTTAAATTTCTCCCCAGAAAATGAGTTTTTCTTTTCTACCGCATTGTCAAGCTGCAAATTTCCCAAACTTTATGCTCTGTCACCTCTTGAATGCTTTGCTTTAGAAGTCAAAATTCTAAAACAGAATTCTAAAGAAATTTCTAAAGTTCAGAAATTTCTTCCATCAGATACCCTAAATCATCCCTCTCTAGTTCAGATATCTAGGGCAGGGGCAAAATGCCACCAGTCTCTTTGGTAAACTATAGCAAGAGTCAACTTCATTCTAGTTCCCAACAAGTTCTTCACCTCCATCTGACACCACCTCAGCCTGGACTTCATTGTCCACCTCACTATCAGCATTTTGGTCAAAACCATTCAATAAGTCTCTAGGAAGTTTCAAACTTTCGCATATCTCCTTGTCGTCTGAACCCTCCAAGTATCTAGGAAGTTCCAAACTTTCCCACATTTTCCTGTCTTCTTCTGAGCCCTCCAAACTGTTTCAATCTCTGTCTATTACCAGTTCCAAAGTTGTTTCCACATTTTTTGAGTATCCTTATAGCAGCACCTTACTCTGTGGTACCAATTTACTGTATTAGCCTATTCTTACACTGCTATAATGAACTGCTGGAGACTGGGTAATTTATAAAGGAAAAGGTTTGACTTATACTTCCACAGGGCTGGGGAGGCCTCGAGAAACTTACAATCATGGCAGAAGTTGAAGCAAACACGTCCATCTTCACATGGTGCCCAAAAGGAGAAGTGTTGAGCAAAGGGGAAAAAGCCCCTTATAAAACCATCAGATCTCATGCGAACACACTCACTATCATGAGAATAGCATGGGGGTAACTGCTCCCATGATTTATTTACCTCCCACCAAGTCCCTGCCCCAACACGTGGGGATTACATTTCAGGTTACAATTCAAGATAAGATTCGGGTGGGGACACAAAGACAGACCATATCAGGTTTTGAACACAAGGTTTAAGAGAAGTTTAAAGAAAGTCCTGTGGAAGAGCTAAATATGAATTCCCAACAGAATCTCCCCTTGGCCAACCTCCTTGTCATCAGTTCACTGGCTAAACTAGTGCTCTGCATTTCCTTGTTTTTAAATTGTGATGAAATATACACAATACAGAACTTAACACGTTAACCATTTTTAAGTGTACAGGTTTGTTACTTTTAAGTGCATTCACATTGTTGTGCAGTCATCACCACCTCATCTCCATTACTTTTTTCATCTTAAAACTGAAACTCTATGCCCATTACATAACTCTCCACGCTTCTCCCAGCCCCTGGAAACCACCATTCTACTTTCTGTGTCTTTATATTTGACTACTCTAGGAACCTCATGCAAGTGGAATCATACATTATCTGCCTTTTGTGACTGATTTCTTTCACTTAGCATTATATTTTGAAGTGTAGGATAAATCATACACTATGTGTCTTTTGTAACTGATTTCTTTCACTTAGCAATATATTTCAAAGGTTCATCCATGTTGTAGTGTGTGTTAGAATTTTCTTCCTTTTTAAGGCTGAGTGATATTTTTAAGGCTGAATGATATGCCCTTGTATGAATAGAACACATTTGTTTATTCATTCATCTAATGATGAACACCTGGTTTGCTTCCACCTTTTGTCTATTGTGAATGCTGCTACTATAAACATGGGCTTACAAATATCTTGAGGAGCCCCTGCTTTCAATTGTTTTGGGTATATACCCAGAAGTGGGATTGCTAAATCATATGTTGATACTATTTTTAATTTTTTGAGGGCATGCTATACTGTTTTCCATTTTACATTCCCAACAGCAGTGCACACATGTCCAATTTCTCCAAATCCTCACCTACATGTGTTATTTCCTGCTTTTTTTTGACAGTAGTTATTCTAATGAGTGTGGAGTTGTTAGGGTCCAGCCTCAACGCCACCCACGGGTACCCAAAGTTTGGTGGCGGCAAAGGAATGAGAAGAGACAAGTTAAGAGTGAAAGGTGGGGAGCTGGGGGCCAGTGCAAAATGTGGAGGCTGCAAAAGGCTCAGAGCTCTGGTTTCCACACTATTTATTGAGTACAATCACTTAGATCTGAGAAGCAGGGGTTCAGGGGTGAAATGGGGAAAGGCAGACAGTGCGTTATACGTGTAATGTATAGCAGTGGCGGTTTAAGTGAATCTCCTTTGTGCTCAAATAGTATATCTTTAGTTACTTGTTGGGACCGGGCTTAACTAGGAGCCTGCATATCTAGCCACATTCTAATGCTTCATAGGAGTGTCTTTCTCCTTGAACACAGTGTTTATGGATAAGAGAGCAAGTCTTGCTCAGAGCATGGGAACATAGTGGCTATAAGAAGGCTTTCTTCTTCAGAGGCCTCTTGTGGCTTTCCGCAACTTATTGTCTCATATTTTTATGGCCAGTTTATGCAGGCACCCCATAAGCCTTTCTCCCAACATGGAGTGGTATTTTATTGTGACTTTAATTCACATTTCTCTAATGATTGGTGACACTGAGCTTTCTTTTTTTTCATGTGCTTATTGTCCATTTATATGCCTTCTTTGGAGAAATGTCTATTTCAAGTCTCTTACCCATTTTTTAATTAAGTTGATTCTTAGCTGTTGAGTCATAGGAGTTCCTTATATATTCCAGATATTAATCCTTTATCAGATATATGATTTGCAAACATTCTTTCCCATCTGATGGGTTGCCTTTTCACTCTGTTGTCTTTTAATATATAAACATTTTACATTTTGGTGTAGCCCAATTTATATTTTCTTTTGTTGTCTATGCATTTGGTGTTGTATCCAAGAAGTCACTGCCAAATCCAATATCATGAAGCTTTTCTATGTTGTCTTCTAAGAGTTTTATAGTTTTAGTTCTTAGCTTTAGGACTTTGATTCATTTTGAGTTCATTTTTGCACATGGTGAAAGGTAATGTTCCAGCAACATCCTTTTGCATGTGGGTATCCAGTTTTTTCCAGTAGCATTTGTTAGAATGACTGTCCTTTCTCCCATTGAAAATCTTAGCACCCTTGCCAAAAATCATTTGGCCCTATGTGCAAAGGTTTATTTCAGGACTCTCTATTTTATTTCAGTGGTCAATAAGTCTTTATGCCAACATCATGCTGTCTTGATTGCTGTCACTTTATAATATTTTGAAATCAGGAAGTGAGACTTCCAACTTTGTTCTCCTTTTTCAAGATTATTTTTGCTGTTCACTCTTAAGATTCCATGTGAATTTTATGGTCAAGTTTTCTATTTCTGGAAAAAACGTCATTGAGATTTTGATAGGGATTGCATTGAAACCATAGATTGCTTTGGTTGGTATTGACATCTTAACAATATCAAGTCTTCCAATCCATGAACATGGGATGTCTTTCCATTTATTGGTATCTTCTTTAATTTCTTTTATCAATATTTTGTAGTTTTCAGCATACACATCTTTCACCTCCTTGGTTAAGTTTATTCCCAAGTATTTTATTCTTTTTAATGCTATTGTAAATGGAATTGTTTTAATTACCTTTTCAGACTGTTCATTGTTAGTATATAAAAACACAACTGATTTTCGTGTTGACTTTGTATTTTCTGGTTTATTAGTTCTGTCAGGTTGGTGTTTTTGTTTGTTCTGGTGGTATCTTTAGGGTTTCTACATACCTTTAGGGTTTGCTACATATAAGATCATGTCACCTGTGAACTACCCCATTAAGCTTTATATTTTAATTATATTTTATTTCTACATGTTCCTTTTGATACTTTTTCAAATCTGCTGGGTCATTCTTCATAGTTTCTTATTTCCTGCTAATATTTTAAGCCTGCCTCAGGAGATATTAACTCTGTTGTGTTCTCTCATAATTCCAAATTATGTGGCTCTATTTCCTATTTCTGTGTCTGGTGTGTGCCCATTTTTGTTCATGATGCCTTGCTTCCTTGCTATTTTCTCTGTGGGATAAGTATGTGTTTAGTCCAAGATGGGGAGGGGGGTATCTCCAAGGAGGATTTGTAATTCCTTATGCAATTGCTTTAGGGTGCTACTAGCCTAAATTCTGAGGTTGAAGGGTTTTTGGACCATCCACGTATTGTGAATTAGTGCAGCAGCCCTAAGGTTCAAGACTGGCAGTGACTCCCAGGGTTGTTGGGGGCAGATTTATGTTTATTTCTATTTCATATTTATACCTAGGGCATAGCCCTTTGGGGTTCCAGTCTTAGGGAAGGAGGATCTTCTATTTCACTCCTCACTTTGGGCAGGTCCTGAACACTTACCTTCTCCACAGTGAGGCTGTGAAACTCAAGTTCAGCTGCTTGGACAAATGCTCTCAAGGCAATGGCCTCAGTGCTTAGCTAGTCCCTGAGTTTTCATCTTTACTTAGTTCTTGGCCTGAGTACTCCTGTTTTGCCAGCTCATGGGTTTATTTTCTATATCTAAGGTCACCATTTTTCATTATCAGAAGGATAACTAGTCAAGGTAGCTGCCCACCATATTGCCAGAGATACAAATGTCTCCCTGAACACTTGAGGTCTCATACCATCAAAATTCTCATCTCACCTTGTCAACCATTCCTTTGATATCTTCCACTGACCACTGAGAATTGGTCTTCAAGCCCCAGTCCTTGGCAGTACAAAGGGTAATTAGGGAGTGTTGACCTACAATTACCTAATGCCACTATGATAACTCCCCAGTAACGGAACTCAGCTTACATGCTTACCCAAATTGCAGCCTTAATTTCACTATAAAATTTTCTCTGGCTGCCTTACCAAGTTCATTGTTTATATCATTATCACTAATTTCTTTTCTCCAAATGTAAAATTTTTAGTTTAAATCATGAACAAAGCGATGTTGTTTTCCTTTGAAACACCCCCTTTTTCTCTAAGTCTATCCTAATTCCAGGTCTTACTACTTCTTATAGAGGTGAATCCAACATGTTTTGTTCACTTACCTGCCTTCACTGTGTCTACTTTCAAATTAATCTTTCTGGAATAGTTTTTATTATATCCCCTCCCCCCACAAAAAATTAAAACTATTCCTTATTTTCCCTCTGATAATTTTAGTTCAACACATTTTGAGCAAATGCCTATAAAATGCCAAGCAATCTACAAAAATTTGGGATACTGTCAGTTTTCTATTGCTGCTGTAACAAATTGCCACAAATTTAGTGGCTTAAATGAGAACAACTAAAAACTATTGTTTTACAGTTCTATAGGTCAGAAGTCTGGTGGAGTCTCATTGGAGTAAAATCACTCTTAGTTCCTTGCATCTGTAGGACTAAGGTCCCATTTTCCAAACCACTTTCCTGTCTTCCTCTTCCACTGTGAGGGGTTCACGTGATTCACTCGGGCCTTCCTGGATAATTCTGCCTTCCTCTTCCACTGTGAGGGGTTCACATGGCTCGCTTGGGCCTTCCTGGATAATGCAGGCTCATCGCCCCATCTCAAGGTCCTCAACCTTAATCACACCTGCAAAGTATCTTTTGCCACTAAGCTAACATAGAAGCCACAGGTTCTGGGGATTAGGTCTAGGACAGGGATTCCCCAGCCCCCAGGTCACGTACCAGTACGAGTCCACGGCCTATTAGGAACTGGGCTGCACAGCAGCTGAGAGGTGGGCGAGTGAGCATTACCGCCTGAGCTCTGCCTCGTATCAGATGACTGGCAGCATTAGATTCTCATGGGAGCACGAACTCTATTGTGAACTGCACATGCCAAGCATCTGGGTTGCGTACTTCTTATGAGAATCTAATGCCTGAAGATCTGAGGTTGAACAGTTTCATCCTGAAACATACCCTAAACCCCTACCCAATCTATGGGAAAATTATCTTCCATGAAACCACTCCCTGGTGCCAAAAAGGTAAGGGGCTGCTGGTCTAGGGTATCTTTGGGGGGCTATAATTCCACCTACCACAGATAACATAGGTGAAGAAGGCCTCAATCTGTCTCTGAGGCTTCATTAACGCAGAGAGAAACAGAGTGCGAACAAGTAACCACTCACCTCTAAGACATCTATTCCATTGTATCAGAGAGGGCTGAGGACACAAAGAGGAGGAAACTAGAAAGAATGTTTATAAAGATCAGGAAGGCCTTACAGTCTAAATGAGGGGAAAGCTTGCCAGATAGGAATGGGAGTTCTTCTAATAGGAAGAGATAGCATATAAAGTGAGAGAGGCCTGTGAAGTGTTTGGCAAGCTTGGGTAATCACAACTGATTCCATGTGACTAATGGGAGTAAGGGGGTGGGATGGTGACATTACAAGAGATTAAGATGCTGGCCGTGGTGGCACGCACCTGTAGTCCCAGCTGTTTGGAAGGCTGAGGCACGAGAATCGCTTGGGCCCGGGAGGTGGAAGTTGCAGTGAGCCAAGATCATGCCACTGCACTCCAGCTAGCACTAGAGTGAGACTCGATCTCAAAAAAAAAAAAAAAAAGAAAAAGATGTGAAACATCTCATCTTGGACTCTTTCTTTTTAGCATTAATATGAGAAACAGAATCTTATTTCAGGAAAATTACTCCTGGAACAGTACAGAGGTCAACCTGAAAGGAAAGCGACTGGAGAAAAGGAGACAAATGTAAAACCTTGCTAACATTTACAAGAGGAAAAGAAATGAACACAGTGAGCGTGGGGAGAGGTAGATATGAACAGCTCTGCAGTTGGAGGAACAAACCTTGGAAATAAGGAGAGGTGACCTGTGTTTAGCTGCACCCCTAGAGGGTGGAATCGGCTGAGGAGCAAGCCCAGCAACACTGAAGTTCAGAGATGGAGCGGCTGGGCGGTGGGCGAGAGAAACTCTTCGGGGACACATGTGGTTCATTTCAGGAGGTAGCTAAACTTTCTACAAAGTTAGTACGTAATTACACACTTATTTTTTAATTCAACAAAGTAATTTGGGAGAGCTTCATGGGGAGCAGCACTGAGGTTTAAAGAGCTGAGGATACAATTATCTTCATTTAACTTTCTATGCTAAAATATTTCTTAAAAATAAAGTTGTGCAGCTATTACTATTCAAATATTTCCTTAAATTACCAAATATTTGCTAGATTGACATATGTTGTTTAACTTTTCCTAATGAGACTAAACTCCTAGAGCTAGGATACGCAGTATTTCTTCCAAGTTTCCTCTCAATACCTAGCAGATAGATTAAAAACACACTTTTTGTGAGCTATCAGGTAGATACTTTTAATTATCCTACACAAAGAAACAATCTTGGGATGATTTGGATGGATTATCTATGTCTTCATCATTGGCATTCACATTGCTTGCCATTCTTACTTGCCAGTGTTACAGAATTCAGGGTATACTGAGGTGGCAGCTCGGTGATGGACAGCTGTTCATCTTCTCAATGATCAGCCACCCCTGGTCACTGCACGCTGGAAAAGTACCTAGTGCAAGGGAAGGACCTCCATTTTTTAATTGCACTTTATGTTAACTTCAAAACTGGCATTAATTCAGTTATTGGAAGACACTTAACTATCTTTTGAATAATTTGAGTATATAAACATACATAATATCCTTTTTCAACTCTAAGTGGTGTGAAATCTAAACAGATCAAGTACTTCCAATGAAAATTTCAGAATTGAGATGTTGTCTAAGTGTAAAATATACACTGGATTTTAAAGACTTGGCATCCCTCAAACAGTAAAAATATCTCAGTAATTTCTAAAAATATTGATTACTTCTGGCAGAAGCAATATTTGGATGTATTGTCTACATATTAAAACTAATTTTAAAACATTTATTGTAGCTACTAAAAATGTTTAAATTACACATTGTTCCCATTATATTTCTATTAGATGACACCGAGCCAGATGAAAATAGGATTAAATGAGATTTTCATGTAAGAAATAATTTGTCCGATCTAATCATTTTTTTCTAAGAAGTATTTACTTGAAATCTTTTTATTTTTATATGTTCATCTAAGTCCCTCTTAGTCACCAAATCAATGCTTAACAGCTGTGCAAGCCAGTTGGCTTTAGACAGCTCCTGGAGTTTTTAAGGATCATTTCTTGGCAGCTTTAGAAAAAAAAGCACTAATTGAAAGGTTAATCAAATCAGTCATATTTGTATGTTGGTTATATAAACACCCTGTCTCCACCAAAGATTAAACAGACGCATTATACTCTACCCAGAAGGCCCATTTATTCTGTAATGATTGTCACTTGCCTTCAAGCTTCTAAGTAGTAGGGAAGTACTTTGAATACTTTGCAAATGAAAACTCTATTCTGATTTATGAAATGCTTCCACACTGCCAGGATTCTACAGAATCTAAAATATTTTATAGCAACACCAATTCTACCTGTGGTACACAAGGGGAAAAGGTCAGTTCTACATCTACTCAAAGATAAGTCAGTATCTAAGTTTATTTAAGCACAAAAATATAAGCTTAAAAATAGACATATTTTGAGGCACAATGTTGGTTAAAAAACAGCTCTGAATGTCTGCGACAGCACTGGTCAGCACGATCTAAAGATATTAGCAGTTACTGCCCTGCTCATCTTTAATAAACAGGCGGTCTCCTACCATTTTATCACACCTATGATCCAACAAGACGTGTACTGCAACAGGGTCTGGAAAGAAGCAGGATGGATGCAAGTTCCGTAGCGTCACTGGTTCTCACTGGTTGCGCCTGTGCTTAGTGATTGCAAAATAATCTGAATCCACCCCTGCCTGGGATGGAGTTTATTACGGTGACAAAAAAAATGGCTGGCTTCTAGAAATTATTTCTTGAGGTAAAAATTGACTGGAAAATATTTTGTCTTGAAATTACTTAAAATGTGATCCGGTTTGATGCAAATTATAAG
The DNA here is from genome assembly GCF_000001405.40 of Homo sapiens. Classification (NCBI taxonomy): domain Eukaryota; kingdom Metazoa; phylum Chordata; class Mammalia; order Primates; family Hominidae; genus Homo; species Homo sapiens. The sequence continues at coordinate 154,943,650 of NC_000007.14, forward strand.
TTATGCAAAAAATGTGGAATAATAAAGGATTACTCAATTCTAAGTTCAAAAGTACATTTATTTAAAATGTGGGCAAGATATCAATATAAAAGAAAACAGAGTATAAGAAATAAAAATAATCAAAGTACAAAACATTTCAAATCTTTAACATCCATAATTTAGAGATAGCAAGGTCTTTATTTACACCATTTTATTTCTAGTTGAAGTCCCGTAACAGTTTTGTGAAAACATTTAAAAACCTGGCAAATGAATCATAAAACCTAATGTGGGCTCTTAAAGTCATATAATACAAAACATAATTTATGTTTCCTCAGAATAAAATTGCACATCTTAAAAAGATGCAGTATATTTATTATATCTGTCTTCCTGCTTCACAGTCTGATCCCCCAGGAAAGCAGCTGGAAAACAAGAGCATGTGAAGGAAGCGCAGCAGCTCCTCGCCAGCCAGACAGCCAGCCCCGCACCGCAGGAGTCGACATGCACGGCAGCCTAGACGCCATCAGTTAAACTTATATGTAGGCTTGTTGAGGAAAACGACTTTCAAACACAAGGCAAAAGAAAAACATGAAACCAAGGGTTCCAACATTCATCATCCAGTTTCAGAGACACCCTTGAAGGAATGCTACAGCCTCTTTCTTACCCATTCAAACCAGTCGCTCTGCTGCATACCCACATCACAGGAGGCCCTCAGCCCCGACACACAGGCTCACTCAGCCCGGGGACATCAGCACCTGTGCCAGCTCCGCAAGGTATCCACCATGCGGCCAGAACTGAGGCCCAGCAATAGCTGAAATGTCCTTTAAATTAACATGTACAACACACAACCCCCAAGAGCTGACATCCCCAAAGCCCCACCACAAATAGCTGACTCCTACTTATACCTGCAGGAGCAGGTAGTGACCTCTGCAATTCTAAACCGTCCACTTTGGGCAAAATTCATCAAGCTATGGATATGAAAAAAGGCCCCCAAGGTAATACTCATAAGTCTCCTGTATGACTTTTAAAGCAATTTCTTCTGAAAGTAAATGTAGTGTAGAACAGGCTTTCACAAATACAAACATGAATGTTAGGAAAAAGTCTGGAAAAAATGCAAGAGTACATGTTGTATAAAAACCAAATGCTTATAGCATATCTGTAAAAATTTAACAGGCCTCTTATCATTCCTATCAGTAGCTCCTACAATAATTTTCTAATAGATGGCGGTATGGAATACAGCAAGCTCTGGTATGAATGGTAAGAGCGTTTCTGCACCAAGCCTCATTCCAACTAGACAGGCTATTTATTTATGGCTAAACATGACATTGGATTCTGGGACTGAGGCAAATTTTACTTCTTTTTTTTTTTTTTTTTTTTTAAAGACAGAGTTTCGCTCTTGTTGCCCAGGCTGTAGTGCAATGGCGCGATATTGGCTCACTGCAACCCCTGCCTCCCAGGTTCAAGTGATTCTCCTGCCTCACCAAGTAGCTGTGATTACAGGTACCCGCCACCATGGCCAGCTAATTTTTTCTATTTTTAGTAGAGCCAGGGTTTCACCATGTTGGCCAGGCTGGTCTCGAACTCCTGATCTCAGGTGATCCACCTGTCTTGGCCTCCCGTGCTGGGATTATAGGCATGAGCCACCACGTCCGGCCAAATTTTACTTCTTAAAAGTGCTTTTCTCTCAGTGATATCAAGGTCTTCTGTCTACTATTATAACCATAAGCTCTTTAGCGTTAAGAGGAAAATGTTTGATAAATGTAATTAACTGGATGAATGTCAGTGTATTTAAATGTAAATATACTTAAATGTAATTACCTGGATGAAACAGGCACACACGAAGAAAAAAAAACTCGGCAAGGATGGGTATCATTCTGACCTCTGCGCCTTACTGAAGCAGTCCTATCCCAAACACAAAATTCCCCTGCTTAAGGAAAGGTCCACTGAGGTTGACACTGGTCAGAGGTGGCAGAGGCTCCCACCCTCACAGAGAGGAGGAGCTCCAGCCTCATTGCAGGAGGCCCAGGGAGAAGTCCTGAGAACAGCCCTGAGAGAAGGTGCTCTGCAATGGGAAACGGAAGTGGAAACAGAATTTTCCCATAAGGACCTGTAAGGCATGTTTTGCTTCACTGATAGGCTGTTCCTACATTAAAATAATAATTCAGAGATTTTTAATAAGGAATTCAAATAACAGATGATGAGCTTTATTTTTTCCTGAATGTCTGAAATAGAAAAAAGCCTAGGTGTCAATATTCTAAAGACTGACCTTTGCATTTTCCTGACATGTTGATGAAGTATTCATTCTGCCGCTTCCATTTAGTAGTAATTTATCTCCCATCCCAAAGTTCCTGAGTACAAAGACTATATACGAACTAAATTTCATTTGGAAAACTACAAACTCAAAGGTGAGCTGATAAAAAGAAACATATATTTATTTTTGCAATTATTTTCTATTTTATCTAATTGTCAAATTCTTTAATACCTCCATAAACTAGACAGTATAGATCCTTTCTAATTAACATCACCTATTAAAACTGAACTCTCAGTAAGTTAAGAGAATATTTTTACTAGCAACTCAAATGAATATTCTGAAGAGAAAAGAATTGTTCACTGCATAAATCACAATAGCAAAGAAAGGAAAAATGGCTTGCAAAACAGGAAAGGTACTGCCTTATTAACCTGGGAAATCCATTTCATATCTAACCCGTCTACTTTTTAATTCTCTTTTGGAAAGGATATGATTCATAGTCCAGCGTTTGAGTGAGCACTCCAGTCAGAACGAACTCTGCATTGTGAACATCTGAACAGGGTGGAAACAGACACTTTAGTTAGAGATCCACTGCTGTGCGTGCACACATACTCACACAGGTAAGCGGGGAAACGTACCTATGCCTCTGGCAAAATATTCTCGGCATAAATGAAGGTCATTTTCACAGGATATTAAAATTATTTCCGACAAACTCTAAGGAAAAGAAAATGAGTTTCTCAGTGACCGAACGCTGAATGTGATACAGGGCAATGACGGACTCGCTGGCGGACTCCACTCTACCCACCGAGTTCTGCTTGTGCTCCATGAGCTTCCGGAAAGATGGCTGCTTGGATAACACCTTTCCTCCTGCACACTCTACGATTGCCTTCATAGTGGAAAGACTTGGGCAGATTCCAGGTGTGATGTAAAAATATTTTGCCTAAAATTAAATGAAAATATATGTATTATGTTCTTAAAATGCTTTAATTTTTAGAGTACATAATTCTCATAGATTCTGCCCTGAGATTTTTGACAAAATTTCAAATTTTATGACATTATGAAGGTACTATTCTCCTACTAGCACTCAATCTGAAGTGGAAGAGGAATCCAGCTATGTAAATTTGGAATGTAAGCATTTTCACATGTTAAGTATGCCTGAAGATGATTTAAAGTAACCAGAACTTAAGTCCCTAAAACAAAGTGTTTTGTGAATAAGCAAGAATATTACAAATATTTTTCACAATTTCTATACAATTTTAAATCAGCATTATATTTCACCACACTTATCTGCCCAGCAACAGCCTCTGGCATAGCATGCTGCCTGGCTTATATCCCTTTTCTTTATTTTCTCCATATTATTTGAACTCAGAGCAGGAAATGATATTGATGCTTAAGATTTAATTATCTAACAAGATTGCTCCTGAGGATACCACAAAATACTATTCTGTCTGAAACTGCAAATAATTTCTAATTCCTGTTGACTCCTTAAGAAGGTTAAAGAACCGATTATCTTTATTGATTTACTTAGTTCTTTGGTACAAAAAAAATTCCTAGCTGTTCTAACACTTATCTAACATTTAAAAATCTTTTAGTACTGAATTATATCTATGCACACACTGAATATTTTCCCAAGTATCTTCTCCAGCTGAATATACATTTACTGACAATAGTACGAAGTAAGCGATGTCCTCTAAAGATTTATTAAAAGCAGAAAAATGAACATGCCTCTTAACCAATTACTCAAAAACCTATTCTTTGAATAACTTATTTCTCATAGATGTATTTATTAAATTTGTGTACTTATTTTTAAACATTATAGTAAAGAAAAGTTCTCTAGAGATGTGCTGTGGTTCACAGGAGGAAGACCTCCAGTGGCAATGTCCAAGAAGGAAGCCAAGAGGTAAATGGGATGCAGGGTGAGCCCAGCTCCCCTGGAGGCGCACTTCCCACCAAATCACCTGGTAGTTCCCTTGAGCAGGTCCGTGTGTTATGCTTACTTGGACTGATTTACTTTTCCCTTAAAGTGTACCTTAAAGAGTGGAGAAACGTGTGCCCGTTTTAAGGATTCTTCCAAGCTGAAAGAGAAAAGTACTTCTGCCTCAGCATCTCGGAGAATGTAGTTCTGCTCATCTGGAAAACAGAACAGCACATACTCTGAAAAGTGTGGACACGTGAAGTGTGGCAAGTGTGACCCACAAAATTCTCGCCCATATTCAGGTACATAATATTACAGCTACATTTACCTGTACAGCCTTCGGATATTTAAATGTCACCATTATATTTCATTTACTTCCCTCTAAAAACAGCCAGACCAAAAAGACAGACAGGTATTTTTTCTCCTAGATCAGTGGTAATTAACCATTTGGGGTCATAAACTCTTGAAAAAAACGGGCTGGGTGTGGTGGTTCATGCCTGTAATTCCAGCACTTTGGGAAGCCGGGGAAGGAAAGCTGCTTGATGCCAGGAGTTCGAGAACAGCCTGGGCAACACAGTGAGACTTCATCTCTACAGAAAAATTTTAAAATCAGCTTGGCATGGTGGCATGTGCCTGTAGTCCCAGCTACTCGGGGGACTGAAGTGGGAGGATCGCTTGAGTCTGGGAAGTTCGAGGCTGTGGTGAGCCATCATTGCACCACAGCACCCCAGCCTGGGCAACAAAGTGAGATCTGGTCTCAAAATAATAGTAATTTTTTTTTTTTTAACAACAAAAATGTAAAAAAAGAAAAAAAAAATTACTGAAAAATATGAACCCTCTTCCCATAGCTGCTCCTCCCCTCTTTACCCCCCGACTATTTTAGGAAGTTCACCAACTTTCCAAGCCCGCAGATCTCAGGTTAAAATCTCCAGTCCTAGAAAGACAAGCTTCAAATAATCCCATCCAAGTGTATATTATATATATATATGTTATATATATACACTAACTCCTCAAGGACTTGTAGGACATTGGAGTCATTTGGCTCATAATCAATTATGTGAATTACCAAACTTTAAAGATTTACCAAACACACATTCAAGTATATAAAAGTATACAGCAATTTATAAAGGATAGTTTTATCAATTTTTAAAGACTTCTGACAATTATTAATAATTGACAGATTTTCAGTTTTCATAGCAACATTTTAAGAAATGTGTCAAAAGGTAAAGATCACAAAATGTTTCAATCTTCCTATAAATATGCCTCATATTCAGAAAACCATTTCTCCTCCGCCGCCATTTCCTACCAACCATACAGCATAATAAGGCAGCTCAAACCCAATAATATATACATCAAAAGCAGAAAACAAGGAAAAGTGATTTGGGATTGGCAAACTGGGGTTGACAAGATGATACATATTTTAGGATTTGTGGGCTATGTATTATTTCTCCTGCATATTCCTCTTCTCTTTTTTAAGCAATATTTAAAAAATGTAAAAACCATTTTCAGCGTATGGACCAGTTTGCTGACTGCTGGGCAGGAGCAACCACATCATGACAGAAATGCAGGGATCTGTTCACCAACGGCCAGAAATACAAAATCAATCCCTGAGTCAACCAGCAGATAGAAAGGCTGCTTTTTAGGTGAAAGGAGAAAAAGAATGTCTAAAATTTGGAAAAACAAAAAATGATGAATTAAAAAAGGAACAAAAAAAGTACTGTTACACATGAGATGGTATATTTGAAGTGTTACTTTCAAAGCTGATATGCCTTCTGAAGAACTTGTGTGAGATCACCAAGAATAGTTAATGTTTATGATAGAGAAAACACCACCGGGCGCGGTGGCTCACGCCTATAATCCCAGCACTTTGGGAGGCCGAGGTGGGCGGATCTCTTGAGGTCAGGAGTTCAAGACCAGCCTGGCCAACATGGTGAAACCCTGTCTCTACTAAAAAATACAAAAAAATTTAGCCAGGCGTCGTCGTGGTGGGCGCCTGCAGTCCCAGCTACTAGGGAGGCTGAGGCAGGAGAATGGCTTGAACCCAGGAGGCAGAGGTTGTAGTAAGCCAATGGCACCACTCTACTCCAGCCTGAGCAACAGACTGGGTGAGACTCTGTCTTAAAAAGAAAAGAAAGTAATATTGAAAAATACAGTAATACAGCTAAGACGATCCTGTCACAGATGAGACATTGAGATTTTGGTTTTTTCAAACAGGGTTATGTTACCTTAGTAGTAGCAATGTAAAGACTCAACCTGAACATTAAACTTTTCATGGAAGTACAAAAGAAATGAGTATCCTAGAAATTGATTATAATATTGATGTCTCAAATTTTATGTAAGTTACACATAAATATAAAATCCCAAAAACATGCACCTACCAAAACAGGTGGAGAAAAGAGTGTTTTCAACAAATGATGCTGGAACAACTGCACATCCATATGCAATAAAAGGAAGCTGGACACAGACTTTACCCTCTTTTAAAAAAAACTGACCCAAAAATGGAACACAGACCTAAATGTAAAATGCAAAACTATGAAACTCCTAGAAGATAACACAGGAGAGAATCTAAGGGACCTTGAGTTTGGCAATGACTTTTTAGATACAACACCAAAGACACAATCCATGAAAGAAATAAGAAGTAACCTGGACCTCACCTATTAGAATGGCCAAAACCCAGAGCACTAACACCAGCATATGCTGAGGAGGATGTGGAGCAACAGGAGCTCCCATTCACTGCAGGTGGGAATGCAAAATGGCACAGGCACTTCAGAAGACAGCCTGGCGGTTTCTTACAAAGCTAAACATACTCTTACCATATGATCAAGCAATTGCAACCTTGTTGATTTACCAAAAGGAGTTGAAAACTTACGTCCACACTAAAACCTGTACATGGATGTTTTAGCAGCTTTACTGCTAACTGCGAAAATTTAGAATCAGCTAAGATGTCCTTGTGTAGGTGAGGGGCTGAACAGATACATTCTGACAATGGAATATTATTTAGTGCTAAAAAGAAATGCTTTATGAAGCCATGAAAAGACATGGAGGAAGCTGGGACGTATATTGCTAAGCAAAGGAAGCAAATCTGAAAATCCTATATACTGTATGATTCCCAATATGTAACATTCTGGAAAGGGCAAGACTATAGAAAGAATAAAAGATCAGTGGTTGCCAGGGGTCAGCAGGCAGGAAGGAATGAGTGGGTGGAGCACAGAGGATTTTCAGGGCAGTGGAACAACTCCATATGACGCTGTAAAGCAAAATCATGTCCTTACACATTTGTTAAAACCCAATGACTGTTCAAGGCCAAGAGTGAGCCCTAATGTAACTATGGACTTTGGGTGACTGGCCAAGAGTGAGCCCTAATGTAACTATGGACTCTGGGTGACTAGCCAAGAGTGAGCCCTAATGTAACTATGGACTTCAGGTGACTGGCCAACAGGGAGCCCTAATGTAACTATGGACTTCGGGTGACTGGCCAAGAGTAAGCCCTAATGTAACTATGGACTTTGGGTGACTATGACCCAAATGTCAATGTAGCTTCATTAACAGTTAATAAACATTTCACTGTGGTGTGGGATGGTGACTGTAGTGGGGGTGGCGGTGTGTGTGCATGGGTATGGGCTGGGGTATATGGGAACTCACTGTACTTTCTGTAATTTTGCTGTGAACTTAAAACTGCCCTAAAAATTGTCTATTTTTAAAAAACAATAATTATAAACTGGAAAAATTCTCTTAGGAAATCCTAAAATATGGAAGATAAAATATGAAATGTTTTCTCAGTATTAAATGTTTATAACAACCACTTTCTAACCCTCAGAGAGCAACACAGCAAATACTTATTAACAGTGCCATAAAGAAATAAAAGCTAGTCAACCAAAACTTCCCATTAAATAGGAACTGTAAACTTTATATACAGATAAAACAACCACATTTTCACAAACTGAAACTTGAAAAATTAAGTAAATTGGTCATTCACTAAATTGGCTGCTTGGCAAACTAATTTTCAAAGAATTAGCATGTTCTTGGTTGGAAAAGAAAAAGAATAAGCAAAGTCAGAAAGTAACAAAAAAGATCTCTAAAGCTGGGTGTTGCCCAAAAGCAGCCGATGGAGCCAACCAGAGGCTGGAACATTACAGACCCGCTTTCCCCACCACCCAAGCTGGTGTATGCCATGCTCCCACAGCAGAAGCTAAAAAAGTACACTTACTATTTCTATTAACGAATAGACTATCTCCTTCTAAACTGTATAACATTATATGAAATTGGAAGCTAAAATGTTTGTAGTAATTGTTTCTACTATGTTCTTCTTCTGCCTTCATTGTTAAGTTTTATGTTTCATTAATACCTTTTTAGAGTCAAAAAATTTTCAAAATTTCAATTAAAAAAATTTCTAAATACCACTTAGTACATGCGAGCCGCATTATTTCACAGATTCTTTGCTAATTTTCCTCCCCTCTGAAATTTATTTATGAACCCACAATCAGTGTCTGTGGCACTTCGGTGGCCATTTGTGGACGTACGTGGACTGGAAAAGATTCAGTCACCCACATGAACGTTCCTAGCCGGGAGGAACAAGGCCATGCCTTGCCTTCCTGTTCCAGCTGAAATGGTGAATAAGCATCCTTTTTGTGATCTATTTAGTGCTATTGCTTTCAAATTTGTGTGCTTTATGTTGGTGATTTTGCTGTTTAAAATGTCCACAGCCCTAAGTGCAAGAAGGCAGTGATGTGCCTTATGGAGAAAATATGTGTCTCAGGGAAGCTTCATGCAGGCGTGAGTTACAGTGCTGTGGATCATGAGTTCAATGTCAGTGAATTAACAATATACATTGAATAAGGTACCTTTAAACAGAAACACACATAAAACAAGGTTATATATGATTGGCTGATGAAAATGTAGTGAACAGAGGCGCTCAGGAACCTAACCCCGTGTTTACCCAGAGACTACAGTACAGCATTCACTAACTCAGTGTCTGTGCAACTTTATAGAGCATAACTACCTGTATGACAAGAATTGCCTGAATATCATAGTTGAGGATTTAGTCTTTCCTTCAGATTAATGATTTATTCTTTCCTGAGTCTTACTGCCTTAGATATACAGAATCATAAAATTTTAACTTTACTTCTAGCTTTGCTATAAACAGCAATCTTAAGTATCTTTATTTTTCTGGGTCTTCTCATCTGTAAAATTAGACTACATGAACTTTAAGATATATACACTTCTAATTTATTTACATAAACATGAATTATATTTAAAATCTGTGGCCAAAAATGTG